>NC_000015.10:19352600-19725254 GCF_000001405.40 Homo sapiens | reverse complement strand
GCTGTCTAGATTTTATATGAAGGTTTTCCCGCTTCCAACGAAATTTTCAATGCTCTCAAAATATCCTCTTGTAGATTCTACAAAAAGAGTGTTTCCAAACTGCTGTATCAAAACAAAGGTTCATCTCTGTTAGGTGAGGACACACATCACAAATAAGTTTCTGAGAATGCTTCTGTCTAGTTCTTATTTGAAGACATTTCCTTTCTCACCTTAGGCCTGAAAGCGCTCGAAATACCCACTTCCAGATACTACAGAAACAGTGATTCAAACCTGCTCTATGAAAGGGAATGTTCAACTATGTGACTTGAATGCAAACATCACAAAGCAGTTTGCTGAGAATGCTGCTGTCTACTTTCTATTTGTAATCCCGTTTCCAACGAAATCCTCAGAACTATCGAAATTTCCAATTGCAGATTCCACAAAACAGGGTTTCAAAGCTGTTCTGTAAAAAGAAAGGTTCAACTCTGTTAGTTGAATACACACGTCACAAACAAGTTTCTGAGAATGCTTCTGTCTAGTTTTTATGGGAAGATATTTCCTTTTTCACCGTAGGCCTCAAAGCGCTCCAAATGTCCACGTCCACATACTACAAAAAGAGTGTTTCAAACCTGCTGTATGAAAGGGAATGTTCAACTCTATGAGTTGAATGCAAACATTACAAAGAAGTTTCTGAGAATGCTTCTGTCTAGATTTTATATGAAGGTTTTCCCGTTTCCAACGAAATTTTCAATGCTCTCAAAATATCCACTTGTAGATTCTACAAAAAGAGTGTTTCCAAACTGCTGTGTCAAAGGAAAGGTTCAACTCTGTTAGTTGAGGACACACATCACAAATAAGTTTCTGAGAATGCTGCTGTCTACTTTCTATTTGTAATCCCGTTTCCAACGAAATCCTCAGAACTATCGAAATTTCCAATTGCAGATTCCACAAAAAGCGTGTTTCAAAGCTGCTCTGTAAAAAGAAAGGTTCAACTCTGTTAGTTGAATACACACGTCACAAACAAGTTTCTGAGAATGCTTCTGTCTAGTTTTTATGGGAAGATATTTCCTTTTTCACGGTAGGCCTCAAAGCGCTCCAAATGTCCACTTCCACATACTACAAAAAGAGTGTTTCAAACCTGCTCTATGATAGGGAATGTTGAAACCTATGAGTTGAATGCAAGCATTACAAAGAGGTTTCTGAGAATGCTTCTGTCTAGATTTTATATGTAGATATTCCCGTTTCCAACGAAATCCTCAAAGCTATCCAAATATCAACTTGCAGATTCTACAAAAGGAATGTTTCCAAAATGCTGTATCCAAACAAAGGTTCAGCTCTGTGAATTGAGGGCATACATCACAAAGAAGATTCTGAGAATGCTTCTGTCTATATTTTATAGGAAGATATTCCCGTTTCCAACGAAATTCTCAAAGCTATCCAAATATCCACTTGCAAATTCTACAAAAAGAGTGTTTCAAAACTGCTCTCTCAAAAGGAATGTTCAACTCTGTTAGTTGAGTACACACATCACAAAGGGGTTTGTGAGAATGCTCCTCACTAGTTTTTACTTGAATATATTTCCCTTTTCACCTTAGGCCTAAGAGCGCTCAAAATGTCCATTTCCACATACTACACAAAGTGAGTTTAAAACGTGCTGTATGAAAGGGAATGTTCAACTCTATGAGTTGAGTGAAAACATCACAAAGAAGATTCTGAGAATGCTTTTGTCTAGATTTTATATGAAGATTTTCCCGTGTCCAACGAAATTTTCAAAGGTTTCCAAATATCCATTTGTAGATTCTACGAAAATAGTGTTTCTAAACTGCTGTATCAAAACAAAGGTTCAACTCTGTTAGTTGAGGTCACATCACAAACAAGTTTCTGAGAATGCTTCTGTCTAGTTTTTATTTGAAGATGTTTCCATTTCCACCATAGGCCTGAAAGCGCTCGAAATGTCCACTTCCAGATAGTACAGAAAGAGTGTTTCAAACCTGCTCTATGAACGGGAATGTTCAGCTCTGTGAGTTGAATGCAAACATCACAAAGCAGGTTCTGAGAATGCTTCCGTCTAGATTTTAAATGAGGATATTCCCGTTTCCAACGAAATCCTCGAAGCTATCCAAATATCCACTTGCAGATTCCACAAAAAGAGTGTTTCAAAACTGCTCTGTCAAAAGATAGGTTCAACTCTGTTAGTTGAGTACACACATGGCAAACAAGATTGCGAGAATGCTTTCGTCTAGTTTTTTTGGGAAGATATTTCCTTCTTCACCATAGGCCTCAAAGCGCTCCAAATATCCATTTCCACATGCTATACAAAGAGTGTCTCAAACCTGCTGTATGAATGGGAATGTTCAACTCTATGAGTTGAATGCAAACATCACAAAGAAGTTTCTGAGAATGCTGCTGTCTAGATTTTATATGAAGGTTTTCCCGCTTCCAACGAAATTTTCAATGCTCTCAAAATATCCTCTTGTAGATTCCACAAAAAGAGTGTTTCCAAACTGCTGTATCAAAACAAAGGTTCATCTCTGTTAGTTGAGGACACACATCACAAATAAGTTTCTGAGAATGCTTCTGTCTAGTTCTTATTTGAAGACATTTCCTTTCTCACCTTAGGCCTGAAAGCGCTCGAAATACCCACTTCCAGATACTACAGAAACAGTGATTCAAACCTGCTCTATGAAAGGGAATGTTCAACTAGGTGACTTGAATGCAAACATCACAAAGCAGTTTCTGAGAATGCTGCTGTCTACTTTCTATTTGTAATCCCGTTTCCAACGAAATCCTCAGAACTATCGAAATTTCCAATTGCAGATTCCACAGAAACAGGGTTTCAAAGCTGCTCTGTAAAAAGAAAGGTTCAACTCTGTTAGTTGAATACACACGTCACAAACAAGTTTCTGAGAATGCTTCTGTCTAGTTTTTATGGGAAGATATTTCCTTTTTCACCGTAGGCCTCAAAGCGCTCCAAATGTCCACGTCCACATACTACAAAAAGAGTTTTTCAAACCTGCTGTATGAAAGGGAATGTTCAACTCTATGAGTTGAATGCAAACATTACAAAGAAGTTTGCTGAGAATGCTTCTGTCTAGATTTTATATGAAGGTTTTCCCGTTTCCAAGGAAATTTTCAATGCTCTCAAAATATCCACTTGTAGATTCTACAAAAAGAGTGTTTCCAAACTGCTGTGTCAAAAGAAAGGTTCAACTCTGTTAGTTGAGGACACACATCACAAATAAGTTTCTGAGAATGCTGCTGTCTACTTTCTATTTGTAATCCCGTTTCCAACGAAATCCTCAGAACTATCGAAATTTCCAATTGCAGATTCCACAAAAAGCGTGTTTCAAAGCTGCTCTGTAAAAAGAAAGGTTCAACTCTGTTAGTTGAATACACACGTCACAAACAAGTTTCTGAGAATGCTTCTGTCTAGTTTTTATGGGAAGATATTTCCTTTTTCACCGTAGGCCTCAAAGCGCTCCAAATGTCCACTTCCACATACTACAAAAAGAGTGTTTCAAACCTGCTCTATGATAGGGAATGTTGAAACCTATGAGTTGAATGCAAGCATTACAAAGAGGTTTCTGAGAATGCTTCTGTCTAGATTTTATATGTAGATATTCCCGTTTGCAATGAAATCCTCAAAGCTATCCAAATATCAACGTGCAGATACTACAAAAGGAATGTTTCCAAAATGCTGTATCGAAACAAAGGTTCAACTCTATGAATTGAGGGCATACATCACAAAGAAGATTCTGAGAATGCTTCTGTCTAGATTTTATATGAAAATATTCCCGTTTCCAACGAAATCCTCAAAGCTATCCAAATATCCACTTGCAAATGCCACAAAAAGAGTGTTTCCAAACTGCTCTGTGAAAAGGAAGGTTCAACTCTGTTAGTTGAGTACACACATCACAAAGAGGTTTCTGAGAATGCTGCTGACTAGTTTTTATTTGAAGATATTTCCCTTTTCACCTTAGGCCTAAGAGTGCTCGAAATGTCCATTTCCACATACTCCACAAAGTGTGTTTCAAACGTGCTGTATGAAAGGTAATGTTCAACTCTATGAGTTGAATGCAAACATCACAAAGAAGATTCTGAGAATGCTTTTGTCTAGATTTTATATGAAGATATTCCCGTGTCCAACGAAATTTTCAAAGGTCTCCAAATATCCATTTGTAGATTCTACAAAAAGAGTGTTTCCAAACTGCTGTATCAAAACAAAGGTTGAACTCTGTGAGTTGAGGACACACATCACAAATAAGTTTCTGAGAATGCTTCTGTCTAGTTTTTATTTGAAGATGTTTCCTTTTTCACCATAGGCCTGAAAGCGCTCGAAATGTCCACTTCCAGATAGTACAGAAAGAGTGTTTCAAACCTGCTCTATGAACGGGAATGTTCAGCTCTGTGAGTTGAATGCAAACATCACAAAGCAGGTTCTGAGAATGCTTCCGTCTAGATTTTAAATGAGGATATTCCCGTTTCCAACGAAATCCTCGAAGCTATCCAAATATCCACTTGCAGATTCCACAAAAAGAGTGTTTCAAAACTGCTCTGTCAAAAGATAGGTTCAACTCTGTTAGTTGAGTACACACATGGCAAACAAGATTGCGAGAATGCTTTCGTCTAGTTTTTTTGGGAAGATATTTCCTTCTTCACCATAGGCCTCAAAGCGCTCCAAATATCCATTTCCACATGCTATACAAAGAGTGTCTCAAACCTGCTGTATGAATGGGAATGTTCAACTCTATGAGTTGAATGCAAACATCACAAAGAAGTTTCTGAGAATGCTTCTGTCTAGATTTTATATGAAGGTTTTCCCGCTTCCAACGAAATTTTCAATGCTCTCAAAATATCCTCTTGTAGATTCTACAAAAAGAGTGTTTCCAAACTGCTGTATCAAAACAAAGGTTCATCTCTGTTAGTTGAGGACACACATCACAAATAAGTTTCTGAGAATGCTTCTGTCTAGTTCTTATTTGAAGACATTTCCTTTCTCACCTTAGGCCTGAAAACGCTCGAAATATCCACTTCCAGATACGACAGAAACAGTGATTCAAACCTGCTCTATGAAAGGGAATGTTCAACTAGGTGACTTGAATGCAAACATCACAAAGCAGTTTCTGAGAATGCTGCTGTCTACTTTCTATTTGTAATCCCGTTTCCAACGAAATCCTCAGAACTATCGAAATTTCCAATTGCAGATTCCACAGAAACAGGGTTTCAAAGCTGCTCTGTAAAAAGAAAGGTTCAACTCTGTTAGTTGAATACACACGTCACAAACAAGTTTCTGAGAATGCTTCTGTCTAGTTTTTATGGGAAGATATTTCCTTTTTCACCGTAGGCCTCAAAGCGCTCCAAATGTCCACTTCCACATACTACAAAAAGAGTGTTTCAAACCTGCTGTATGAAAGGGAATGTTCAACTCTATGAGTTGAATGCAAACATTACAAAGAAGTTTCTGAGAATGCTTCTGTCTAGATTTTATATGAAGGTTTTCCCGTTTCCAACGAAATTTTCAATGCTCTCAAAATATCCACTTGTAGATTCTACAAAAAGAGTGTTTCCAAACTGCTGTGTCAAAAGAAAGGTTCAACTCTGTTAGTTGAGGACACACATCACAAATAAGTTTCTGAGAATGCTGCTGTCTACTTTCTATTTGTAATCCCGTTTCCAACGAAATCCTCAGAACTATCGAAATTTCCAATTGCAGATTCCACAAAAAGCGTGTTTCAAAGCTGCTCTGTAAAAAGAAAGGTTCAACTCTGTTAGTTGAATACACACGTCACAAACAAGTTTCTGAGAATGCTTCTGTCTAGTTTTTATGGGAAGATATTTCCTTTTTCACCGTAGGCCTCAAAGCGCTCCAAATGTCCACTTCCACATACTACAAAAAGAGTGTTTCAAACCTGCTCTATGATAGGGAATGTTGAAACCTATGAGTTGAATGCAAGCATTACAAAGAGGTTTCTGAGAATGCTTCTGTCTAGATTTTATATGTAGATATTCCCGTTTCCAACGAAATCCTCAAAGCTATCCAAATATCAACTTGCAGATTCTACAAAAGGAATGTTTCCAAAATGCTGTATCCAAACAAAGGTTCAACTCTGTGAATTGAGGGCATACATCACAAAGAAGATTCTGAGAATGCTTCTGTCTAGATTTTATATGAAAATATTCCCGTTTCCAACGAAATCCTCAAAGCTATCCAAATATCCACTTGCAAATGCCACAAAAAGAGTGTTTCCAAACTGCTCTGTGAAAAGGAAGGTTCAACTCTGTTAGTTGAGTACACACATCACAAAGAGGTTTCTGAGAATGCTGCTGACTAGTTTTTATTTGAAGATATTTCCCTTTTCACCTTAGGCCTAAGAGTGCTCGAAATGTCCATTTCCACATACTCCACAAAGTGTGTTTCAAACGTGCTGTATGAAAGGGAATGTTCAACTCTATGAGTTGAATGCAAACATCACAAAGAAGATTCTGAGAATGCTTTTGTCTAGATTTTATATGAAGATATTCCCGTGTCCAACGAAATTTTCAAAGGTCTCCAAATATCCATTTGTAGATTCTACAAAAAGAGTGTTTCCAAACTGCTGTATCAAAACAAAGGTTGAACTCTGTGAGTTGAGGACACACATCACAAATAAGTTTCTGAGAATGCTTCTGTCTAGTTTTTATTTGAAGATGTTTCCTTTTTCACCATAGGCCTGAAAGCGCTCGAAATGTCCACTTCCAGATAGTACAGAAAGAGTGTTTCAAACCTGCTCTATGAACGGGAATGTTCAGCTCTGTGAGTTGAATGCAAACATCACAAAGCAGGTTCTGAGAATGCTTCCGTCTAGATTTTAAATGAGGATATTCCCGTTTCCAACGAAATCCTCGAAGCTATCCAAATATCCACTTGCAGATTCCACAAAAAGAGTGTTTCAAAACTGCTCTGTCAAAAGATAGGTTCAACTCTGTTAGTTGAGTACACACATGGCAAACAAGATTGCGAGAATGCTTTCGTCTAGTTTTTTTGGGAAGATATTTCCTTCTTCACCATAGGCCTCAAAGCGCTCCAAATATCCATTTCCACATGCTATACAAAGAGTGTCTCAAACCTGCTGTATGAATGGGAATGTTCAACTCTATGAGTTGAATGCAAACATCACAAAGAAGTTTCTGAGAATGCTGCTGTCTAGATTTTATATGAAGGTTTTCCCGCTTCCAACGAAATTTTCAATGCTCTCAAAATATCCTCTTGTAGATTCTACAAAAAGAGTGTTTCCAAACTGCTGTATCAAAACAAAGGTTCATCTCTGTTAGTTGAGGACACACATCACAAATAAGTTTCTGAGAATGCTTCTGTCTAGTTCTTATTTGAAGACATTTCCTTTCTCACCTTAGGCCTGAAAACGCTCGAAATATCCACTTCCAGATACGACAGAAACTGTGATTCAAACCTGCTCTATGAAAGGGAATGTTCAACTAGGTGACTTGAATGCAAACATCACAAAGCAGTTTCTGAGAATGCTGCTGTCTACTTTCTATTTGTAATCCCGTTTGCAACGAAATCCTCAGAACTATCGAAATTTCCAATTGCAGATTCCACAGAAACAGGGTTTCAAAGCTGCTCTGTAAAAAGAAAGGTTCAACTCTGTTAGTTGAATACACACGTCACAAACAAGTTTCTGAGAATGCTTCTGTCTAGTTTTTATGGGAAGATATTTCCTTTTTCACCGTAGGCCTCAAAGCGCTCCAAATGTCCACTTCCACATACTACAAAAAGAGTGTTTCAAACCTGCTCTATGATAGGGAATGTTGAAACCTATGAGTTGAATGCAAACATTACAAAGAGGTTTCTGAGAATGCTTCTGTCTAGATTTTATATGTAGATATTCCCGTTTCCAACGAAATCCTCAAAGCTATCCAAATATCAACTTGCAGATTCTGCAAAAGGAATGTTTCCAAAATGCTGTATCCAAACAAAGGTTCAACTCTGTGAATTGAGGGCATACATCACAAAGAAGATTCTGAGAATGCTTCTGTCTAGATTTTATATGAAAATATTCCCGTTTCCAACGAAATCCTCAAAGCTATCCAAATATCCACTTGCAAATGCCACAAAAAGAGTGTTTCCAAACTGCTCTGTGAAAAGGAAGGTTCAACTCTGTTAGTTGAGTACACACATCACAAAGAGGTTTCTGAGAATGCTGCTGACTAGTTTTTATTTGAAGATATTTCCCTTTTCACCTTAGGCCTAAGAGTGCTCGAAATGTCCATTTCCACATACTCCACAAAGTGTGTTTCAAACGTGCTGTATGAAAGGGAATGTTCAACTCTATGAGTTGAATGCAAACATCACAAAGAAGATTCTGAGAATGCTTTTGTCTAGATTTTATATGAAGATATTCCCGTGTCCAACGAAATTTTCAAAGGTCTCCAAATATCCATTTGTAGATTCTACAAAAAGAGTGTTTCCAAACTGCTGTATCAAAACAAAGGTTGAACTCTGTGAGTTGAGGACACACATCACAAATAAGTTTCTGAGAATGCTTCTGTCTAGTTTTTATTTGAAGATGTTTCCTTTTTCACCATAGGCCTGAAAGCGCTCGAAATGTCCACTTCCAGATAGTACAGAAAGAGTGTTTCAAACCTGCTCTATGAACGGGAATGTTCAGCTCTGTGAGTTGAATGCAAACATCACAAAGCAGGTTCTGAGAATGCTTCCGTCTAGATTTTAAATGAGGATATTCCCGTTTCCAACGAAATCCTCGAAGCTATCCAAATATCCACTTGCAGATTCCACAAAAAGAGTGTTTCAAAACTGCTCTGTCAAAAGATAGGTTCA
Organism: Homo sapiens; assembly: GCF_000001405.40. Classification (NCBI taxonomy): domain Eukaryota; kingdom Metazoa; phylum Chordata; class Mammalia; order Primates; family Hominidae; genus Homo; species Homo sapiens. The sequence goes on along the minus strand of NC_000015.10, from coordinate 19,716,439 downwards.
ACTCTGTTAGTTGAGTACACACATGGCAAACAAGATTGCGAGAATGCTTTCGTCTAGTTTTTTTGGGAAGATATTTCCTTCTTCACCATAGGCCTCAAAGCGCTCCAAATATCCATTTCCACATGCTATACAAAGAGTGTCTCAAACCTGCTGTATGAATGGGAATGTTCAACTCTATGAGTTGAATGCAAACATCACAAAGAAGTTTCTGAGAATGCTGCTGTCTAGATTTTATATGAAGGTTTTCCCGCTTCCAACGAAATTTTCAATGCTCTCAAAATATCCTCTTGTAGATTCTACAAAAAGAGTGTTTCCAAACTGCTGTATCAAAACAAAGGTTCATCTCTGTTAGTTGAGGACACACATCACAAATAAGTTTCTGAGAATGCTTCTGTCTAGTTCTTATTTGAAGACATTTCCTTTCTCACCTTAGGCCTGAAAACGCTCGAAATATCCACTTCCAGATACGACAGAAACAGTGATTCAAACCTGCTCTATGAAAGGGAATGTTCAACTAGGTGACTTGAATGCAAACATCACAAAGCAGTTTCTGAGAATGCTGCTGTCTACTTTCTATTTGTAATCCCGTTTCCAATGAAATCCTCAGAACTATCGAAATTTCCAACTGCAGATTCCACAGAAACAGGGTTTCAAAGCTGCTCTGTAAAAAGAAAGGTTCAACTCTGTTAGTTGAATACACACGTCACAAACAAGTTTCTGAGAATGCTTCTGTCTAGTTTTTATGGGAAGATATTTCCTTTTTCACCGTAGGCCTCAAAGCGCTCCAAATGTCCACTTCCACATACTACAAAAAGAGTGTTTCAAACCTGCTGTATGAAAGGGAATGTTCAACTCTATGAGTTGAATGCAAACATTACAAAGAAGTTTCTGAGAATGCTTCTGTCTAGATTTTATATGAAGGTTTTCCCGTTTCCAACGAAATTTTCAATGCTCTCAAAATATCCACTTGTAGATTCTACAAAAAGAGTGTTTCCAAACTGCTGTGTCAAAAGAAAGGTTCAACTCTGTTAGTTGAGGACACACATCACAAATAAGTTTCTGAGAATGCTGCTGTCTACTTTCTATTTGTAATCCCGTTTCCAACGAAATCCTCAGAACTATCGAAATTTCCAATTGCAGATTCCACAAAAAGCGTGTTTCAAAGCTGCTCTGTAAAAAGAAAGGTTCAACTCTGTTAGTTGAATACACACGTCACAAACAAGTTTCTGAGAATGCTTCTGTCTAGTTTTTATGGGAAGATATTTCCTTTTTCACGGTAGGCCTCAAAGCGCTCCAAATGTCCACTTCCACATACTACAAAAAGAGTGTTTCAAACCTGCTCTATGATAGGGAATGTTGAAACCTATGAGTTGAATGCAAGCATTACAAAGAGGTTTCTGAGAATGCTTCTGTCTAGATTTTATATGTAGATATTCCCGTTTCCAACGAAATCCTCAAACTATCCAAATATCAACTTGCAGATTCTACAAAAGGAATGTTTCCAAAATGCTGTATCCAAACAAAGGTTCAACTCTGTGAATTGAGGGCATACATCACAAAGAAGATTCTGAGAATGCTTCTGTCTAGATTTTATATGAAAATATTCCCGTTTCCAACGAAATCCTCAAAGCTATCCAAATATCCACTTGCAAATGCCACAAAAAGAGTGTTTCCAAACTGCTCTGTGAAAAGGAAGGTTCAACTCTGTTAGTTGAGTACACACATCACAAAGAGGTTTCTGAGAATGCTGCTGACTAGTTTTTATTTGAAGATATTTCCCTTTTCACCTTAGGCCTAAGAGTGCTCGAAATGTCCATTTCCACATACTCCACAAAGTGTGTTTCAAACGTGCTGTATGAAAGGGAATGTTCAACTCTATGAGTTGAATGCAAACATCACAAAGAAGATTCTGAGAATGCTTTTGTCTAGATTTTATATGAAGATATTCCCGTGTCCAACGAAATTTTCAAAGGTCTCCAAATATCCATTTGTAGATTCTACAAAAAGAGTGTTTCCAAACTGCTGTATCAAAACAAAGGTTGAACTCTGTGAGTTGAGGACACACATCACAAATAAGTTTCTGAGAATGCTTCTGTCTAGTTTTTATTTGAAGATGTTTCCTTTTTCACCATAGGCCTGAAAGCGCTCGAAATGTCCACTTCCAGATAGTACAGAAAGAGTGTTTCAAACCTGCTCTATGAACGGGAATGTTCAGCTCTGTGAGTTGAATGCAAACATCACAAAGCAGGTTCTGAGAATGCTTCCGTCTATATTTTAAATGAGGATATTCCCGTTTCCAACGAAATCCTCGAAGCTATCCAAATATCCACTTGCAGATTCCACAAAAAGAGTGTTTCAAAACTGCTCTGTCAAAAGATAGGTTCAACTCTGTTAGTTGAGTACACACATGGCAAACAAGATTGCGAGAATGCTTTCGTCTAGTTTTTTTGGGAAGATATTTCCTTCTTCACCATAGGCCTCAAAGCGCTCCAAATATCCATTTCCACATGCTATACAAAGAGTGTCTCAAACCTGCTGTATGAATGGGAATGTTCAACTCTATGAGTTGAATGCAAACATCACAAAGAAGTTTCTGAGAATGCTGCTGTCTAGATTTTATATGAAGGTTTTCCCGCTTCCAACGAAATTTTCAATGCTCTCAAAATATCCTCTTGTAGATTCTACAAAAAGAGTGTTTCCAAACTGCTGTATCAAAACAAAGGTTCATCTCTGTTAGTTGAGGACACACATCACAAATAAGTTTCTGAGAATGCTTCTGTCTAGTTCTTATTTGAAGACATTTCCTTTCTCACCTTAGGCCTGAAAGCGCTCGAAATACCCACTTCCAGATACTACAGAAACAGTGATTCAAACCTGCTCTATGAAAGGGAATGTTCAGCTATGTGACTTGAATGCAAACATCACAAAGCAGTTTCTGAGAATGCTGCTGTCTACTTTCTATTTGTAATCCCGTTTCCAACGAAATCCTCAGAACTATCGAAATTTCCAATTGCAGATTCCACAGAAACAGGGTTTCAAAGCTGCTCTGTAAAAAGAAAGGTTCAACTCTGTTAGTTGAATACACACGTCACAAACAAGTTTCTGAGAATGCTTCTGTCTAGTTTTTATGGGAAGATATTTCCTTTTTCACCGTAGGCCTCAAAGCGCTCCAAATGTCCACTTCCACATACTACAAAAAGAGTGTTTCAAACCTGCTGTATGAAAGGGAATGTTCAACTCTATGAGTCGAATGCAAACATTACAAAGAAGTTTCTGAGAATGCTTCTGTCTAGATTTTATATGAAGGTTTTCCCGTTTCCAACGAAATTTTCAATGCTCTCAAAATATCCACTTGTAGATTCTACAAAAAGAGTGTTTCCAAACTGCTGTGTCAAAAGAAAGGTTCAACTCTGTTAGTTGAGGACACACATCACAAATAAGTTTCTGAGAATGCTGCTGTCTACTTTCTATTTTTAATCCCGTTTCCAAAGAAATCCTCAGAACTATCGAAATTTCCAATTGCAGATTCCACAAAAAGCGTGTTTCAAAGCTGCTCTGTAAAAAGAAAGGTTCAACTCTGTTAGTTGAATACACACGTCACAAACAAGTTTCTGAGAATGCTTCTGTCTAGTTTTTATGGGAAGATATTTCCTTTTTCACGGTAGGCCTCAAAGCGCTCCAAATGTCCACTTCCACATACTACAAAAAGAGTGTTTCAAACCTGCTCTATGATAGGGAATGTTGAAACCTATGAGTTGAATGCAAGCATTACAAAGAGGTTTCTGAGAATGCTTCTGTCTAGATTTTATATGTAGATATTCCCGTTTCCAACGAAATCCTCAAAGCTATCCAAATATCAACTTGCAGATTCTACAAAAGGAATGTTTCCAAAATGCTGTATCCAAACAAAGGTTCAACTCTGTGAATTGAGGGCATACATCACAAAGAAGATTCTGAGAATGCTTCTGTCTAGATTTTATATGAAAATATTCCCGTTTCCAACGAAATCCTCAAAGCTATCCAAATATCCACTTGCAAATGCCACAAAAAGAGTGTTTCCAAACTGCTCTGTGAAAAGGAAGGTTCAACTCTGTTAGTTGAGTACACACATCACAAAGAGGTTTCTGAGAATGCTGCTGACTAGTTTTTATTTGAAGATATTTCCCTTTTCACCTTAGGCCTAAGAGTGCTCGAAATGTCCATTTCCACATACTCCACAAAGTGTGTTTCAAACGTGCTGTATGAAAGGGAATGTTCAACTCTATGAGTTGAATGCAAACATCACAAAGAAGATTCTGAGAATGCTTTTGTCTAGATTTTATATGAAGATATTCCCGTGTCCAACGAAATTTTCAAAGGTCTCCAAATATCCATTTGTAGATTCTACAAAAAGAGTGTTTCCAAACTGCTGTATCAAAACAAAGGTTGAACTCTGTGAGTTGAGGACACACATCACAAATAAGTTTCTGAGAATGCTTCTGTCTAGTTTTTATTTGAAGATGTTTCCTTTTTCACCATAGGCCTGAAAGCGCTCGAAATGTCCACTTCCAGATAGTACAGAAAGAGTGTTTCAAACCTGCTCTATGAACGGGAATGTTCAGCTCTGTGAGTTGAATGCAAACATCACAAAGCAGGTTCTGAGAATGCTTCCGTCTAGATTTTAAATGAGGATATTCCCGTTTCCAACGAAATCCTCGAAGCTATCCAAATATCCACTTGCAGATTCCACAAAAAGAGTGTTTCAAAACTGCTCTGTCAAAAGATAGGTTCAACTCTGTTAGTTGAGTACACACATGGCAAACAAGATTCCGAGAATGCTTTCGTCTAGTTTTTTTGGGAAGATATTTCCTTCTTCACCATAGGCCTCAAAGCGCTCCAAATATCCATTTCCACATGCTATACAAAGAGTGTCTCAAACCTGCTGTATGAATGGGAATGTTCAACTCTATGAGTTGAATGCAAACATCACAAAGAAGTTTCTGAGAATGCTGCTGTCTAGATTTTATATGAAGGTTTTCCCGCTTCCAACGAAATTTTCAATGCTCTCAAAATATCCTCTTGTAGATTCTACAAAAAGAGTGTTTCCAAACTGCTGTATCAAAACAAAGGTTCATCTCTGTTAGTTGAGGACACACATCACAAATAAGTTTCTGAGAATGCTTCTGTCTAGTTCTTATTTGAAGACATTTCCTTTCTCACCTTAGGCCTGAAAGCGCTCGAAATACCCACTTCCAGATACTACAGAAACAGTGATTCAAACCTGCTCTATGAAAGGGAATGTTCAACTAGGTGACTTGAATGCAAATATCACAAAGCAGTTTCTGAGAATGCTGCTGTCTACTTTCTATTTGTAATCCCGTTTCCAACGAAATCCTCAGAACTATCGAAATTTCCAATTGCAGATTCCACAGAAACAGGGTTTCAAAGCTGCTCTGTAAAAAGAAAGGTTCAACTCTGTTAGTTGAATACACACGTCACAAACAAGTTTCTGAGAATGCTTCTGTCTAGTTTTTATGGGAAGATATTTCCTTTTTCACCGTAGGCCTCAAAGCGCTCCAAATGTCCACTTCCACATACTACAAAAAGAGTGTTTCAAACCTGCTGTATGAATGGGAATGTTCAACTCTATGAGTTGAATGCAAACATTACAAAGAAGTTTCTGAGAATGCTTCTGTCTAGATTTTATATGAAGGTTTTCCCGTTTCCAACGAAATTTTCAATGCTCTCAAAATATCCACTTGTAGATTCTACAAAAAGAGTGTTTCCAAACTGCTGTGTCAAAAGAAAGGTTCAACTCTGTTAGTTGAGGACACACATCACAAATAAGTTTCTGAGAATGCTGCTGTCTACTTTCTATTTGTAATCCCGTTTCCAACGAAATCCTCAGAACTATCGAAATTTCCAATTGCAGATTCCACAAAAAGCGTGTTTCAAAGCTGCTCTGTAAAAAGAAAGGTTCAACTCTGTTAGTTGAATACACACGTCACAAACAAGTTTCTGAGAATGCTTCTGTCTAGTTTTTATGGGAAGATATTTCCTTTTTCACCGTAGGCCTCAAAGCGCTCCAAATGTCCACGTCCACATACTACAAAAAGAGTGTTTCAAACCTGCTGTATGAAAGGGAATGTTCAACTCTATGAGTTGAATGCAAACATTACAAAGAAGTTTCTGAGAATGCTTCTGTCTAGATTTTATATGAAGATTTTCCCGTTTCCAACGAAATTTTCAATGCTCTCAAAATATCCACTTGTAGATTCTACAAAAAGAGTGTTTCCAAACTGCTGTGTCAAAAGAAAGGTTCAACTCTGTTAGTTGAGGACACACATCACAAATAAGTTTCTGAGAATGCTGCTGTCTACTTTCTATTTGTAATCCCGTTTCCAACGAAATCCTCAGAACTATCGAAATTTCCAATTGCAGATTCCACAAAAAGCGTGTTTCAAAGCTGCTCTGTAAAAAGAAAGGTTCAACTCTGTTAGTTGAATACACACGTCACAAACAAGTTTCTGAGAATGCTTCTGTCTAGTTTTTATGGGAAGATATTTCCTTTTTCACCGTAGGCCTCAAAGCGCTCCAAATGTCCACTTCCACATACTACAAAAAGAGTGTTTCAAACCTGCTCTATGATAGGGAATGTTGAAACCTATGAGTTGAATGCAAGCATTACAAAGAGGTTTCTGAGAATGCTTCTGTCTAGATTTTATATGTAGATATTCCCGTTTCCAACGAAATCCTCAAAGCTATCCAAATATCAGCTTGCAGATTCTGCAAAAGGAATGTTTCCAAAATGCTGTATCCAAACAAAGGTTCAACTCTGTGAATTGAGGGCATACATCACAAAGAAGATTCTGAGAATGCTTCTGTCTAGATTTTATATGAAAATATTCCCGTTTCCAACGAAATCCTCAAAGCTATCCAAATATCCACTTGCAAATGCCACAAAAAGAGTGTTTCCAAACTGCTCTGTGAAAAGGAAGGTTCAACTCTGTTAGTTGAGTACACACATCACAAAGAGGTTTCTGAGAATGCTGCTGACTAGTTTTTATTTGAAGATATTTCCCTTTTCACCTTAGGCCTAAGAGTGCTCGAAATGTCCATTTCCACATACTCCACAAAGTGTGTTTCAAACGTGCTGTATGAAAGGGAATGTTCAACTCTATGAGTTGAATGCAAACATCACAAAGAAGATTCTGAGAATGCTTTTGTCTAGATTTTATATGAAGATATTCCCGTGTCCAACGAAATTTTCAAAGGTCTCCAAATATCCATTTGTAGATTCTACAAAAAGAGTGTTTCCAAACTGCTGTATCAAAACAAAGGTTGAACTCTGTGAGTTGAGGACACACATCACAAATAAGTTTCTGAGAATGCTTCTGTCTAGTTTTTATTTGAAGATGTTTCCTTTTTCACCATAGGCCTGAAAGCGCTCGAAATGTCCACTTCCAGATAGTACAGAAAGAGTGTTTCAAACCTGCTCTATGAACGGGAATGTTCAGCTCTGTGAGTTGAATGCAAACATCACAAAGCAGGTTCTGAGAATGCTTCCGTCTAGATTTTAAATGAGGATATTCCCGTTTCCAACGAAATCCTCGAAGCTATCCAAATATCCACTTGCAGATTCCACAAAAAGAGTGTTTCAAAACTGCTCTGTCAAAAGATAGGTTCAACTCTGTTAGTTGAGTACACACATGGCAAACAAGATTCCGAGAATGCTTTCGTCTAGTTTTTTTGGGAAGATATTTCCTTCTTCACCATAGGCCTCAAAGCGCTCCAAATATCCATTTCCACATGCTATACAAAGAGTGTCTCAAACCTGCTGTATGAATGGGAATGTTCAACTCTATGAGTTGAATGCAAACATCACAAAGAAGTTTCTGAGAATGCTGCTGTCTAGATTTTATATGAAGGTTTTCCCGCTTCCAACGAAATTTTCAATGCTCTCAAAATATCCTCTTGTAGATTCTACAAAAAGAGTGTTTCCAAACTGCTGTATCAAAACAAAGGTTCATCTCTGTTAGTTGAGGACACACATCACAAATAAGTTTCTGAGAATGCTTCTGTCTAGTTCTTATTTGAAGACATTTCCTTTCTCACCTTAGGCCTGAAAGCGCTCGAAATACCCACTTCCAGATACGACAGAAACTGTGATTCAAACCTGCTCTATGAAAGGGAATGTTCAACTAGGTGACTTGAATGCAAACATCAGAAAGCAGTTTCTGAGAATGCTGCTGTCTACTTTGTATTTGTAATCCCGTTTCCAACGAAATCCTCAGAACTATCGAAATTTCCAATTGCAGATTCCACAAAAAGCGTGTTTCAAAGCTGCTCTGTAAAAAGAAAGGTTCAACTCTGTTAGTTGAATACACACGTCACAAACAAGTTTGCTGAGATTGCTTCTGTCTAGTTTTTATGGGAAGATATTTCCTTTTTCACGGTAGGCCTCAAAGCGCTCCAAATGTCCACTTCCACATACTACAAAAAGAGTGTTTCAAACCTGCTCTATGATAGGGAATGTTGAAACCTATGAGTTGAATGCAAGCATTACAAAGAGGTTTCTGAGAATGCTTCTGTCTAGATTTTATATGTAGATATTCCCGTTTCCAACGAAATCCTCAAAGCTATCCAAATATCAGCTTGCAGATTCTGCAAAAGGAATGTTTCCAAAATGCTGTATCCAAACAAAGGTTCAACTCTGTGAATTGAGGGCATACATCACAAAGAATATTCTGAGAATGCTTCTGTCTAGATTTTATATGAAAATATTCCCGTTTCCAACGAAATCCTCAAAGCTATCCAAATATCCACTTGCAAATGCCACAAAAAGAGTGTTTCCAAACTGCTCTGTGAAAAGGAAGGTTCAACTCTGTTAGTTGAGTACACACATCACAAAGAGGTTTGCTGAGAATGCTGCTGACTAGTTTTTATTTGAAGATATTTCCCTTTTCACCTTAGGCCTAAGAGTGCTCGAAATGTCCATTTCCACATACTCCACAAAGTGTGTTTCAAACGTGCTGTATGAAAGGGAATGTTCAACTCTATGAGTTGAATGCAAACATCACAAAGAAGATTCTGAGAATGCTTTTGTCTAGATTTTATATGAAGATATTCCCGTGTCCAACGAAATTTTCAAAGGTCTCCAAATATCCATTTGTAGATTCTACAAAAAGAGTGTTTCCAAACTGCTGTATCAAAACAAAGGTTGAACTCTGTGAGTTGAGGACACACATCACAAATAAGTTTCTGAGAATGCTTCTGTCTAGTTTTTATTTGAAGATGTTTCCTTTTTCACCATAGGCCTGAAAGCGCTCGAAATGTCCACTTCCAGATAGTACAGAAAGAGTGTTTCAAACCTGCTCTATGAACGGGAATGTTCAGCTCTGTGAGTTGAATGCAAACATCACAAAGCAGGTTCTGAGAATGCTTCCGTCTAGATTTTAAATGAGGATATTCCCGTTTCCAACGAAATCCTCGAAGCTATCCAAATATCCACTTGCAGATTCCACAAAAAGAGTGTTTCAAAACTGCTTTGTCAAAGGATAGGTTCAACTCTGTTAGTTGAGTACACACATGGCAAACAAGATTCCGAGAATGCTTTCGTCTAGTTTTTTTGGGAAGATATTTCCTTCTTCACCATAGGCCTCAAAGCGCTCCAAATATCCATTTCCACATGCTATACAAAGAGTGTCTCAAACCTGCTGTATGAATGGGAATGTTCAACTCTATGAGTTGAATGCAAACATCACAAAGAAGTTTCTGAGAATGCTGCTGTCTAGATTTTATATGAAGGCTTTCCCGCTTCCAACGAAATTTTCAATGCTCTCAAAATATCCTCTTGTAGATTCTACAAAAAGAGTGTTTCCAAACTGCTGTATCAAAACAAAGGTTCATCTCTGTTAGTTGAGGACACACATCACAAATAAGTTTCTGAGAATGCTTCTGTCTAGTTCTTATTTGAAGACATTTCCTTTCTCACCTTAGGCCTGAAAGCGCTCGAAATACCCACTTCCAGATACTACAGAAACAGTGATTCAAACCTGCTCTATGAAAGGGAATGTTCAACTAGGTGACTTGAATGCAAACATCACAAAGCAGTTTCTGAGAATGCTGCTGTCTACTTTCTATTTGTAATCCCGTTTCCAACGAAATCCTCAGAACTATCGAAATTTCCAATTGCAGATTCCACAGAAACAGGGTTTCAAAGCTGCTCTGTAAAAAGAAAGGTTCAACTCTGTTAGTTGAATACACACGTCACAAACAAGTTTCTGAGAATGCTTCTGTCTAGTTTTTATGGGAAGATATTTCCTTTTTCACCATAGGCCTCCAAGCGCTCCAAATGTCCACTTCCACATACTACAAAAAGAGTGTTTCAAACCTGCTCTATGAAAGGGAATGTTCAACTCTGTGACTTGAATGGAAACATCACAAAGAAGTTTCTGAGAATGTTTCTGTCTAGATTTTATATGAAGGTTTTCCCGTTTCCAACGAAATTTTCAATGCTCTCAAAATATCCACTTGTAGATTCTACAAAAAGAGTGTTTCCAAACTGCTGTGTCAAAAGAAAGGTTCAACTCTGTTAGTTGAGGACACACATCACAAATAAGTTTCTGAGAATGCTGCTGTCTACTTTCTATTTGTAATCCCGTTTCCAAAGAAATTCTCAGAACTATCGAAATTTCCAATTGCAGATTCCACAAAAGTGTGTTTCAAAGCTGCTCTGTAAAAAGAAAGGTTCAACTCTTTTAGTTGAATACACGTCAGAAACAAGTTTCTGAGAATGCTTCTGTCTAGTTTTTATGGGAAGATATTTCCTTTTTCACCGTAGGCCTCAAAGCGCTCCAAATGTCCACTTCCACATACTTCAAAAAGAGTGTTTCAAACCTGCTCTATGATAGGGAATGTTGAAACCTATGAGTTGAATGCAAACATTACAAAGAGGTTTCTGAGAATGCTTCTGTCTAGATTTTATATGTAGATATTCCCGTTTCCAACGAAATCCTCAAAGCTATCCAAATATCAACTTGCAGATTCTACAAAAGGAATGTTTCCAAAATGCTGTATCCAAACAAAGGTTCAACTCTGTGAATTGAGGGCATACATCACAAAGAAGATTCTGAGAATGCTTCTGTCTAGATTTTATATGAAAATATTCCCGTTTCCAACGAAATCCTCAAAGCTATCCAAATATCCACTTGCAAATGCCACAAAAAGAGTGTTTCCAAACTGCTCTGTGAAAAGGAAGGTTCAACTCTGTTAGTTGAGTACACACATCACAAAGAGGTTTCTGAGAATGCTGCTGACTAGTTTTTATTTGAAGATATTTCCCTTTTCACCTTAGGCCTAAGAGTGCTCGAAATGTCCATTTCCACATACTCCACAAAGTGTGTTTCAAACGTGCTGTATGAAAGGGAATGTTCAACTCTATGAGTTGAATGCAAACATCACAAAGAAGATTCTGAGAATGCTTTTGTCTAGATTTTATATGAAGATATTCCCGTGTCCAACGAAATTTTCAAAGGTCTCCAAATATCCATTTGTAGATTCTACAAAAAGAGTGTTTCCAAACTGCTGTATCAAAACAAAGGTTGAACTCTGTGAGTTGAGGACACACATCACAAATAAGTTTCTGAGAATGCTTCTGTCTAGTTTTTATTTGAAGATGTTTCCTTTTTCACCATAGGCCTGAAAGCGCTCGAAATGTCCACTTCCAGATAGTACAGAAAGAGTGTTTCAAACCTGCTCTATGAACGGGAATGTTCAGCTCTGTGAGTTGAATGCAAACATCACAAAGCAGGTTCTGAGAATGCTTCCGTCTAGATTTTAAATGAGGATATTCCCGTTTCCAACGAAATCCTCGAAGCTATCCAAATATGCACTTGCAGATTCCACAAAAAGAGTGTTTCAAAACTGCTCTGTCAAAAGATAGGTTCAACTCTGTTAGTTGAGTACACACATGGCAAACAAGATTCCGAGAATGCTTTCGTCTAGTTTTTTTGGGAAGATATTTCCTTCTTCACCATAGGCCTCAAAGCGCTCCAAATATCCATTTCCACATGCTATACAAAGAGTGTCTCAAACCTGCTGTATGAATGGGAATGTTCAACTCTATGAGTTGAATGCAAACATCACAAAGAAGTTTCTGAGAATGCTGCTGTCTAGATTTTATATGAAGGTTTTCCCGCTTCCAACGAAATTTTCAATGCTCTCAAAATATCCTCTTGTAGATTCTACAAAAAGAGTGTTTCCAAACTGCTGTATCAAAACAAAGGTTCATCTCTGTTAGTTGAGGACACACATCACAAATAAGTTTCTGAGAATGCTTCTGTCTAGTTCTTATTTGAAGACATTTCCTTTCTCACCTTAGGCCTGAAAGCGCTCGAAATACCCACTTCCAGATACTACAGAAACAGTGATTCAAACCTGCTCTATGAAAGGGAATGTTCAACTATGTGACTTGAATGCAAACATCACAAAGCAGTTTCTGAGAATGCTGCTGTCTACTTTCTATTTGTAATCCCGTTTCCAACGAAATCCTCAGAACTATCGAAATTTCCAATTGCAGATTCCACAGAAACAGGGTTTCAAAGCTGCTCTGTAAAAAGAAAGGTTCAACTCTGTTAGTTGAATACACACGTCACAAACAAGTTTCTGAGAATGCTTCTGTCTAGTTTTTATGGGAAGATATTTCCTTTTTCACCGTAGGCCTCAAAGCGCTCCAAATGTCCACTTCCACATACTACAAAAAGAGTGTTTCAAACCTGCTGTATGAAAGGGAATGTTCAACTCTATGAGTTGAATGCAAACATTACAAAGAAGTTTCTGAGAACGCTTCTGTCTAGATTTTATATGAAGGTTTTCCCGTTTCCAACGAAATTTTCAATGCTCTCAAAATATCCACTTGTAGATTCTACAAAAAGAGTGTTTCCAAACTGCTGTGTCAAAAGAAAGGTTCAACTCTGTTAGTTGAGGACACACATCACAAATAAGTTTCTGAGAATGCTTCTGTCTAGTTCTTATTTGAAGACATTTCCTTTCTCACCTTAGGCCTGAAAACGCTCGAAATATCCACTTCCAGATACGACAGAAACAGTGATTCAAACCTGCTCTATGAAAGGGAATGTTCAACTAGGTGACTTGAATGCAAACATCACAAAGCAGTTTCTGAGAATGCTGCTGTCTACTTTCTATTTGTAATCCCGTTTCCAACGAAATCCTCAGAACTATCGAAATTTCCAATTGCAGATTCCACAAAAAGCGTGTTTCAAAGCTGCTGTGTAAAAAGAAAGGTTCAACTCTGTTAGTTGAATACACACGGTCACAAACAAGTTTCTGAGAATGCTTCTGTCTAGTTTTTATGGGAAGATATTTCCTTTTTCACCGTAGGCCTCAAAGCGCTCCAAATGTCCACTTCCACATACTACAAAAAGAGTGTTTCAAACCTGCTCTATGATAGGGAATGTTGAAACCTATGAGTTGAATGCAAGCATTACAAAGAGGTTTCTGAGAATGCTTCTGTCTAGATTTTATATGTAGATATTCCCGTTTCCAACGAAATCCTCAAAGCTATCCAAATATCAACCTGCAGATTCTACAAAAGGAATGTTTCCAAAATGCTGTATCCAAACAAAGGTTCAACTCTGTGAATTGAGGGCATACATCACAAAGAAGATTCTGAGAATGCTTCTGTCTAGATTTTATATGAAAATATTCCCGTTTCCAACGAAATCCTCAAAGCTATCCAAATATCCACTTGCAAATGCCACAAAAAGAGTGTTTCCAAACTGCTCTGTGAAAAGGAAGGTTCAACTCTGTTAGTTGAGTACACACATCACAAAGAGGTTTCTGAGAATGCTGCTGACTAGTTTTTATTTGAAGATATTTCCCTTTTCACCTTAGGCCTAAGAGTGCTCGAAATGTCCATTTCCACATACTCCACAAAGTGTGTTTCAAACGTGCTGTATGAAAGGGAATGTTCAACTCTATGTGTTGAATGCAAACATCACAAAGAAGATTCTGAGAATGCTTTTGTCTAGATTTTATATGAAGATATTCCCGTGTCCAACGAAATTTTCAAAGGTCTCCAAATATCCATTTGTAGATTCTACAAAAAGAGTGTTTCCAAACTGCTGTATCAAAACAAAGGTTGAACTCTGTGAGTTGAGGACACACATCACAAATAAGTTTCTGAGAATGCTTCTGTCTAGTTTTTATTTGAAGATGTTTCCTTTTTCACCATAGGCCTGAAAGCGCTCGAAATGTCCACTTCCAGATAGTACAGAAAGAGTGTTTCAAACCTGCTCTATGAACGGGAATGTTCAGCTCTGTGAGTTGAATGCAAACATCACAAAGCAGGTTCTGAGAATGCTTCCGTCTAGATTTTAAATGAGGATATTCCCGTTTCCAACGAAATCCTCGAAGCTATCCAAATATCCACTTGCAGATTCCACAAAAAGAGTGTTTCAAAACTGCTCTGTCAAAAGATAGGTTCAACTCTGTTAGTTGAGTACACACATGGCAAACAAGATTCCGAGAATGCTTTCGTCTAGTTTTTTTGGGAAGATATTTCCTTCTTCACCATAGGCCTCAAAGCGCTCCAAATATCCATTTCCACATGCTATACAAAGAGTGTCTCAAACCTGCTGTATGAATGGGAATGTTCAACTCTATGAGTTGAATGCAAACATCACAAAGAAGTTTCTGAGAATGCTGCTGTCTAGATTTTATATGAAGGTTTTCCCGCTTCCAAGGAAATTTTCAATGCTCTCAAAATATCCTCTTGTAGATTCTACAAAAAGAGTGTTTCTAAACTGCTGTGTCAAAACAAAGTTTCATCTCTGTTAGTTGAGGACACACATCACAAATAAGTTTCTGAGAATGCTTCTGTCTAGTTCTTATTTGAAGACATTTCCTTTCTCACCTTAGGCCTGAAAACGCTCGAAATATCCACTTCCAGATACGACAGAAACAGGGATTCAAACCTGCTCTATGAAAGGGAATGTTCAACTAGGTGACTTGAATGCAAACATCACAAAGCAGTTTCTGAGAATGCTGCTGTCTACTTTCTATTTGTAATCCCGTTTCCAACGAAATCCTCAGAACTATCGAAATTTCCAATTGCAGATTCCACAGAAACAGGGTTTCAAAGCTGCTCTGTAAAAAGAAAGGTTCAACTCTGTTAGTTGAATACACACGTCACAAACAAGTTTCTGAGAATGCTTCTGTCTAGTTTTTATGGGAAGATATTTCCTTTTTCACCGTAGGCCTCAAAGCGCTCCAAATGTCCACGTCCACATACTACAAAAAGAGTGTTTCAAACCTGCTGTATGAAAGGGAATGTTCAACTCTATGAGTTGAATGCAAACATTACAAAGAAGTTTCTGAGAATGCTTCTGTCTAGATTTTATATGAAGGTTTTCCCGTTTCCAACGAAATTTTCAATGCTCTCAAAATATCCACTTGTAGATTCTACAAAAAGAGTGTTTCCAAACTGCTGTGTCAAAAGAAAGGTTCAACTCTGTTAGTTGAGGACACACATCACAAATAAGTTTCTGAGAATGCTGCTGTCTACTTTCTATTTGTAATCCCGTTTCCAACGAAATCCTCAGAACTATCGAAATTTCCAATTGCAGATTCCACAAAAAGCGTGTTTCAAAGCTGCTCTGTAAAAAGAAAGGTTCAACTCTGTTAGTTGAATACACACGTCACAAACAAGTTTCTGAGAATGCTTCTGTCTAGTTTTTATGGGAAGATATTTCCTTTTTCACCGTAGGCCTCAAAGCGCTCCAAATGTCCACTTCCACATACTACAAAAAGAGTGTTTCAAACCTGCTCTATGATAGGGAATGTTGAAACCTATGAGTTGAATGCAAGCATTACAAAGAGGTTTCTGAGAATGCTTCTGTCTAGATTTTATATGTAGATATTCCCGTTTCCAACGAAATCCTCAAAGCTATCCAAATATCAACTTGCAGATTCTACAAAAGGAATGTTTCCAAAATGCTGTATCCAAACAAAGGTTCAACTCTGTGAATTGAGGGAATACATCACAAAGAAGATTCTGAGAATGCTTCTGTCTAGATTTTATATGAAAATATTCCCGTTTCCAACGAAATCCTCAAAGCTATCCAAATATCCACTTGCAAATGCCACAAAAAGAGTGTTTCCAAACTGCTCTGTGAAAAGGAAGGTTCAACTCTGTTAGTTGAGTACACACATCACAAAGAGGTTTCTGAGAATGCTGCTGACTAGTTTTTATTTGAAGATATTTCCCTTTTCACCTTAGGCCTAAGAGTGCTCGAAATGTCCATTTCCACATACTCCACAAAGTGTGTTTCAAACGTGCTGTATGAAAGGGAATGTTCAACTCTATGAGTTGAATGCAAACATCACAAAGAAGATTCTGAGAATGCTTTTGTCTAGATTTTATATGAAGATATTCCCGTGTCCAACGAAATTTTCAAAGGTCTCCAAATATCCATTTGTAGATTCTACAAAAAGAGTGTTTCCAAACTGCTGTATCAAAACAAAGGTTGAACTCTGTGAGTTGAGGACACACATCACAAATAAGTTTCTGAGAATGCTTCTGTCTAGTTTTTATTTGAAGATGTTTCCTTTTTCACCATAGGCCTGAAAGCGCTCGAAATGTCCACTTCCAGATAGTACAGAAAGAGTGTTTCAAACCTGCTCTATGAACGGGAATGTTCAGCTCTGTGAGTTGAATGCAAACATCACAAAGCAGGTTCTGAGAATGCTTCCGTCTAGATTTTAAATGAGGATATTCCCGTTTCCAACGAAATCCTCGAAGCTATCCAAATATCCACTTGCAGATTCCACAAAAAGAGTGTTTCAAAACTGCTCTGTCAAAAGATAGGTTCAACTCTGTTAGTTGAGTACACACATGGCAAACAAGATTCCGAGAATGCTTTCGTCTAGTTTTTTTGGGAAGATATTTCCTTCTTCACCATAGGCCTCAAAGCGCTCCAAATATCCATTTCCACATGCTATACAAAGAGTGTCTCAAACCTGCTGTATGAATGGGAATGTTCAACTCTATGAGTTGAATGCAAACATCACAAAGAAGTTTCTGAGAATGCTGCTGTCTAGATTTTATATGAAGGTTTTCCCGCTTCCAACGAAATTTTCAATGCTCTCAAAATATCCTCTTGTAGATTCTACAAAAAGAGTGTTTCCAAACTGCTGTATCAAAACAAAGGTTCATCTCTGTTAGTTGAGGACACACATCACAAATAAGTTTCTGAGAATGCTTCTGTCTAGTTCTTATTTGAAGACATTTCCTTTCTCACCTTAGGCCTGAAAGCGCTCGAAATACCCACTTCCAGATACTACAGAAACAGTGATTCAAACCTGCTCTATGAAAGGGAATGTTCAACTAGGTGACTTGAATGCAAACATCACAAAGCAGTTTCTGAGAATGCTGCTGTCTACTTTCTATTTGTAATCCCGTTTCCAACGAAATCCTCAGAACTATCGAAATTTCCAATTGCAGATTCCACAGAAACAGGGTTTCAAAGCTGCTCTGTAAAAAGAAAGGTTCAACTCTGTTAGTTGAATACACACGTCACAAACAAGTTTACTGAGAATGCTTCTATCTAGTTTTTATGGGAAGATATTTCCTTTTTCACCGTAGGTCTCAAAGCGCTCCAAATGTCCACTTCCACATACTACAAAAAGAGTGTTTCAAACCTGCTGTATGAAAGGGAATGTTCAACTCTATGAGTTGAATGCAAACATTACAAAGAAGTTTCTGAGAATGCTTCTGTCTAGATTTTATATGAAGGTTTTCCCGTTTCCAACGAAATTTTCAATGCTCTCAAAATATCCACTTGTAGATTCTACAAAAAGAGTGTTTCCAAACTGCTGTGTCAAAAGAAAGGTTCAACTCTGTTAGTTGAGGACACACATCACAAATAAGTTTCTGAGAATGCTTCTGTCTAGTTCTTATTTGAAGACATTTCCTTTCTCACCTTAGGCCTGAAAGCGCTCGAAATACCCACTTCCAGATACTACAGAAACAGTGATTCAAACCTGCTCTATGAAAGGGAATGTTCAACTAGGTGACTTGAATGCAAACATCACAAAGCAGTTTCTGAGAATGCTGCTGTCTACTTTCTATTTGTAATCCCGTTTCCAACGAAATCCTCAGAACTATCGAAATTTCCAATTGCAGATTCCACAAAAACAGGGTTTCAAAGCTGCTCTGTAAAAAGAAAGGTTCAACTCTGTTAGTTGAATACACACGTCACAAACAAGTTTCTGAGAATGCTTCTGTCTAGTTTTTATGGGAAGATATTTCCTTTTTCACCGTAGGCCTCAAAGCGCTCCAAATGTCCACTTCCACATACTACAAAAAGAGTGTTTCAAACCTGCTGTATGAAAGGGAATGTTCAACTCTATGAGTTGAATGCAAACATTACAAAGAAGTTTCTGAGAATGCTTCTGTCTAGATTTTATATGAAGGTTTTCCCGTTTCCAACGAAATTTTCAATGCTCTCAAAATATCCACTTGTAGATTCTACAAAAAGAGTGTTTCCAAACTGCTGTGTCAAAAGAAAGGTTCAACTCTGTTAGTTGAGGACACACATCACAAATAAGTTTCTGAGAATGCTGCTGTCTACTTTCTATTTGTAATCCCGTTTCCAACGAAATCCTCAGAACTATCGAAATTTCCAATTGCAGATTCCACAAAAAGCGTGTTTCAAAGCTGCTCTGTAAAAAGAAAGGTTCAACTCTGTTAGTTGAATACACACGTCACAAACAAGTTTCTGAGAATGCTTCTGTCTAGTTTTTATGGGAAGATATTTCCTTTTTCACCGTAGGCCTCAAAGCGCTCCAAATGTCCACTTCCACATACTACAAAAAGAGTGTTTCAAACCTGCTCTATGATAGGGAATGTTGAAACCTATGAGTTGAATGCAAGCATTACAAAGAGGTTTCTGAGAATGCTTCTGTCTAGATTTTATATGTAGATATTCCCGTTTCCAACGAAATCCTCAAAGCTATCCAAATATCAACTTGCAGATTCTACAAAAGGAATGTTTCCAAAATGCTGTATCCAAACAAAGGTTCAACTCTGTGAATTGAGGGCATACATCACAAAGAAGATTCTGAGAATGCTTCTGTCTAGATTTTATATGAAAATATTCCCGTTTCCAACGAAATCCTCAAAGCTATCCAAATATCCACTTGCAAATGCCACAAAAAGAGTGTTTCCAAACTGCTCTGTGAAAAGGAAGGTTCAACTCTGTTAGTTGAGTACACACATCACAAAGAGGTTTCTGAGAATGCTGCTGACTAGTTTTTATTTGAAGATATTTCCCTTTTCACCTTAGGCCTAAGAGTGCTCGAAATGTCCATTTCCACATACTCCACAAAGTGTGTTTCAAACGTGCTGTATGAAAGGGAATGTTCAACTCTATGAGTTGAATGCAAACATCACAAAGAAGATTCTGAGAATGCTTTTGTCTAGATTTTATATGAAGATATTCCCGTGTCCAACGAAATTTTCAAAGGTCTCCAAATATCCATTTGTAGATTCTACAAAAAGAGTGTTTCCAAACTGCTGTATCAAAACAAAGGTTGAACTCTGTGAGTTGAG
Organism: Homo sapiens; assembly: GCF_000001405.40. Taxonomy (NCBI): domain Eukaryota; kingdom Metazoa; phylum Chordata; class Mammalia; order Primates; family Hominidae; genus Homo; species Homo sapiens. The sequence goes on along the minus strand of NC_000015.10, from coordinate 19,696,827 downwards.
GACACACATCACAAATAAGTTTCTGAGAATGCTTCTGTCTAGTTTTTATTTGAAGATGTTTCCTTTTTCACCATAGGCCTGAAAGCGCTCGAAATGTCCACTTCCAGATAGTACAGAAAGAGTGTTTCAAACCTGCTCTATGAACGGGAATGTTCAGCTCTGTGAGTTGAATGCAAACATCACAAAGCAGGTTCTGAGAATGCTTCCGTCTAGATTTTAAATGAGGATATTCCCGTTTCCAACGAAATCCTCGAAGCTATCCAAATATCCACTTGCAGATTCCACAAAAAGAGTGTTTCAAAACTGCTCTGTCAAAAGATAGGTTCAACTCTGTTAGTTGAGTACACACATGGCAAACAAGATTCCGAGAATGCTTTCGTCTAGTTTTTTTGGGAAGATATTTCCTTCTTCACCATAGGCCTCAAAGCGCTCCAAATATCCATTTCCACATGCTATACAAAGAGTGTCTCAAACCTGCTGTATGAATGGGAATGTTCAACTCTATGAGTTGAATGCAAACATCACAAAGAAGTTTCTGAGAATGCTGCTGTCTAGATTTTATATGAAGGTTTTCCCGCTTCCAACGAAATTTTCAATGCTCTCAAAATATCCTCTTGTAGATTCTACAAAAAGAGTGTTTCCAAACTGCTGTATCAAAACAAAGGTTCATCTCTGTTAGTTGAGGACACACATCACAAATAAGTTTCTGAGAATGCTTCTGTCTAGTTCTTATTTGAAGACATTTCCTTTCTCACCTTAGGCCTGAAAGCGCTCGAAATACCCACTTCCAGATACTACAGAAACAGTGATTCAAACCTGCTCTATGAAAGGGAATGTTCAACTATGTGACTTGAATGCAAACATCACAAAGCAGTTTCTGAGAATGCTGCTGTCTACTTTCTATTTGTAATCCCGTTTCCAACGAAATCCTCAGAACTATCGAAATTTCCAATTGCAGATTCCACAGAAACAGGGTTTCAAAGCTGCTCTGTAAAAAGAAAGGTTCAACTCTGTTAGTTGAATACACACGTCACAAACAAGTTTCTGAGAATGCTTCTGTCTAGTTTTTATGGGAAGATATTTCCTTTTTCACCGTAGGCCTCAAAGCGCTCCAAATGTCCACTTCCACATACTACAAAAAGAGTGTTTCAAACCTGCTGTATGAAAGGGAATGTTCAACTCTATGAGTTGAATGCAAACATTACAAAGAAGTTTCTGAGAATGCTTCTGTCTAGATTTTATATGAAGGTTTTCCCGTTTCCAACGAAATTTTCAATGCTCTCAAAATATCCACTTGTAGATTCTACAAAAAGAGTGTTTCCAAACTGCTGTGTCAAAAGAAAGGTTCAACTCTGTTAGTTGAGGACACACATCACAAATAAGTTTCTGAGAATGCTGCTGTCTACTTTCTATTTGTAATCCCGTTTCCAACGAAATCCTCAGAACTATCGAAATTTCCAATTGCAGATTCCACAAAAAGCGTGTTTCAAAGCTGCTCTGTAAAAAGAAAGGTTCAACTCTGTTAGTTGAATACACACGTCACAAACAAGTTTCTGAGAATGCTTCTGTCTAGTTTTTATGGGAAGATATTTCCTTTTTCACGGTAGGCCTCAAAGCGCTCCAAATGTCCACTTCCACATACTACAAAAAGAGTGTTTCAAACCTGCTCTATGGTAGGGAATGTTGAAACCTATGAGTTGAATGCAAGCATTACAAAGAGGTTTCTGAGAATGCTTCTGTCTAGATTTTATATGTAGATATTCCCGTTTCCAACGAAATCCTCAAACCTATCCAAATACCAACTTGCAGATACTACAAAAGGAATGTTTCCAAAATGCTGTATCCAAACAAAGGTTCAACTCTGTGAATTGAGGGCATACATCACAAAGAAGATTCTGAGAATGCTTCTGTCTAGATTTTATATGAAAATATTCCCGTTTCCAACGAAATCCTTAAAGCTATCCAAATATCCACTTGCAAATGCCACAAAAAGAGTGTTTCCAAACTGCTCTGTGAAAAGGAAGGTTCAACTCTGTTAGTTGAGTACACACATCACAAAGAGGTTTCTGAGAATGCTGCTGACTAGTTTTTATTTGAAGATATTTCCCTTTTCACCTTAGGCCTAAGAGTGCTCGAAATGTCCATTTCCACATACTCCACAAAGCGTGTTTCAAACGTGCTGTATGAAAGGGAATGTTCAACTCTATGAGTTGAATGCAAACATCACAAAGAAGATTCTGAGAATGCTTTTGTCTAGATTTTATATGAAGATATTCCCGTGTCCAACGAAATTTTCAAAGGTCTCCAAATATCCATTTGTAGATTCTACAAAAAGAGTGTTTCCAAACTGCTGTATCAAAACAAAGGTTGAACTCTGTGAGTTGAGGACACACATCACAAATAAGTTTCTGAGAATGCTTCTGTCTAGTTTTTATTTGAAGATGTTTCCTTTTTCACCATAGGCCTGAAAGCGCTCGAAATGTCCACTTCCAGATAGTACAGAAAGAGTGTTTCAAACCTGCTCTATGAACGGGAATGTTCAGCTCTGTGAGTTGAATGCAAACATCACAAAGCAGGTTCTGAGAATGCTTCCGTCTAGATTTTAAATGAGGATATTCCCGTTTCCAACGAAATCCTCGAAGCTATCCAAATATCCACTTGCAGATTCCACAAAAAGAGTGTTTCAAAACTGCTCTGTCAAAAGATAGGTTCAACTCTGTTAGTTGAGTACACACATGGCAAACAAGATTGCGAGAATGCTTTCGTCTAGTTTTTTTGGGAAGATATTTCCTTCTTCACCATAGGCCTCAAAGCGCTCCAAATATCCATTTCCACATGCTATACAAAGAGTGTCTCAAACCTGCTGTATGAATGGGAATGTTCAACTCTATCAGTTGAATGCAAACATCACAAAGAAGTTTCTGAGAATGCTGCTGTCTAGATTTTATATGAAGGTTTTCCCGCTTCCAACGAAATTTTCAATGCTCTCAAAATATCCTCTTGTAGATTCTACAAAAAGAGTGTTTCCAAACTGCTGTATCAAAACAAAGGTTCATCTCTGTTAGTTGAGGACACACATCACAAATAAGTTTCTGAGAATGCTTCTGTCTAGTTCTTATTTGAAGACATTTCCTTTCTCACCTTAGGCCTGAAAACGCTCGAAATATCCACTTCCAGATACGACAGAAACAGTGATTCAAACCTGCTCTATGAAAGGGAATGTTCAACTAGGTGACTTGAATGCAAACATCACAAAGCAGTTTCTGAGAATGCTGCTGTCTACTTTCTATTTGTAATCCCGTTTCCAACGAAATCCTCAGAACTATCGAAATTTCCAATTGCAGATTCCACAGAAACAGGGTTTCAAAGCTGCTCTGTAAAAAGAAAGGTTCAACTCTGTTAGTTGAATACACACGTCACAAACAAGTTTCTGAGAATGCTTCTGTCTAGTTTTTATGGGAAGATATTTCCTTTTTCACCGTAGGCCTCAAAGCGCTCCAAATGTCCACTTCCACATACTACAAAAAGAGTGTTTCAAACCTGCTGTATGAAAGGGAATGTTCAACTCTATGAGTTGAATGCAAACATTACAAAGAAGTTTCTGAGAATGCTTCTGTCTAGATTTTATATGAAGGTTTTCCCGTTTCCAACGAAATTTTCAATGCTCTCAAAATATCCACTTGTAGATTCTACAAAAAGAGTGTTTCCAAACTGCTGTGTCAAAAGAAAGGTTCAACTCTGTTAGTTGAGGACACACATCACAAATAAGTTTCTGAGAATGCTTCTGTCTAGTTCTTATTTGAAGACATTTCCTTTCTCACCTTAGGCCTGAAAACGCTCGAAATATCCACTTCCAGATACGACAGAAACAGTGATTCAAACCTGCTCTATGAAAGAGAATGTTCAACTAGGTGACTTGAATGCAAACATCACAAAGCAGTTTCTGAGAATGCTGCTGTCTACTTTCTATTTGTAATCCCGTTTGCAACGAAATCCTCAGAACTATCGAAATTTCCAATTGCAGATTCCACAGAAACAGGGTTTCAAAGCTGCTCTGTAAAAAGAAAGGTTCAACTCTGTTAGTTGAATACACACGTCACAAACAAGTTTCTGAGAATGCTTCTGTCTAGTTTTTATGGGAAGATATTTCCTTTTTCACCGTAGGCCTCAAAGCGCTCCAAATGTCCACGTCCACATACTACAAAAAGAGTGTTTCAAACCTGCTGTATGAAAGGGAATGTTCAACTCTATGAGTTGAATGCAAACATTACAAAGAAGTTTCTGAGAATGCTTCTGTCTAGATTTTATATGAAGGTTTTCCCGTTTCCAACGAAATTTTCAATGCTCTCAAAATATCCACTTGTAGATTCTACAAAAAGAGTGTTTCCAAACTGCTGTGTCAAAAGAAAGGTTCAACTCTGTTAGTTGAGGACACACATCACAAATAAGTTTCTGAGAATGCTGCTGTCTACTTTCTATTTGTAATCCCGTTTCCAACGAAATCCTCAGAACTATCGAAATTTCCAATTGCAGATTCCACAAAAAGCGTGTTTCAAAGCTGCTCTGTAAAAAGAAAGGTTCAACTCTGTTAGTTGAATACACACGTCACAAACAAGTTTCTGAGAATGCTTCTGTCTAGTTTTTATGGGAAGATATTTCCTTTTTCACGGTAGGCCTCAAAGCGCTCCAAATGTCCACTTCCACATACTACAAAAAGAGTGTTTCAAACCTGCTCTATGATAGGGAATGTTGAAACCTATGAGTTGAATGCAAGCATTACAAAGAGGTTTCTGAGAATGCTTCTGTCTAGATTTTATATGTAGATATTCCCGTTTCCAACGAAATCCTCAAAGCTATCCAAATATCAACTTGCAGATTCTACAAAAGGAATGTTTCCAAAATGCTGTATCCAAACAAAGGTTCAACTCTGTGAATTGAGGGCATACATCACAAAGAAGATTCTGAGAATGCTTCTGTCTAGATTTTATATGAAAATATTCCCGTTTCCAACGAAATCCTCAAAGCTATCCAAATATCCACTTGCAAATGCCACAAAAAGAGTGTTTCCAAACTGCTCTGTGAAAAGGAAGGTTCAACTCTGTTAGTTGAGTACACACATCACAAAGAGGTTTCTGAGAATGCTGCTGACTAGTTTTTATTTGAAGATATTTCCCTTTTCACCTTAGGCCTAAGAGTGCTCGAAATGTCCATTTCCACATACTCCACAAAGTGTGTTTCAAACGTGCTGTATGAAAGGGAATGTTCAACTCTATCAGTTGAATGCAAACATCACAAAGAAGACTCTGAGAATGCTTTTGTCTAGATTTTATATGAAGATATTCCCGTGTCCAACGAAATTTTCAAAGGTCTCCAAATACCCATTTGTAGATTCTACAAAAAGAGTGTTTCCAAACTGCTGTATCAAAACAAAGGTTGAACTCTGTGAGTTGAGGACACACATCACAAATAAGTTTCTGAGAATGCTTCTGTCTAGTTTTTATTTGAAGATATTTCCTTTTTCACCATAGGCCTGAAAGCGCTCGAAATGTCCACTTCCAGATAGTACAGAAAGAGTGTTTCAAACCTGCTCTATGAACGGGAATGTTCAGCTCTGTGAGTTGAATGCAAACATCACAAAGCAGGTTCTGAGAATGCTTCCGTCTAGATTTTAAATGAGGATATTCCCGTTTCCAACGAAATCCTCGAAGCTATCCAAATATCCACTTGCAGATTCCACAAAAAGAGTGTTTCAAAACTGCTCTGTCAAAAGATAGGTTCAACTCTGTTAGTTGAGTACACACATGGCAAACAAGATTGCGAGAATGCTTTCGTCTAGTTTTTTTGGGAAGATATTTCCTTCTTCAACATAGGCCTCAAAGCGCTCCAAATATCCATTTCCACATGCTATACAAAGAGTGTCTCAAACCTGCTGTATGAATGGGAATGTTCAACTCTATGAGTTGAATGCAAACATCACAAAGAAGTTTCTGAGAATGCTGCTGTCTAGATTTTATATGAAGGTTTTCCCGCTTCCAACGAAATTTTCAATGCTCTCAAAATATCCTCTTGTAGATTCTACAAAAAGAGTGTTTCCAAACTGCTGTATCAAAACAAAGGTTCATCTCTGTTAGGTGAGGACACACATCACAAATAAGTTTCTGAGAATGCTTCTGTCTAGTTCTTATTTGAAGACATTTCCTTTCTCACCTTAGGCCTGAAAGCGCTCGAAATACCCACTTCCAGATACTACAGAAACAGTGATTCAAACCTGCTCTATGAAAGGGAATGTTCAACTAGGTGACTTGAATGCAAACATCACAAAGCAGTTTCTGAGAATGCTGCTGTCTACTTTCTATTTGTAATCCCGTTTCCAACGAAATCCTCAGAACTATCGAAATTTCCAATTGCAGATTCCACAGAAACAGGGTTTCAAAGCTGCTCTGTAAAAAGAAAGGTTCAACTCTGTTAGTTGAATACACACGTCACAAACAAGTTTCTGAGAATGCTTCTGTCTAGTTTTTATGGGAAGATATTTCCTTTTTCACCGTAGGCCTCAAAGCGCTCCAAATGTCCACTTCCACATACTACAAAAAGGGTGTTTCAAACCTGCTGTATGAAAGGGAATGTTCAACTCTATGAGTCGAATGCAAACATTACAAAGAAGTTTCTGAGAATGCTTCTGTCTAGATTTTATATGAAGGTTTTCCCGTTTCCAACGAAATTTTCAATGCTCTCAAAATATCCACTTGTAGATTCTACAAAAAGAGTGTTTCCAAACTGCTGTGTCAAAAGAAAGGTTCAACTCTGTTAGTTGAGGACACACATCAGAAATAAGTTTCTGAGAATGCTTCTGTCTAGTTCTTATTTGAAGACATTTCCTTTCTCACCTTAGGCCTGAAAACGCTCGAAATATCCACTTCCAGATACGACAGAAACAGTGATTCAAACCTGCTCTATGAAAGGGAATGTTCAACTAGGTGACTTGAATGCAAACATCACAAAGCAGTTTCTGAGAATGCTGCTGTCTACTTTCTATTTGTAATCCCGTTTCCAACGAAATCCTCAGAACTATCGAAATTTCCAATTGCAGATTCCACAGAAACAGGGTTTCAAAGCTGCTCTGTAAAAAGAAAGGTTCAACTCTGTTAGTTGAATACACACGTCACAAACAAGTTTCTGAGAATGCTTCTGTCTAGTTTTTATGGGAAGATATTTCCTTTTTCACCGTAGGCCTCAAAGCGCTCCAAATGTCCACTTCCACATACTACAAAAAGAGTGTTTCAAACCTGCTGTATGAAAGGGAATGTTCAACTCTATGAGTTGAATGCAAACATTACAAAGAAGTTTCTGAGAATGCTTCTGTCTAGATTTTATATGAAGGTTTTCCCGTTTCCAACGAAATTTTCAATGCTCTCAAAATATCCACTTGTAGATTCTACAAAAAGAGTGTTTCCAAACTGCTGTGTCAAAAGAAAGGTTCAACTCTGTTAGTTGAGGACACACATCACAAATAAGTTTCTGAGAATGCTGCTGTCTACTTTCTATTTGTAATCCCGTTTCCAACGAAATCCTCAGAACTATCGAAATTTCCAATTGCAGATTCCACAAAAAGCGTGTTTCAAAGCTGCTCTGTAAAAAGAAAGGTTCAACTCTGTTAGTTGAATACACACGTCACAAACAAGTTTCTGAGAATGCTTCTGTCTAGTTTTTATGGGAAGATATTTCCTTTTTCACGGTAGGCCTCAAAGCGCTCCAAATGTCCACTTCCACATACTACAAAAAGAGTGTTTCAAACCTGCTCTATGATAGGGAATGTTGAAACCTATGAGTTGAATGCAAGCATTACAAAGAGGTTTCTGAGAATGCTTCTGTCTAGATTTTATATGTAGATATTCCCGTTTCCAACGAAATCCTCAAACTATCCAAATATCAACTTGCAGATTCTACAAAAGGAATGTTTCCAAAATGCTGTATCCAAACAAAGGTTCAACTCTGTGAATTGAGGGCATACATCACAAAGAAGATTCTGAGAATGCTTCTGTCTAGATTTTATATGAAAATATTCCCGTTTCCAACGAAATCCTCAAAGCTATCCAAATATCCACTTGCAAATGCCACAAAAAGAGTGTTTCCAAACTGCTCTGTGAAAAGGAAGGTTCAACTCTGTTAGTTGAGTACACACATCACAAAGAGGTTTCTGAGAATGCTGCTGACTAGTTTTTATTTGAAGATATTTCCCTTTTCACCTTAGGCCTAAGAGTGCTCGAAATGTCCATTTCCACATACTCCACAAAGTGTGTTTCAAACGTGCTGTATGAAAGGGAATGTTCAACTCTATGAGTTGAATGCAAACATCACAAAGAAGATTCTGAGAATGCTTTTGTCTAGATTTTATATGAAGATATTCCCGTGTCCAACGAAATTTTCAAAGGTCTCCAAATATCCATTTGTAGATTCTACAAAAAGAGTGTTTCCAAACTGCTGTATCAAAACAAAGGTTGAACTCTGTGAGTTGAGGACACACATCACAAATAAGTTTCTGAGAATGCTTCTGTCTAGTTTTTATTTGAAGATGTTTCCTTTTTCACCATAGGCCTGAAAGCGCTCGAAATGTCCACTTCCAGATAGTACAGAAAGAGTGTTTCAAACCTGCTCTATGAACGGGAATGTTCAGCTCTGTGAGTTGAATGCAAACATCACAAAGCAGGTTCTGAGAATGCTTCCGTCTAGATTTTAAATGAGGATATTCCCGTTTCCAACGAAATCCTCGAAGCTATCCAAATATCCACTTGCAGATTCCACAAAAAGAGTGTTTCAAAACTGCTCTGTCAAAAGATAGATTCAACTCTGTTAGTTGAGTACAAACATGGCAAACAAGATTCCGAGAATGCTCTTTCGTCTAGTTTTTTTGGGAAGATATTTCCTTCTTCACCATAGGCCTCAAAGCGCTCCAAATATCCATTTCCACATGCTATACAAAGAGTGTCTCAAACCTGCTGTATGAATGGGAATGTTCAACTCTATGAGTTGAATGCAAACATCACAAAGAAGTTTCTGAGAATGCTGCTGTCTAGATTTTATATGAAGGTTTTCCCGCTTCCAACGAAATTTTCAATGCTCTCAAAATATCCTCTTGTAGATTCTACAAAAAGAGTGTTTCCAAACTGCTGTATGAAAACAAAGGTTCATCTCTGTTAGTTGAGGACACACATCACAAATAAGTTTCTGAGAATGCTTCTGTCTAGTTCTTATTTGAAGACATTTCCTTTCTCACCTTAGGCCTGAAAGCGCTCGAAATACCCACTTCCAGATACTACAGAAACAGTGATTCAAACCTGCTCTATGAAAGGGAATGTTCAACTAGGTGACTTGAATGCAAACATCACAAAGCAGTTTCTGAGAATGCTGCTGTCTACTTTCTATTTGTAATCCCGTTTCCAACGAAATCCTCAGAACTATCGAAATTTCCAATTGCAGATTCCACAAAAACAGGGTTTCAAAGCTGCTCTGTAAAAAGAAAGGTTCAACTCTGTTAGTTGAATACACACGTCACAAACAAGTTTCTGAGAATGCTTCTGTCTAGTTTTTATGGGAAGATATTTCCTTTTTCACCGTAGGCCTCAAAGCGCTCCAAATGTCCACTTCCACATACTACAAAAACAGTGTTTCAAACCTGCTGTATGAAAGGGAATGTTCAACTCTATGAGTTGAATGCAAACATTACAAAGAAGTTTCTGAGAATGCTTCTGTCTAGATTTTATATGAAGGTTTTCCCGTTTCCAACGAAATTTTCAATGCTCTCAAAATATCCACTTGTAGATTCTACAAAAAGAGTGTTTCCAAACTGCTGTGTCAAAAGAAAGGTTCAACTCTGTTAGTTGAGGACACACATCACAAATAAGTTTCTGAGAATGCTGCTGTCTACTTTCTATTTGTAATCCCGTTTCCAACGAAATCCTCAGAACTATCGAAATTTCCAATTGCAGATTCCACAAAAAGCGTGTTTCAAAGCTGCTCTGTAAAAAGAAAGGTTCAACTCTGTTAGTTGAATACACACGTCACAAACAAGTTTCTGAGAATGCTTCTGTCTAGTTTTTATGGGAAGATATTTCCTTTTTCACGGTAGGCCTCAAAGCGCTCCAAATGTCCACTTCCACATACTACAAAAAGAGTGTTTCAAACCTGCTCTATGATAGGGAATGTTGAAACCTATGTGTTGAATGCAAGCATTACAAAGAGGTTTCTGAGAATGCTTCTGTCTAGATTTTATATGTAGATATTCCCGTTTCCAACGAAATCCTCAAAGCTATCCAAATATCAACTTGCAGATTCTACAAAAGGAATGTTTCCAAAATGCTGTATCCAAACAAAGGTTCAACTCTGTGAATTGAGGGCATACATCACAAAGAAGATTCTGAGAATGCTTCTGTCTAGATTTTATATGAAAATATTCCCGTTTCCAACGAAATCCTCAAAGCTATCCAAATATCCACTTGCAAATGCCACAAAAAGAGTGTTTCCAAACTGCTCTGTGAAAAGGAAGGTTCAACTCTGTTAGTTGAGTACACACATCACAAAGAGGTTTCTGAGAATGCTGCTGACTAGTTTTTATTTGAAGATATTTCCCTTTTCACCTTAGGCCTAAGAGTGCTCGAAATGTCCATTTCCACATACTCCACAAAGTGTGTTTCAAACGTGCTGTATGAAAGGGAATGTTCAACTCTATGAGTTGAATGCAAACATCACAAAGAAGATTCTGAGAATGCTTTTGTCTAGATTTTATATGAAGATATTCCCGTGTCCAACGAAATTTTCAAAGGTCTCCAAATATCCATTTGTAGATTCTACAAAAAGAGTGTTTCCAAACTGCTGTATCAAAACAAAGGTTGAACTCTGTGAGTTGAGGACACACATCACAAATAAGTTTCTGAGAATGCTTCTGTCTAGTTTTTATTTGAAGATATTTCCTTTTTCACCATAGGCCTGAAAGCGCTCGAAATATCCACTTCCAGATAGTACAGAAAGAGTGTTTCAAACCTGCTCTATGAATGGGAGTGTTCAGCTCTGTGAGTGGAATGCAAACATCACAAAGCAGGTTCTGAGAATGCTTCCGTCTAGATGTTATATGAGGATATTCCCGTTTCCAACGAAATCCTCGAAGCTATCCAAATATCCATTTGCAGATTCCACAAAAAGAGTGTTTCAAAACTGCTCTGTCAAAAGATAGGTTCAACTCTGTTAGTTGAGTACACACATGGCAAACAAGATTCCGAGAATGCTTTCGTCTAGTTTTTTTGGGAAGATATTTCCTTCTTCACCATAGGCCTCAAAGCGCTCCAAATATCCATTTCCACATACTATACCAAGAGTGTCTCAAACCTGCTGTATGAAAGGGAACGTTCAACTCTATGAGTTGAATGCAAACATCACAAAGAAGTTTCTGAGAATGCTACTGTCTAGATTTTATATGAAGGTTTTCCCGCTTCCAACGAAATTTTCAATGCTCTCCAAATATCCACTTGTAGATTCTACAAAAAGAGTGCTTCCAAACTGCTGTATCAAAACAAAGGTTCAACTCTGTTAGTTGAGGACACACATCACAAATAAGTTTCTGAGAATGCTTCTGTCTAGTTCTTATTTGAAGACATTTCCTTTCTCATCTTAGGCCTGAAAGCGCTCGAAACACCCACTTCCAGATACTACACAGACAGTGATTCAAACCTACTCTATCAAAGGAAATGTTCAACTATGTGACTTGAATGCAAACATCACAAAGCAGTTTCTGAGAATGCTGCTGTCTACTTTCTATTTGTAATCCCGTTTCCAACGAAATCCTCAGAACTATCGAAATTTCCAATTGCAGATTCCACAGAAACAGGGTTTCAAAGCTGCTCTGTAAAAAGAAAGGTTCAACTCTGTTAGTTGAATACACACGTCACAAACAAGTTTCTGAGAATGCTTCTGTCTAGTTTTTATGGGAAGATATTTCCTTTTTCACCGTAGGCCTCAAAGCGCTCCAAATGTCCACTTCCACATACTACAAAAAGAGTGTTTCAAACCTGCTGTATGAAAGGGAATGTTCAACTCTATGAGTTGAATGCAAACATTACAAAGAAGTTTCTGAGAATGCTTCTGTCTAGATTTTATATGAAGGTTTTCCCGTTTCCAACGAAATTTTCAATGCTCTCAAAATATCCACTTGTAGATTCTACAAAAAGAGTGTTTCCAAACTGCTGTGTCAAAAGAAAGGTTCAACTCTGTTAGTTGAGGACACACATCACAAATAAGTTTCTGAGAATGCTGCTGTCTACTTTCTATTTGTAATCCCGTTTCCAACGAAATCCTCAGAACTATCGAAATTTCCAATTGCAGATTCCACAAAAAGCGTGTTTCAAAGCTGCTCTGTAAAAAGAAAGGTTCAACTCTGTTAGTTGAATACACACGTCACAAACAAGTTTCTGAGAATGCTTCTGTCTAGTTTTTATGGGAAGATATTTCCTTTTTCACCGTAGGCCTCAAAGCGCTCCAAATGTCCACTTCCACATACTACAAAAAGAGTGTTTCAAACCTGCTCTATGATAGGGAATGTTGAAACCTATGAGTTGAATGCAAGCATTACAAAGAGGTTTCTGAGAATGCTTCTGTCTAGATTTTATATGTAGATATTCCCGTTTCCAACGAAATCCTCAAAGCTATCCAAATATCAACTTGCAGATTCTACAAAAGGAATGTTTCCAAAATGCTGTATCCAAACAAAGGTTCAACTCTGTGAATTGAGGGCATACATCACAAAGAAGATTCTGAGAATGCTTCTGTCTAGATTTTATATGAAAATATTCCCGTTTCCAACGAAATCCTCAAAGCTATCCAAATATCCACTTGCAAATGCCACAAAAAGAGTGTTTCCAAACTGCTCTGTGAAAAGGAAGGTTCAACTCTGTTAGTTGAGTACACACATCACAAAGAGGTTTCTGAGAATGCTGCTGACTAGTTTTTATTTGAAGATATTTCCCTTTTCACCTTAGGCCTAAGAGTGCTCGAAATGTCCATTTCCACATACTCCACAAAGTGTGTTTCAAACGTGCTGTATGAAAGGGAATGTTCAACTCTATGAGTTGAATGCAAACATCACAAAGAAGATTCTGAGAATGCTTTTGTCTAGATTTTATATGAAGATATTCCCGTGTCCAACGAAATTTTCAAAGGTCTCCAAATATCCATTTGTAGATTCTACAAAAAGAGTGTTTCCAAACTGCTGTATCAAAACAAAGGTTGAACTCTGTGAGTTGAGGACACACATCACAAATAAGTTTCTGAGAATGCTTCTGTCTAGTTTTTATTTGAAGATGTTTCCTTTTTCACCATAGGCCTGAAAGCGCTCGAAATGTCCACTTCCAGATAGTACAGAAAGAGTGTTTCAAACCTGCTCTATGAACGGGAATGTTCAGCTCTGTGAGTTGAATGCAAACATCACAAAGCAGGTTCTGAGAATGCTTCCGTCTAGATTTTAAATGAGGATATTCCCGTTTCCAACGAAATCCTCGAAGCTATCCAAATATCCACTTGCAGATTCCACAAAAAGAGTGTTTCAAAACTGCTCTGTCAAAAGATAGGTTCAACTCTGTTAGTTGAGTACACACATGGCAAACAAGATTCCGAGAATGCTTTCGTCTAGTTTTTTTGGGAAGATATTTCCTTCTTCACCATAGGCCTCAAAGCGCTCCAAATATCCATTTCCACATGCTATACAAAGAGTGTCTCAAACCTGCTGTATGAATGGGAATGTTCAACTCTATGAGTTGAATGCAAACATCACAAAGAAGTTTCTGAGAATGCTGCTGTCTAGATTTTATATGAAGGTTTTCCCGCTTCCAACGAAATTTTCAATGCTCTCAAAATATCCTCTTGTAGATTCTACAAAAAGAGTGTTTCCAAACTGCTGTATCAAAACAAAGGTTCATCTCTGTTAGTTGAGGACACACATCACAAATAAGTTTCTGAGAATGCTTCTGTCTAGTTCTTATTTGAAGACATTTCCTTTCTCACCTTAGGCCTGAAAGCGCTCGAAATACCCACTTCCAGATACTACAGAAACAGTGATTCAAACCTGCTCTATGAAAGGGAATGTTCAACTATGTGACTTGAATGCAAACATCACAAAGCAGTTTCTGAGAATGCTGCTGTCTACTTTCTATTTGTAATCCCGTTTCCAACGAAATCCTCAGAACTATCGAAATTTCCAATTGCAGATTCCACAGAAACAGGGTTTCAAAGCTGCTCTGTAAAAAGAAAGGTTCAACTCTGTTAGTTGAATACACACGTCACAAACAAGTTTCTGAGAATGCTTCTGTCTAGTTTTTATGGGAAGATATTTCCTTTTTCACCGTAGGCCTCAAAGCGCTCCAAATGTCCACGTCCACATACTACAAAAAGAGTGTTTCAAACCTGCTGTATGAAAGGGAATGTTCAACTCTATGAGTTGAATGCAAACATTACAAAGAAGTTTCTGAGAATGCTTCTGTCTAGATTTTATATGAAGGTTTTCCCGTTTCCAACGAAATTTTCAATGCTCTCAAAATATCCACTTGTAGATTCTACAAAAAGAGTGTTTCCAAACTGCTGTGTCAAAAGAAAGGTTCAACTCTGTTAGTTGAGGACACACATCACAAATAAGTTTCTGAGAATGCTGCTGTCTACTTTCTATTTGTAATCCCGTTTCCAACGAAATCCTCAGAACTATCGAAATTTCCAATTGCAGATTCCACAAAAAGCGTGTTTCAAAGCTGCTCTGTAAAAAGAAAGGTTCAACTCTGTTAGTTGAATACACACGTCACAAACAAGTTTCTGAGAATGCTTCTGTCTAGTTTTTATGGGAAGATATTTCCTTTTTCACCGTAGGCCTCAAAGCGCTCCAAATGTCCACTTCCACATACTACAAAAAGAGTGTTTCAAACCTGCTCTATGATAGGGAATGTTGAAACCTATGAGTTGAATGCAAGCATTACAAAGAGGTTTCTGAGAATGCTTCTGTCTAGATTTTATATGTAGATATTCCCGTTTCCAACGAAATCCTCAAAGCTATCCAAATATCAACTTGCAGATTCTACAAAAGGAATGTTTCCAAAATGCTGTATCCAAACAAAGGTTCAACTCTGTGAATTGAGGGCATACATCACAAAGAAGATTCTGAGAATGCTTCTGTCTAGATTTTATATGAAAATATTCCCGTTTCCAACGAAATCCTCAAAGCTATCCAAATATCCACTTGCAAATGCCACAAAAAGAGTGTTTCCAAACTGCTCTGTGAAAAGGAAGGTTCAACTCTGTTAGTTGAGTACACACATCACAAAGAGGTTTCTGAGAATGCTGCTGACTAGTTTTTATTTGAAGATATTTCCCTTTTCACCTTAGGCCTAAGAGTGCTCGAAATGTCCATTTCCACATACTCCACAAAGTGTGTTTCAAACGTGCTGTATGAAAGGGAATGTTCAACTCTATGAGTTGAATGCAAACATCACAAAGAAGACTCTGAGAATGCTTTTGTCTAGATTTTATATGAAGATATTCCCGTGTCCAACGAAATTTTCAAAGGTCTCCAAATACCCATTTGTAGATTCTACAAAAAGAGTGTTTCCAAACTGCTGTATCAAAACAAAGGTTGAACTCTGTGAGTTGAGGACACACATCACAAATAAGTTTCTGAGAATGCTTCTGTCTAGTTTTTATTTGAAGATGTTTCCTTTTTCACCATAGGCCTGAAAGCGCTCGATATGTCCACTTCCAGATAGTACAGAAAGAGTGTTTCAAACCTGCTCTATGAACGGGAATGTTCAGCTCTGTGAGTTGAATGCAAACATCACAAAGCAGGTTCTGAGAATGCTTCCGTCTAGATTTTAAATGAGGATATTCCCGTTTCCAACGAAATCCTCGAAGCTATCCAAATATCCACTTGCAGATTCCACAAAAAGAGTGTTTCAAAACTGCTCTGTCAAAAGATAGGTTCAACTCTGTTAGTTGAGTACACACATGGCAAACAAGATTCCGAGAATGCTTTCGTCTAGTTTTTTTGGGAAGATATTTCCTTCTTCACCATAGGCCTCAAAGCGCTCCAAATATCCATTTCCACATGCTATACAAAGAGTGTCTCAAACCTGCTGTATGAATGGGAATGTTCAACTCTATGAGTTGAATGCAAACATCACAAAGAAGTTTCTGAGAATGCTGCTGTCTAGATTTTATATGAAGGTTTTCCCGCTTCCAACGAAATTTTCAATGCTCTCAAAATATCCTCTTGTAGATTCTACAAAAAGAGTGTTTCCAAACTGCTGTATCAAAACAAAGGTTCATCTCTGTTAGTTGAGGACACACATCACAAATAAGTTTCTGAGAATGCTTCTGTCTAGTTCTTATTTGAAGACATTTCCTTTCTCACCTTAGGCCTGAAAGCGCTCGAAATACCCACTTCCAGATACTACAGAAACAGTGATTCAAACCTGCTCTATGAAAGGGAATGTTCAACTCTATGAGTTGAATGCAAACATCACAAAGCAGTTTCTGAGAATGCTGCTGTCTACTTTCTATTTGTAATCCCGTTTCCAACGAAATCCTCAGAACTATCGAAATTTCCAATTGCAGATTCCACAGAAACAGGGTTTCAAAGCTGCTCTGTAAAAAGAAAGGTTCAACTCTGTTAGTTGAATACACACGTCACAAACAAGTTTCTGAGAATGCTTCTGTCTAGTTTTTATGGGAAGATATTTCCTTTTTCACCGTAGGCCTCAAAGCGCTCCAAATGTCCACTTCCACATACTACAAAAAGAGTGTTTCAAACCTGCTGTATGAAAGGGAATGTTCAACTCTATGAGTCGAATGCAAACATCACAAAGAAGTTTCTGAGAATGCTTCTGTCTAGATTTTATATGAAGGTTTTCCCGTTTCCAACGAAATTTTCAATGCTCTCAAAATATCCACTTGTAGATTCTACAAAAAGAGTGTTTCCAAACTGCTGTGTCAAAAGAAAGGTTCAACTCTGTTAGTTGAGGACACACATCACAAATAAGTTTCTGAGAATGCTTCTGTCTAGTTCTTATTTGAAGACATTTCCTTTCTCACCTTAGGCCTGAAAACGCTCGAAATATCCACTTCCAGATACGACAGAAACAGTGATTCAAACCTGCTCTATGAAAGGGAATGTTCAACTAGGTGACTTGAATGCAAACATCACAAAGCAGTTTCTGAGAATGCTGCTGTCTACTTTCTATTTGTAATCCCGTTTCCAACGAAATCCTCAGAACTATCGAAATTTCCAATTGCAGATTCCACAGAAACAGGGTTTCAAAGCTGCTCTGTAAAAAGAAAGGTTCAACTCTGTTAGTTGAATACACACGTCACAAACAAGTTTCTGAGAATGCTTCTGTCTAGTTTTTATGGGAAGATATTTCCTTTTTCACCGTAGGCCTCAAAGCGCTCCAAATGTCCACGTCCACATACTACAAAAAGAGTGTTTCAAACCTGCTGTATGAAAGGGAATGTTCAACTCTATGAGTTGAATGCAAACATTACAAAGAAGTTTCTGAGAATGCTTCTGTCTAGATTTTATATGAAGGTTTTCCCGTTTCCAACGAAATTTTCAATGCTCTCAAAATATCCACTTGTAGATTCTACAAAAAGAGTGTTTCCAAACTGCTGTGTCAAAAGAAAGGTTCAACTCTGTTAGTTGAGGACACACATCACAAATAAGTTTCTGAGAATGCTGCTGTCTACTTTCTATTTGTAATCCCGTTTCCAACGAAATCCTCAGAACTATCGAAATTTCCAATTGCAGATTCCACAAAAAGCGTGTTTCAAAGCTGCTCTGTAAAAAGAAAGGTTCAACTCTGTTAGTTGAATACACACGTCACAAACAAGTTTCTGAGAATGCTTCTGTCTAGTTTTTATGGGAAGATATTTCCTTTTTCACCGTAGGCCTCAAAGTGCTCCAAATGTCCACTTCCACATACTACAAAAAGAGTGTTTCAAACCTGCTGTATGAAAGGGAATGTTCAACTCTATGAGTTGAATGCAAACATTACAAAGAAGTTTCTGAGAATGCTTCTGTCTAGATTTTATATGAAGATTTTCCCGTTTCCAACGAAATTTTCAATGCTCTCAAAATATCCACTTGTAGATTCTACAAAAAGAGTGTTTCCAAACTGCTGTGTCAAAAGAAAGGTTCAACTCTGTTAGTTGAGGACACACATCACAAATAAGTTTCTGAGAATGCTTCTGTCTAGTTCTTATTTGAAGACATTTCCTTTCTCACCTTAGGCCTGAAAACGCTCGAAATATCCACTTCCAGACACGACAGAAACAGTGATTCAAACCTGCTCTATGAAAGGGAATGTTCAACTAGGTGACTTGAATGCAAACATCACAAAGCAGTTTGCTGAGAATGCTGCTGTCTACTTTCTATTTGTAATCCCGTTTCCAACGAAATCCTCAGAACTATCGAAATTTCCAATTGCAGATTCCACAGAAACAGGGTTTCAAAGCTGCTCTGTAAAAAGAAAGGTTCAACTCTGTTAGTTGAATACACACGTCACAAACAAGTTTCTGAGAATGCTTCTGTCTAGTTTTTATGGGAAGATATTTCCTTTTTCACCGTAGGCCTCAAAGCGCTCCAAATGTCCACTTCCACATACTACAAAAAGAGTGTTTCAAACCTGCTGTATGAAAGGGAATGTTCAACTCTATGAGTTGAATGCAAACATTACAAAGAAGTTTCTGAGAATGCTTCTGTCTAGATTTTATATGAAGGTTTTCCCGTTTCCAACGAAATTTTCAATGCTCTCAAAATATCCACTTGTAGATTCTACAAAAAGAGTGTTTCCAAACTGCTGTGTCAAAAGAAAGGTTCAACTCTGTTAGTTGAGGACACACATCACAAATAAGTTTCTGAGAATGCTGCTGTCTACTTTCTATTTGTAATCCCGTTTCCAACGAAATCCTCAGAACTATCGAAATTTCCAATTGCAGATTCCACAAAAAGCGTGTTTCAAAGCTGCTCTGTAAAAAGAAAGGTTCAACTCTGTTAGTTGAATACACACGTCACAAACAAGTTTCTGAGAATGCTTCTGTCTAGTTTTTATGGGAAGATATTTCCTTTTTCACCGTAGGCCTCAAAGCGCTCCAAATGTCCACTTCCACATACTACAAAAAGAGTGTTTCAAACCTGCTCTATGATAGGGAATGTTGAAACCTATGAGTTGAATGCAAGCATTACAAAGAGGTTTCTGAGAATGCTTCTGTCTAGATTTTATATGTAGATATTCCCGTTTCCAACGAAATCCTCAAAGCTATCCAAATATCAACTTGCAGATTCTACAAAAGGAATGTTTCCAAAATGCTGTATCCAAACAAAGGTTCAACTCTGTGAATTGAGGGCATACATCACAAAGAAGATTCTGAGAATGCTTCTGTCTAGATTTTATATGAAAATATTCCCGTTTCCAACGAAATCCTCAAAGCTATCCAAATATCCACTTGCAAATGCCACAAAAAGACTGTTTCCAAACTGCTCTGTGAAAAGGAAGGTTCAACTCTGTTAGTTGAGTACACACATCACAAAGAGGTTTCTGAGAATGCTGCTGACTAGTTTTTATTTGAAGATATTTCCCTTTTCACCTTAGGCCTAAGAGTGCTCGAAATGTCCATTTCCACATACTCCACAAAGTGTGTTTCAAACGTGCTGTATGAAAGGGAACGTTCAACTCTATGAGTTGAATGCAAACATCACAAAGAAGATTCTGAGAATGCTTTTGTCTAGATTTTATATGAAGATATTCCCGTGTCCAACGAAATTTTCAAAGGTCTCCAAATATCCATTTGTAGATTCTACAAAAAGAGTGTTTCCAAACTGCTGTATCAAAACAAAGGTTGAACTCTGTGAGTTGAGGACACACATCACAAATAAGTTTCTGAGAATGCTTCTGTCTAGTTTTTATTTGAAGATGTTTCCTTTTTCACCATAGGCCTGAAAGCGCTCGAAATGTCCACTTCCAGATAGTACAGAAAGAGTGTTTCAAACCTGCTCTATGAACGGGAATGTTCAGCTCTGTGAGTTGAATGCAAACATCACAAAGCAGGTTCTGAGAATGCTTTCCGTCTAGATTTTAAATGAGGATATTCCCGTTTCCAACGAAATCCTCGAAGCTATCCAAATATCCATTTGCAGATTCCACAAAAAGAGTGTTTCAAAACTGCTCTGTCAAAAGATAGGTTCAACTCTGTTAGTTGAGTACACACATGGCAAACAAGATTCCGAGAATGCTTTCGTCTAGTTTTTTTGGGAAGATATTTCCTTCTTCACCATAGGCCTCAAAGCGCTCCAAATATCCATTTCCACATGCTATACAAAGAGTGTCTCAAACCTGCTGTATGAATGGGAATGTTCAACTCTATGAGTTGAATGCAAACATCACAAAGAAGTTTCTGAGAATGCTGCTGTCTAGATTTTATATGAAGGTTTTCCCGCTTCCAACGAAATTTTCAATGCACTCAAAATATCCTCTTGTAGATTCTACAAAAAGAGTGTTTCCAAACTGCTGTATCAAAACAAAGGTTCATCTCTGTTAGTTGAGGACACACATCACAAATAAGTTTCTGAGAATGCTTCTGTCTAGTTCTTATTTGAAGACATTTCCTTTCTCACCTTAGGCCTGAAAGCGCTCGAAATACCCACTTCCAGATACTACAGAAACAGTGATTCAAACCTGCTCTATGAAAGGGAATGTTCAACTAGGTGACTTGAATGCAAACATCACAAAGCAGTTTCTGAGAATGCTGCTGTCTACTTTCTATTTGTAATCCCGTTTCCAACGAAATCCTCAGAACTATCGAAATTTCCAATTGCAGATTCCACAGAAACAGGGTTTCAAAGCTGCTCTGTAAAAAGAAAGGTTCAACTCTGTTAGTTGAATACACACGTCACAAACAAGTTTCTGAGAATGCTTCTGTCTAGTTTTTATGGGAAGATATTTCCTTTTTCACCGTAGGCCTCAAAGCGCTCCAAATGTCCACGTCCACATACTACAAAAAGAGTGTTTCAAACCTGCTGTATGAAAGGGAATGTTCAACTCTATGAGTTGAATGCAAACATTACAAAGAAGTTTCTGAGAATGCTTCTGTCTAGATTTTATATGAAGGTTTTCCCGTTTCCAACGAAATTTTCAATGCTCTCAAAATATCCACTTGTAGATTCTACAAAAAGAGTGTTTCCAAACTGCTGTGTCAAAAGAAAGGTTCAACTCTGTTAGTTGAGGACACACATCACAAATAAGTTTCTGAGAATGCTGCTGTCTACTTTCTATTTGTAATCCCGTTTCCAACGAAATCCTCAGAACTATCGAAATTTCCAATTGCAGATTCCACAAAAAGCGTGTTTCAAAGCTGCTCTGTAAAAAGAAAGGTTCAACTCTGTTAGTTGAATACACACGTCACAAACAAGTTTCTGAGAATGCTTCTGTCTAGTTTTTATGGGAAGATATTTCCTTTTTCACCGTAGGCCTCAAAGCGCTCCAAATGTCCACTTCCACATACTACAAAAAGAGTGTTTCAAACCTGCTCTATGATAGGGAATGTTGAAACCTATGAGTTGAATGCAAGCATTACAAAGAGGTTTCTGAGAATGCTTCTGTCTAGGATTTTATATGTAGATATTCCCGTTTCCAACGAAATCCTCAAAGCTATCCAAATATCAGCTTGCAGATTCTGCAAAAGGAATGTTTCCAAAATGCTGTATCCAAACAAAGGTTCAACTCTGTGAATTGAGGGCATACATCACAAAGAAGATTCTGAGAATGCTTCTGTCTAGGATTTTATATGTAGATATTCCCGTTTCCAACGAAATCCTCAAAGCTATCCAAATATCAGCTTGCAGATTCTGCAAAAGGAATGTTTCCAAAATGCTGTATCCAAACAAAGGTTCAACTCTGTGAATTGAGGGCATACATCACAAAGAAGATTCTGAGAATGCTTCTGTCTAGATTTTATATGAAAATATTCCCGTTTCCAACGAAATCCTCAAAGCTATCCAAATATCCACTTGCAAATGCCACAAAAAGAGTGTTTCCAAACTGCTCTGTGAAAAGGAAGGTTCAACTCTGTTAGTTGAGTACACACATCACAAAGAGGTTTCTGAGAATGCTGCTGACTAGTTTTTATTTGAAGATATTTCCCTTTTCACCTTAGGCCTAAGAGTGCTCGAAATGTCCATTTCCACATACTCCACAAAGTGTGTTTCAAACGTGCTGTATGAAAGGGAATGTTCAACTCTATGAGTTGAATGCAAACATCACAAAGAAGATTCTGAGAATGCTTTTGTCTAGATTTTATATGAAGATATTCCCGTGTCCAACGAAATTTTCAAAGGTCTCCAAATATCCATTTGTAGATTCTACAAAAAGAGTGTTTCCAAACTGCTGTATCAAAACAAAGGTTGAACTCTGTGAGTTGAGGACACACATCACAAATAAGTTTCTGAGAATGCTTCTGTCTAGTTTTTATTTGAAGATGTTTCCTTTTTCACCATAGGCCTGAAAGCGCTCGAAATGTCCACTTCCAGATAGTACAGAAAGAGTGTTTCAAACCTGCTCTATGAACGGGAATGTTCAGCTCTGTGAGTTGAATGCAAACATCACAAAGCAGGTTCTGAGAATGCTTCCGTCTAGATTTTAAATGAGGATATTCCCGTTTCCAACGAAATCCTCGAAGCTATCCAAATATCCACTTGCAGATTCCACAAAAAGAGTGTTTCAAAACTGCTCTGTCAAAAGATAGGTTCAACTCTGTTAGTTGAGTACACACATGGCAAACAAGATTGCGAGAATGCTTTCGTCTAGTTTTTTTGGGAAGATATTTCCTTCTTCACCATAGGCCTCAAAGCGCTCCAAATATCCATTTCCACATGCTATACAAAGAGTGTCTCAAACCTGCTGTATGAATGGGAATGTTCAACTCTATGAGTTGAATGCAAACATCACAAAGAAGTTTCTGAGAATGCTGCTGTCTAGATTTTATATGAAGGTTTTCCCGCTTCCAACGAAATTTTCAATGCTCTCAAAATATCCTCTTGTTGATTCGACAAAAAGAGTGTTTCCAAACTGCTGTATCAAAACAAAGGTTCATCTCTGTTAGTTGAGGACACACATCACAAATAAGTTTCTGAGAATGCTTCTGTCTAGTTCTTATTTGAAGACATTTCCTTTCTCACCTTAGGCCTGAAAGCGCTCGAAATACCCACTTCCAGATACTACAGAAACAGTGATTCAAACCTGCTCTATGAAAGGGAATGTTCAACTATGTGACTTGAATGCAAACATCACAAAGCAGTTTCTGAGAATGCTGCTGTCTACTTTCTATTTGTAATCCCGTTTCCAACGAAATCCTCAGAACTATCGAAATTTCCAATTGCAGATTCCACAGAAACAGGGTTTCAAAGCTGCTCTGTAAAAAGAAAGGTTCAACTCTGTTAGTTGAATACACACGTCACAAACAAGTTTCTGAGAATGCTTCTGTCTAGTTTTTATGGGAAGATATTTCCTTTTTCACCGTAGGCCTCAAAGCGCTCCAAATGTCCACTTCCACATACTACAAAAAGAGTGTTTCAAACCTGCTGTATGAAAGGGAATGTTCAACTCTATGAGTCGAATGCAAACATTACAAAGAAGTTTCTGAGAATGCTTCTGTCTAGATTTTATATGAAGGTTTTCCCGTTTCCAACGAAATTTTCAATGCTCTCAAAATATCCACTTGTAGATTCTACAAAAAGAGTGTTTCCAAACTGCTGTGTCAAAAGAAAGGTTCAACTCTGTTAGTTGAGGACACACATCACAAATAAGTTTCTGAGAATGCTTCTGTCTAGTTCTTATTTGAAGACATTTCCTTTCTCACCTTAGGCCTGAAAACGCTCGAAATATCCACTTCCAGATACGACAGAAACAGTGATTCAAACCTGCTCTATGAAAGGGAATGTTCAACTAGGTGACTTGAATGCAAACATCACAAAGCAGTTTCTGAGAATGCTGCTGTCTACTTTCTATTTGTAATCCCGTTTCCAACGAAATCCTCAGAACTATCGAAATTTCCAATTGCAGATTCCACAGAAACAGGGTTTCAAAGCTGCTCTGTAAAAAGAAAGGTTCAACTCTGTTAGTTGAATACACACGTCACAAACAAGTTTCTGAGAATGCTTCTGTCTAGTTTTTATGGGAAGATATTTCCTTTTTCACCGTAGGCCTCAAAGCGCTCCAAATGTCCACTTCCACATACTACAAAAAGAGTGTTTCAAACCTGCTGTATGAAAGGGAATGTTTAACTCTATGAGTTGAATGCAAACATTACAAAGAAGTTTCTGAGAATGCTTCTGTCTAGATTTTATATGAAGGTTTTCCCGTTTCCAAGGAAATTTTCAATGCTCTCAAAATATCCACTTGTAGATTCTACAAAAAGAGTGTTTCCAATCTGCTGTGTCAAAACAAAGGTTCAACTCTGTTAGTTGAGGACACACATCACAAAGAGGTTTCTGAGAATGCTGCTGTCTACTTTCTATTTGTAATCCCGTTTCCAACGAAATCCTCAGAACTATCGAAATTTCCAATTGCAGATTCCACAAAAAGCGTGTTTCAAAGCTGCTCTGTAAAAAGAAAGGTTCAACTCTGTTAGTTGAATACACACGTCACAAACAAGTTTCTGAGAATGCTTCTGTCTAGTTTTTATGGGAAGATATTTCCTTTTTCACCGTAGGCCTCAAAGCGCTCCAAATGTCCACTTCCACATACTACAAAAAGAGTGTTTCAAACCTGCTGTATGAAAGGGAATGTTCAACTCTATGAGTTGAATGCAAACATTACAAAGAAGTTTCTGAGAATGCTTCTGTCTAGATTTTATATGAAGATTTTCCCGTTTCCAACGAAATTTTCAATGCTCTCAAAATATTCACTTGTAGATTCTACAAAAAGAGTGTTTCCAAACTGCTGTGTCAAAAGAAAGGTTCAACTCTGTTAGTTGAGGACACACATCACAAATAAGTTTCTGAGAATGCTTCTGTCTAGTTCTTATTTGAAGACATTTCCTTTCTCACCTTAGGCCTGAAAACGCTCGAAATATCCACTTCCAGATACGACAGAAACAGTGATTCAAACCTGCTCTATGAAAGGGAATGTTCAACTAGGTGACTTGAATGCAAACATCACAAAGCAGTTTCTGAGAATGCTGCTGTCTACTTTCTATTTGTAATCCCGTTTCCAACGAAATCCTCAGAACTATCGAAATTTCCAATTGCAGATTCCACAGAAACAGGGTTTCAAAGCTGCTCTGTAAAAAGAAAGGTTCAACTCTGTTAGTTGAATACACACGTCACAAACAAGTTTCTGAGAATGCTTCTGTCTAGTTTTTATGGGAAGATATTTCCTTTTTCACCGTAGGCCTCAAAGCGCTCCAAATGTCCACTTCCACATACTACAAAAAGAGTGTTTCAAACCTGCTGTATGAAAGGGAATGTTCAACTCTATGAGTTGAATGCAAACATTACAAAGAAGTTTCTGAGAATGCTTCTGTCTAGATTTTATATGAAGGTTTTCCCGTTTCCAACGAAATTTTCAATGCTCTCAAAATATCCACTTGTAGATTCTACAAAAAGAGTGTTTCCTAACTGCTGTGTCAAAAGAAAGGTTCAACTCTGTTAGTTGAGGACACACATCACAAATAAGTTTCTGAGAATGCTTCTGTCTAGTTCTTATTTGAAGACATTTCCTTTCTCACCTTAGGCCTGAAAACGCTCGAAATATCCACTTCCAGATACGACAGAAACAGTGATTCAAACCTGCTCTATGAAAGGGAATGTTCAACTAGGTGACTTGAATGCAAACATCACAAAGCAGTTTCTGAGAATGCTGCTGTCTACTTTCTATTTGTAATCCCGTTTCCAACGAAATCCTCAGAACTATCGAAATTTCCAATTGCAGATTCCACAGAAACAGGGTTTCAAAGCTGCTCTGTAAAAAGAAAGGTTCAACTCTGTTAGTTGAATACACACGTCACAAACAAGTTTCTGAGAATGCTTCTGTCTAGTTTTTATGGGAAGATATTTCCTTTTTCACCGTAGGCCTCAAAGCGCTCCAAATGTCCACTTCCACATACTACAAAAAGAGTGTTTCAAACCTGCTGTATGAAAGGGAATGTTCAACTCTATGAGTTGAATGCAAACATTACAAAGAAGTTTCTGAGAATGCTTCTGTCTAGATTTTATATGAAGGTTTTCCCGCTTCCAACGAAATTTTCAATGCTCTCAAAATATCCTCTTGTAGATTCTACAAAAAGAGTGTTTCCAAACTGCTGTATCAAAACAAAGGTTCATCTCTGTTAGTTGAGGACACACATCACAAATAAGTTTCTGAGAATGCTTCTGTCTAGTTCTTATTTGAAGACATTTCCTTTCTCACCTTAGGCCTGAAAGCGCTCGAAATACCCACTTCCAGATACTACAGAAACAGTGATTCAAACCTGCTCTATGAAAGGGAATGTTCAACTAGGTGACTTGAATGCAAACATCACAAAGCAGTTTCTGAGAATGCTGCTGTCTACTTTCTATTTGTAATCCCGTTTCCAACGAAATCCTCAGAACTATCGAAATTTCCAATTGCAGATTCCACAGAAACAGGGTTTCAAAGCTGCTCTGTAAAAAGAAAGGTTCAACTCTGTTAGTTGAATACACACGTCACAAACAAGTTTCTGAGAATGCTTCTGTCTAGTTTTTATGGGAAGATATTTCCTTTTTCACCGTAGGCCTCAAAGCGCTCCAAATGTCCACTTCCACATACTACAAAAAGAGTGTTTCAAACCTGCTGTATGAAAGGGAATGTTCAACTCTATGAGTTGAATGCAAACATTACAAAGAAGTTTCTGAGATGCTTCTGTCTAGTTCTTATTTGTAGACGTTTCCTTTCTCACCTTAGGCCTGAAAGCGCTCGAAATGTCCACTTCCAGATAGTACAGAAATAGTGATTCAAACCTGCTCTATGAAAGGGAATGTTCAACTAGGTGACTTGAATGCAAACATCACAAAGCAGTTTCTCAGAATGCTGCTGTCTACTTTCTATTTGTAATCCCGTTTCCAACGAAATCCTCAGAACTATCGAAATTTTCAATTGCAGATTCCACAAAAAGAGTGTTTCAAAGCTGCCCTGTAAAAAGAAAGGTTCAACTCTGTTAGTTGAATACACACGTCACAAACAAGTTTCTGAGAATGCTTCTGTCTAGTTTTTATGGGAAGATATTTCCTTTTTCACCGTAGGCCTCAAAGGGCTCCAAATGTCCATTTCCACATACTACAAAAAGAGTGTTTCAAACCTGCTGTATGAAACAGAATGTGCAACTCTATGAGTTGAATGCAAACATTACAAAGTAGTTTCTTCGAATGCTTCTGTCTAGATTTTATATGTAGATATTCCCGTTTCCAACGAAATCCTCAAAGCTATCCAAATATCAACTTGCAGATTCTACAAAAGGAATGTTTCCAAAATGCTGTATCCAAACAAAGGTTCAACTCTGTGAATTGAGGGCATACATCACAAAGAAGATTCTGAGAATGCTTCTGTCTAGATTTTATATGAAAATATTCCCGTTTCCAACGAAATCCTCAAAGCTATCCAAATATCCACTTGCAAATGCCACAAAAAGAGTGTTTCCAAACTGCTCTGTGAAAAAGAAGGTTCAACTCTGTTAGTTGAGTACACACATCACAAAGAGGTTTCTGAGAATGCTGCTGACTAGTTTTTATTTGAAGATATTTCCCTTTTCACCTTAGGCCTAAGAGTGCTCGAAATGTCCATTTCCACATACTCCACAAAGTGTGTTTCAAACGTGCTGTATGAAAGGGAATGTTCAACTCTATGAGTTGAATGCAAACATCACAAAGAAGATTCTGAGAATGCTTTTGTCTAGATTTTATATGAAGATATTTCCGTGTCCAACGAAATTTTCAAAGGTCTCCAAATATCCATTTGTAGATTCTACAAAAAGAGTGTTTCCAAACTGCTGTATCAAAACAAAGGTTGAACTCTGTGAGTTGAGGACACACATCACAAATAAGTTTCTGAGAATGCTTCTGTCTAGTTTTTATTTGAAGATGTTTCCTTTTTCACCTTAGGCCTGAAAGCGCTCGAAATGTCCACTTCCAGATAGTACAGAAAGAGTGTTTCAAACCTGCTCTATGAACGGGAATGTTCAGCTCTGTGAGTTGAATGCAAACATCACAAAGCAGGTTCTGAGAATGCTTCCGTCTAGATTTTAAATGAGGATATTCCCGTTTCCAACGAAATCCTCGAAGCTATCCAAATATCCACTTGCAGATTCCACAAAAAGAGTGTTTCAAAACTGCTCTGTCAAAAGATAGGTTCAACTCTGTTAGTTGAGTACACACATGGCAAACAAGATTCCGAGAATGCTTTCGTCTAGTTTTTTAGGGAAGATATTTCCTTCTTCACCATAGGCCTCAAAGCGCTCCAAATATCCATTTCCACATGCTATACAAAGAGTGTCTCAAACCTGCTGTATGAATGGGAATGTTCAACTCTATGAGTTGAATGCAAACATCACAAAGAAGTTTCTGAGAATGCTGCTGTCTAGATTTTATATGAAGGTTTTCCCGCTTCCAACGAAATTTTCAATGCTCTCAAAATATCCTCTTGTAGATTCTACAAAAAGAGTGTTTCCAAACTGCTGTATCAAAACAAAGGTTCATCTCTGTTAGTTGAGGACACACATCACAAATAAGTTTCTGTGAATGCTTCTGTCTAGTTCTTATTTGAAGACATTTCCTTTCTCACCTTAGGCCTGAAAGCGCTCGAAATACCCACTTCCAGATACTACAGAAACAGTGATTCAAACCTGCTCTATGAAAGGGAATGTTCAACTAGGTGACTTGAATGCAAACATCACAAAGCAGTTTCTGAGAATGCTGCTGTCTACTTTCTATTTGTAATCCCGTTTCCAACGAAATCCTCAGAACTATCGAAATTTCCAATTGCAGATTCCACAGAAACAGGGTTTCAAAGCTGCTCTGTAAAAAGAAAGGTTCAACTCTGTTAGTTGAATACACACGTCACAAACAAGTTTCTGAGAATGCTTCTGTCTAGTTTTTATGGGAAGATATTTCCTTTTTCACCGTAGGCCTCAAAGCGCTCCAAATGTCCACTTCCACATACTACAAAAAGAGTGTTTCAAACCTGCTGTATGAAAGGGAATGTTCAACTCTATGAGTTGAATGCAAACATTACAAAGAAGTTTCTGAGAATGCTTCTGTCTAGATTTTATATGAAGGTTTTCCCGTTTCCAACGAAATTTTCAATGCTCTCAAAATATCCACTTGTAGATTCTACAAAAAGAGTGTTTCCAAACTGCTGTGTCAAAAGAAAGGTTCAACTCTGTTAGTTGAGGACACACATCACAAATAAGTTTCTGAGAATGCTTCTGTCTAGTTCTTATTTGAAGACATTTCCTTTCTCACCTTAGGCCTGAAAGCGCTCGAAATATCCACTTCCAGATACGACAGAAACTGTGATTCAAACCTGCTCTATGAAAGGGAATGTTCAACTAGGTGACTTGAATGCAAACATCACAAAGCAGTTTCTGAGAATGCTGCTGTCTACTTTCTATTTGTAATCCCGTTTCCAACGAAATCCTCAGAACTATCGAAATTTCCAATTGCAGATTCCACAGAAACAGGGTTTCAAAGCTGCTCTGTAAAAAGAAAGGTTCAACTCTGTTAGTTGAATACACACGTCACAAACAAGTTTCTGAGAATGCTTCTGTCTAGTTTTTATGGGAAGATATTTCCTTTTTCACCGTAGGCCTCAAAGCGCTCCAAATGTCCACTTCCACATACTACAAAAAGAGTGTTTCAAACCTGCTGTATGAAAGGGAATGTTCAACTGTATGAGTTGAATGCAAACATTACAAAGAAGTTTCTGAGAATGCTTCTGTCTAGATTTTATATGAAGCTTTTCCCGTTTCCAACGAAATTTTCAATGCTCTCAAAATATCCACTTGTAGATTCTACAAAAAGAGTGTTTCCAAACTGCTGTGTCAAAAGAAAGGTTCAACTCTGTTAGTTGAGGACACACATCACAAATAAGTTTCTGAGAATGCTTCTGTCTAGTTCTTATTTGAAGACATTTCCTTTCTCACCTTAGGCCTGAAAACGCTCGAAATATCCACTTCCAGATACGACAGAAACAGTGATTCAAACCTGCTCTATGAAAGGGAATGTTCAACTAGGTGACTTGAATGCAAACATCCACAAAGCAGTTTCTGAGAATGCTGCTGTCTACTTTCTATTTGTAATCCCGTTTCCAACGAAATCCTCAGAACTATCGAAATTTCCAATTGCAGATTCCACAGAAACAGGGTTTCAAAGCTGCTCTGTAAAAAGAAAGGTTCAACTCTGTTAGTTGAATACACACGTCACAAACAAGTTTCTGAGAATGCTTCTGTCTAGTTTTTATGGGAAGATATTTCCTTTTTCACCGTAGGCCTCAAAGCGCTCCAAATGTCCACGTCCACATACTACAAAAAGAGTGTTTCAAACCTGCTGTATGAAAGGGAATGTTCAACTCTATGAGTTGAATGCAAACATTACAAAGAAGTTTCTGAGAATGCTTCTGTCTAGATTTTATATGAAGGTTTTCCCGTTTCCAACGAAATTTTCAATGCTCTCAAAATATCCACTTGTAGATTCTACAAAAAGAGTGTTTCCAAACTGCTGTGTCAAAAGAAAGGTTCAACTCTGTTAGTTGAGGACACACATCACAAATAAGTTTCTGAGAATGCTGCTGTCTACTTTCTATTTGTAATCCCGTTTCCAACGAAATCCTCAGAACTATCGAAATTTCCAATTGCAGATTCCACAAAAAGCGTGTTTCAAAGCTGCTCTGTAAAAAGAAAGGTTCAACTCTGTTAGTTGAATACACACGTCACAAACAAGTTTCTGAGAATGCTTCTGTCTAGTTTTTATGGGAAGATATTTCCTTTTTCACGGTAGGCCTCAAAGCGCTCCAAATGTCCACTTCCACATACTACAAAAAGAGTGTTTCAAACCTGCTCTATGATAGGGAATGTTGAAACCTATGAGTTGAATGCAAGCATTACAAAGAGGTTTCTGAGAATGCTTCTGTCTAGATTTTATATGTAGATATTCCCGTTTCCAACGAAATCCTCAAAGCTATCCAAATATCAACTTGCAGATTCTACAAAAGGAATGTTTCCAAAATGCTGTATCCAAACAAAGGTTCAACTCTGTGAATTGAGGGCATACATCACAAAGAAGATTCTGAGAATGCTTCTGTCTAGATTTTATATGAAAATATTCCCGTTTCCATCGAAATCCTCAAAGCTATCCAAATATCCACTTGCAAATGCCACAAAAAGAGTGTTTCCAAACTGCTCTGTGAAAAGGAAGGTTCAACTCTGTTAGTTGAGTACACACATCACAAAGAGGTTTCTGAGAATGCTGCTGACTAGTTTTTATTTGAAGATATTTCCCTTTTCACCTTAGGCCTAAGAGTGCTCGAAATGTCCATTTCCACATACTCCACAAAGTGTGTTTCAAACGTGCTGTATGAAAGGGAATGTTCAACTCTATGAGTTGAATGTAAACATCACAAAGAAGATTCTGAGAATGCTTTTGTCTAGATTTTATATGAAGATATTCCCGTGTCCAACGAAATTTTCAAAGTTCTCCAAATATCCATTTGTAGATTCTACAAAAAGAGTGTTTCCAAACTGCTGTATCAAAACAAAGGTTGAACTCTGTGAGTTGAGGACACACATCACAAATAAGTTTCTGAGAATGCTTCTGTCTAGTTTTTATTTGAAGATGTTTCCTTTTTCACCATAGGCCTGAAAGCGCTCGAAATGTCCACTTCCAGATAGTACAGAAAGAGTGTTTCAAACCTGCTCTATGAACGGGAATGTTCAGCTCTGTGAGTTGAATGCAAACATCACAAAGCAGGTTCTGAGAATGCTTCCGTCTAGATTTTAAATGAGGATATTCCCGTTTCCAACGAAATCCTCGAAGCTATCCAAATATCCACTTGCAGATTCCACAAAAAGAGTGTTTCAAAACTGCTCTGTCAAAAGATAGGTTCAACTCTGTTAGTTGAGTACACACATGGCAAACAAGATTGCGAGAATGCTTTCGTCTAGTTTTTTTGGGAAGATATTTCCTTCTTCACCATAGGCCTCAAAGCGCTCCAAATATCCATTTCCACATGCTATACAAAGAGTGTCTCAAACCTGCTGTATGAATGGGAATGTTCAACTCTATGAGTTGAATGCAAACATCACAAAGAAGTTTCTGAGAATGCTGCTGTCTAGATTTTATATGAAGGTTTTCCCGCTTCCAACGAAATTTTCAATGCTCTCAAAATATCCTCTTGTAGATTCTACAAAAAGAGTGTTTCCAAACTGCTGTATCAAAACAAAGGTTCATCTCTGATAGTTGAGGACACACATCACAAATAAGTTTCTGAGAATGCTTCTGTCTAGTTCTTATTTGAAGACATTTCCTTTCTCACCTTAGGCCTGAAAGCGCTCGAAATACCCACTTCCAGATACTACAGAAACAGTGATTCAAACCTGCTCTATGAAAGGGAATGTTCAACTATGTGACTTGAATGCAAACATCACAAAGCAGTTTCTGAGAATGCTGCTGTCTACTTTCTATTTGTAATCCCGTTTCCAACGAAATCCTCAGAACTATCGAAATTTCCAATTGCAGATTCCACAGAAACAGGGTTTCAAAGCTGCTCTGTAAAAAGAAAGGTTCAACTCTGTTAGTTGAATACACACGTCACAAACAAGTTTCTGAGAATGCTTCTGTCTAGTTTTTATGGGAAGATATTTCCTTTTTCACCGTAGGCCTCAAAGCGCTCCAAATGTCCACGTCCACATACTACAAAAAGAGTGTTTCAAACCTGCTGTATGAATGGGAATGTTCAACTCTATGAGTTGAATGCAAACATTACAAAGAAGTTTCTGAGAATGCTTCTGTCTAGATTTTATATGAAGGTTTTCCCGTTTCCAACGAAATTTTCAATGCTCTCAAAATATCCACTTGTAGATTCTACAAAAAGAGTGTTTCCAAACTGCTGTGTCAAAAGAAAGGTTCAACTCTGTTAGTTGAGGACACACATCACAAATAAGTTTCTGAGAATGCTTCTGTCTAGTTCTTATTTGAAGACATTTCCTTTCTCACCTTAGGCCTGAAAACGCTCGAAATATCCACTTCCAGATACGACAGAAACAGTGATTCAAACCTGCTCTATGAAAGGGAATGTTCAACTAGGTGACTTGAATGCAAACATCACAAAGCAGTTTCTGAGAATGCTGCTGTCTACTTTCTATTTGTAATCCCGTTTCCAACGAAATCCTCAGAACTATCGAAATTTCCAATTGCAGATTCCACAGAAACAGGGTTTCAAAGCTGCTCTGTAAAAAGAAAGGTTCAACTCTGTTAGTTGAATACACACGTCACAAACAAGTTTCTGAGAATGCTTCTGTCTAGTTTTTATGGGAAGATATTTCCTTTTTCACCGTAGGCCTCAAAGCGCTCCAAATGTCCACTTCCACATACTACAAAAAGAGTGTTTCAAACCTGCTGTATGAAAGGGAATGTTCAACTCTATGAGTTGAATGCAAACATTACAAAGAAGTTTCTGAGAATGCTTCTGTCTAGATTTTATATGAAGGTTTTCCCGTTTCCAACGAAATTTTCAATGCTCTCAAAATATCCACTTGTAGATTCTACAAAAAGAGTGTTTCCAAACTGCTGTGTCAAAAGAAAGGTTCAACTCTGTTAGTTGAGGACACACATCACAAATAAGTTTCTGAGAATGCTTCTGTCTAGTTCTTATTTGAAGACATTTCCTTTCTCACCTTAGGCCTGAAAACGCTCGAAATATCCACTTCCAGATACGACAGAAACAGTGATTCAAACCTGCTCTATGAAAGGGAATGTTCAACTAGGTGACTTGAATGCAAACATCACAAAGCAGTTTCTGAGAATGCTGCTGTCTACTTTCTATTTGTAATCCCGTTTCCAACGAAATCCTCAGAACTATCGAAATTTCCAATTGCAGATTCCACAAAAAGCGTGTTTGAAAGCTGCTCTGTAAAAAGAAAGGTTCAACTCTGTTAGCTGAATACACACGTCACAAACAAGTTTCTGAGAATGCTTCTGTCTAGTTTTTATGGGAAGATATTTCCTTTTTCACCGTAGGCCTCAAAGCGCTCCAAATGTCCACTTCCACATACTACAAAAAGAGTGTTTCAAACCTGCTCTATGATAGGGAATATTGAAACCTATGAGTTGAATGCAAACATTACAAAGAGGTTTCTGAGAATGCTTCTGTCTAGATTTTATATGTAGATATTCCCGTTTCCAACGAAATCCTCAAAGCTATCCAAATACCAACTTGCAGATACTACAAAAGGAATGTTTCCAAAATGCTGTATCGAAACAAAGGTTCAACTCTGTGAATTGAGGGCATACATCACAAAGAAGATTCTGAGAATGCTTCTGTCTAGATTTTATATGAAAATATTCCCGTTTCCAACGAAATCCTCAAAGCTATCCAAATATCCACTTGCAAATGCCACAAAAAGAGTGTTTCCAAACTGCTCTGTGAAAAGGAAGGTTCAACTCTGTTAGTTGAGTACACACATCACAAAGAGGTTTCTGAGAATGCTGCTGACTAGTTTTTATTTGAAGATATTTCCCTTTTCACCTTAGGCCTAAGAGTGCTCGAAATGTCCATTTCCACATACTCCACAAAGTGTGTTTCAAACGTGCTGTATGAAAGGGAATGTTCAACTCTATGAGTTGAATGCAAACATCACAAAGAAGATTCTGAGAATGCTTTTGTCTAGATTTTATATGAAGATATTCCCGTGTCCAACGAAATTTTCAAAGGTCTCCAAATATCCATTTGTAGATTCTACAAAAAGAGTGTTTCCAAACTGCTGTATCAAAACAAAGGTTGAAATCTGTGAGTTGAGGACACACATCACAAATAAGTTTCTGAGAATGCTTCTGTCTAGTTTTTATTTGAAGATATTTCCTTTTTCACCATAGGCCTGAAAGCGCTCGAAATGTCCACTTCCAGATAGTACAGAAAGAGTGTTTCAAACCTGCTCTATGAACAGGAATGTTCAGCTCTGTGAGTTGAATGCAAACATCACAAAGCAGGTTCTGAGAATGCTTCCGTCTAGATTTTAAATGAGGATATTCCCGTTTCCAACGAAATCCTCGAAGCTATCCAAATATCCACTTGCAGATTCCACAAAAAGAGTGTTTCAAAACTGCTCTGTCAAAAGATAGGTTCAACTCCGTTAGTTGAGTACACACATGGCAAACAAGATTCCGAGAATGCTTTCGTCTAGTTTTTTTGGGAAGATATTTCCTTCTTCACCATAGGCCTCAAAGCGCTCCAAATATCCATTTCCACATGCTATACAAAGAGTGTCTCAAACCTGCTGTATGAATGGGAATGTTCAACTCTATGAGTTGAATGCAAACATCACAAAGAAGTTTCTGAGAATGCTTGCTGTCTAGTATTTTATATGAAGGTTTTCCCGCTTCCAACGAAATTTTCAATGCTCTCAAAATATCCTCTTGTAGATTCTACAAAAAGAGTGTTTCCAAACTGCTGTATCAAAACAAAGGTTCATCTCTGTTAGTTGAGGACACACATCACAAATAAGTTTCTGAGAATGCTTCTGTCTAGTTCTTATTTGAAGACATTTCCTTTCTCACCTTAGGCCTGAAAGCGCTCGAAATACCCACTTCCTGATACTACAGAAACAGTGATTCAAACCTGCTCTATGAAAGGGAATGTTCAACTATGTGACTTGAATGCAAACATCACAAAGCAGTTTCTGAGAATGCTGCTGTCTACTTTCTATTTGTAATCCCGTTTCCAACGAAATCCTCAGAACTATCGAAATTTCCAATTGCAGATTCCACAGAAACAGGGTTTCAAAGCTGCTCTGTAAAAAGAAAGGTTCAACTCTGTCAGTTGAATACACACGTCACAAACAAGTTTCTGAGAATGCTTCTGTCTAGTTTTTATGGGAAGATATTTCCTTTTTCACCGTAGGCCTCAAAGCGCTCCAAATGTCCACTTCCACATACTACAAAAAGAGTGTTTCAAACCTGCTGTATGAAAGTGAATGTTCAACTCTATGAGTTGAATGCAAACATTACAAAGAAGTTTCTGAGAATGCTTCCGTCTAGATTTTATATGAAGGTTTTCCCGTTTCCAACGAAATTTTCAATGCTCTCAAAATATCCACTTGTAGATTCTACAAAAACAGTGATTCCAAACTGCTGTGTCAAAAGAAAGGTTCAACTCTGTTAGTTGAGGACACACATCACAAATAAGTTTCTGAGAATGCTTCTGTCTAGTTCTTATTTGAAGACATTTCCTTTCTCACCTTAGGCCTGAAAACGCTCGAAATATCCACTTCCAGATACGACAGAAACAGTGATTCAAACCTGCTCTATGAAAGGGAATGTTCAACTAGGTGACTTGAATGCAAACATCACAAAGCAGTTTCTGAGAATGCTGCTGTCTACTTTCTATTTGTAATCCCGTTTCCAACGAAATCCTCAGAACTATCGAAATTTCCAATTGCAGATTCCACAGAAACAGGGTTTCAAAGCTGCTCTGTAAAAAGAAAGGTTCAACTCTGTTAGTTGAATACACACGTCACAAACAAGTTTCTGAGAATGCTTCTGTCTAGTTTTTATGGGAAGATATTTCCTTTTTCACCGTAGGCCTCAAAGCGCTCCAAATGTCCACGTCCACATACTACAAAAAGAGTGTTTCAAACCTGCTGTATGAAAGGGAATGTTCAACTCTATGAGTTGAATGCAAACATTACAAAGAAGTTTCTGAGAATGCTTCTGTCTAGATTTTATATGAAGGTTTTCCCGTTTCCAACGAAATTTTCAATGCTCTCAAAATATCCACTTGTAGATTCTACAAAAAGAGTGTTTCCAAACTGCTGTGTCAAAAGAAAGGTTCAACTCTGTTAGTTGAGGACACACATCACAAATAAGTTTCTGAGAATGCTTCTGTCTAGTTCTAATTTGAAGACATTTCCTTTCTCACCTTAGGCCTCAAAACGCTCGAAATATCCACTTCCAGATACGACAGAAACAGTGATTCAAACCTGCTCTATGAAAGGGAATGTTCAACTAGGTGACTTGAATGCAAACATCACAAAGCAGTTTCTGAGAATGCTGCTGTCTACTTTCTATTTGTAATCCCGTTTCCAACGAAATCCTCAGAACTATCGAAATTTCCAATTGCAGATTCCACAGAAACAGGGTTTCAAAGCTGCTCTGTAAAAAGAAAGGTTCAACTCTGTTAGTTGAATACACACGTCACAAACAAGTTTCTGAGAATGCTTCTGTCTAGTTTTTATGGGAAGATATTTCCTTTTTCACCGTAGGCCTCAAAGCGCTCCAAATGTCCACTTCCACATACTAGAAAAAGAGTGTTTCAAACCTGCTGTATGAAAGGGAATGTTCAACTCTATGAGTTGAATGCAAACATTACAAAGAAGTTTCTGAGAATGCTTCTGTCTAGATTTTATATGAAGGTTTTCCCGTTTCCAACGAAATTTTCAATGCTCTCAAAATATCCACTTGTAGATTCTACAAAAAGAGTGTTTCCAAACTGCTGTGTCAAAAGAAAGGTTCAACTCTGTTAGTTGAGGACACACATCACAAATAAGTTTGTGAGAATGCTGCTGTCTACTTTCTATTTGTAATCCCGTTTCCAACGAAATCCTCAGAACTATCGAAATTTCCAATTGCAGATTCCACAAAAAGCGTGTTTCAAAGCTGCTCTGTAAAAAGAAAGGTTCAACTCTGTTAGTTGAATACACACGTCACAAACAAGTTTCTGAGAATGCTTCTGTCTAGTTTTTATGGGAAGATATTTCCTTTTTCACCGTAGGCCTCAAAGCGCTCCAAATGTCCACTTCCACATACTACAAAAAGAGTGTTTCAAACCTGCTCTATGATAGGGAATGTTGAAACCTATGAGTTGAATGCAAGCATTACAAAGAGGTTTCTGAGAATGCTTCTGTCTAGATTTTATATGTAGATATTCCCGTTTCCAACGAAATCCTCAAAGCTATCCAAATATCAACTTGCAGATTCTACAAAAGGAATGTTTCCAAAATGCTGTATCCAAACAAAGGTTCAACTCTGTGAATTGAGGGCATACATCACAAAGAAGATTCTGAGAATGCTTCTGTCTAGATTTTATATGAAAATATTCCCGTTTCCAACGAAATCCTCAAAGCTATCCAAATATCCACTTGCAAATGCCACAAAAAGAGTGTTTCCAAACTGCTCTGTGAAAAGGAAGGTTCAACTCTGTTAGTTGAGTACACACATCACAAAGAGGTTTCTGAGAATGCTGCTGACTAGTTTTTATTTGAAGATATTTCCCTTTTCACCTTAGGCCTAAGAGTGCTCGAAATGTCCATTTCCACATACTCCACAAAGTGTGTTTCAAACGTGCTGTATGAAAGGGAATGTTCAACTCTATGAGTTGAATGCAAACATCACAAAGAAGATTCTGAGAATGCTTTTGTCTAGATTTTATATGAAGATATTCCCGTGTCCAACGAAATTTTCAAAGGTCTCCAAATATCCATTTGTAGATTCTACAAAAAGAGTGTTTCCAAACTGCTGTATCAAAACAAAGGTTGAACTCTGTGAGTTGAGGACACACATCACAAATAAGTTTCTGAGAATGCTTCTGTCTAGTTTTTATTTGAAGATGTTTCCTTTTTCACCATAGGCCTGAAAGCGCTCGAAATGTCCACTTCCAGATAGTACAGAAAGAGTGTTTCAAACCTGCTCTATGAACGGGAATGTTCAGCTCTGTGAGTTGAATGCAAACATCACAAAGCAGGTTCTGAGAATGCTTCCGTCTAGATTTTAAATGAGGATATTCCCGTTTCCAAAGAAATCCTCGAAGCTATCCAAATATCCACTTGCAGATTCCACAAAAAGAGTGTTTCAAAACTGCTCTGTCAAAAGATAGGTTCAACTCTGTTAGTTGAGTACACACATGGCAAACAAGATTCCGAGAATGCTTTCGTCTAGTTTTTTTGGGAAGATATTTCCTTCTTCACCATAGGCCTCAAAGCGCTCCAAATATCCATTTCCACATGCTATACAAAGAGTGTCTCAAACCTGCTGTATGAATGGGAATGTTCAACTCTATGAGTTGAATGCAAACATCACAAAGAAGTTTCTGAGAATGCTGCTGTCTAGATTTTATATGAAGGTTTCCCGCTTCCAACGAAATTTTCAATGCTCTCAAAATATCCTCTTGTAGATTCTACAAAAAGAGTGTTTCCAAACTGCTGTATCAAAACAAAGGTTCATCTCTGTTAGTTGAGGACACACATCACAAATAAGTTTCTGAGAATGCTTCTGTCTAGTTCTTATTTGAAGACATTTCCTTTCTCACCTTAGGCCTGAAAGCGCTCGAAACACCCACTTCCAGATACTACAGAAACAGTGATTCAAACCTGCTCTATGAAAGGGAATGTTCAACTATGTGACTTGAATGCAAACATCACAAAGCAGTTTCTGAGAATGCTGCTGTCTACTTTCTATTTGTAATCCCGTTTCCAACGAAATCCTCAGAACTATCGAAATTTCCAATTGCAGATTCCACAGAAACAGGGTTTCAAAGCTGCTCTGTAAAAAGAAAGGTTCAACTCTGTTAGTTGAATACACACGTCACAAACAAGTTTCTGAGAATGCTTCTGTCTAGTTTTTATGGGAAGATATTTCCTTTTTCACCGTAGGCCTCAAAGCGCTCCAAATGTCCACGTCCACATACTACAAAAAGAGTGTTTCAAACCTGCTGTATGAAAGGGAATGTTCAACTCTATGAGTTGAATGCAAACATTACAAAGAAGTTTCTGAGAATGCTTCTGTCTAGATTTTATATGAAGGTTTTCCCGTTTCCAACGAAATTTTCAATGCTCTCAAAATATCCACTTGTAGATTCTACAAAAAGAGTGTTTCCAAACTGCTGTGTCAAAAGAAAGGTTCAACTCTGTTAGTTGAGGACACACATCACAAATAAGTTTCTGAGAATGCTGCTGTCTACTTTCTATTTGTAATCCCGTTTCCAACGAAATCCTCAGAACTATCGAAATTTCCAATTGCAGATTCCACAAAAAGCGTGTTTCAAAGCTGCTCTGTAAAAAGAAAGGTTCAACTCTGTTAGTTGAATACACACGTCACAAACAAGTTTCTGAGAATGCTTCTGTCTAGTTTTTATGGGAAGATATTTCCTTTTTCACCGTAGGCCTCAAAGCGCTCCAAATGTCCACTTCCACATACTACAAAAAGAGTGTTTCAAACCTGCTCTATGATAGGGAATGTTGAAACCTATGAGTTGAATGCAAGCATTACAAAGAGGTTTCTGAGAATGCTTCTGTCTAGATTTTATATGTAGATATTCCCGTTTCCAACGAAATCCTCAAACTATCCAAATATCAACTTGCAGATTCTACAAAAGGAATGTTTCCAAAATGCTGTATCCAAACAAAGGTTCAACTCTGTGAATTGAGGGCATACATCACAAAGAAGATTCTGAGAATGCTTCTGTCTAGATTTTATATGAAAATATTCCCGTTTCCAACGAAATCCTCAAAGCTATCCAAATATCCACTTGCAAATGCCACAAAAAGAGTGTTTCCAAACTGCTCTGTGAAAAGGAAGGTTCAACTCTGTTAGTTGAGTACACACATCACAAAGAGGTTTCTGAGAATGCTGCTGACTAGTTTTTATTTGAAGATATTTCCCTTTTCACCTTAGGCCTAAGAGTGCTCGAAATGTCCATTTCCACATACTCCACAAAGTGTGTTTCAAACGTGCTGTATGAAAGGGAATGTTCAACTCTATGAGTTGAATGCAAACATCACAAAGAAGATTCTGAGAATGCTTTTGTCTAGATTTTATATGAAGATATTCCCGTGTCCAACGAAATTTTCAAAGGTCTCCAAATATCCATTTGTAGATTCTACAAAAAGAGTGTTTCCAAACTGCTGTATCAAAACAAAGGTTGAACTCTGTGAGTTGAGGACACACATCACAAATAAGTTTCTGAGAATGCTTCTGTCTAGTTTTTATTTGAAGATGTTTCCTTTTTCACCATAGGCCTGAAAGCGCTCGAAATGTCCACTTCCAGATAGTACAGAAAGAGTGTTTCAAACCTGCTCTATGAACGGGAATGTTCAGCTCTGTGAGTTGAATGCAAACATCACAAAGCAGGTTCTGAGAATGCTTCCGTCTAGATTTTAAATGAGGATATTCCCGTTTCCAACGAAATCCTCGAAGCTATCCAAATATCCACTTGCAGATTCCACAAAAAGAGTGTTTCAAAACTGCTCTGTCAAAAGATAGGTTCAACTCTGTTAGTTGAGTACACACATGGCAAACAAGATTGCGAGAATGCTTTCGTCTAGTTTTTTTGGGAAGATATTTCCTTCTTCACCATAGGCCTCAAAGCGCTCCAAATATCCATTCCCACATGCTATACAAAGAGT
This sequence comes from Homo sapiens, assembly GCF_000001405.40. Classification (NCBI taxonomy): domain Eukaryota; kingdom Metazoa; phylum Chordata; class Mammalia; order Primates; family Hominidae; genus Homo; species Homo sapiens. The sequence continues at coordinate 19,655,139 of NC_000015.10, read as the reverse complement.
GTCTCAAACCTGCTGTATGAATGGGAATGTTCAACTCTATGAGTTGAATGCAAACATCACAAAGAAGTTTCTGAGAATGCTGCTGTCTAGATTTTATATGAAGGTTTTCCCGCTTCCAACGAAATTTTCAATGCTCTCAAAATATCCTCTTGTAGATTCTACAAAAAGAGTGTTTCCAAACTGCTGTATCAAAACAAAGGTTCATCTCTGTTAGTTGAGGACACACATCACAAATAAGTTTCTGAGAATGCTTCTGTCTAGTTCTTATTTGAAGACATTTCCTTTCTCACCTTAGGCCTGAAAGCGCTCGAAATACCCACTTCCAGATACTACAGAAACAGTGATTCAAACCTGCTCTATGAAAGGGAATGTTCAGCTCTGTGAGTTGAATGCAAACATCACAAAGCAGTTTCTGAGAATGCTGCTGTCTACTTTCTATTTGTAATCCCGTTTCCAACGAAATCCTCAGAACTATCGAAATTTCCAATTGCAGATTCCACAGAAACAGGGTTTCAAAGCTGCTCTGTAAAAAGAAAGGTTCAACTCTGTTAGTTGAATACACACGTCACAAACAAGTTTCTGAGAATGCTTCTGTCTAGTTTTTATGGGAAGATATTTCCTTTTTCACCGTAGGCCTCAAAGCGCTCCAAATGTCCACTTCCACATACTACAAAAAGAGTGTTTCAAACCTGCTGTATGAAAGGGAATGTTCAACTCTATGAGTTGAATGCAAACATTACAAAGAAGTTTCTGAGAATGCTTCTGTCTAGTTCTTATTTGAAGACATTTCCTTTCTCACCTTAGGCCTGAAAGCGCTCGAAATATGCACTTCCAGATACTACAGAGACAGTGATTCAAACCTGCTCTATGAAAGGGAATGTTCAACTATGTGACTTGAATGCAAACATCACAAAGCAGTTTCTGAGAATGCTGCTGTCGACTTTCTATTTGTAATCCCGTTTCCAACGAAATCCTCAGAACTATCGAAATTTCCAATTGCAGATTCCACAAAAAGAGTGTTTCAAAGCTGCTCTGTAAAAAGAAAGGTTCAACTCTGTTAGTTGAATACACGTCAGAAACAAGTTTCTGAGAATGCTTCTGTCTAGTTTTTATGGGAAGATATTTCCTTTTTCACCGTAGGCCTCAAAGCGCTCCAAATGTCCACTTCCACATACTACAAAAAGAGTGTTTCAAACCTGCTCTATGATAGGGAATGTTGAAACCTATGAGTTGAATGCAAGCATTACAAAGAGGTTTCTGAGAATGCTTCTGTCTAGATTTTATATGTAGATATTCCCGTTTCCAACGAAATCCTCAAAGCTATCCAAATATCAACTTGCAGATTCTACAAAAGGAATGTTTCCAAAATGCTGTATCCAAACAAAGGTTCAACTCTGTGAATTGAGGGCATACATCACAAAGAAGATTCTGAGAATGCTTCTGTCTAGATTTTATATGAAAATATTCCCGTTTCCAACGAAATCCTCAAAGCTATCCAAATATCCACTTGCAAATGCCACAAAAAGAGTGTTTCCAAACTGCTCTGTGAAAAGGAAGGTTCAACTCTGTTAGTTGAGTACACACATCACAAAGAGGTTTCTGAGAATGCTGCTGACTAGTTTTTATTTGAAGATATTTCCCTTTTCACCTTAGGCCTAAGAGTGCTCGAAATGTCCATTTCCACATACTCCACAAAGTGTGTTTCAAACGTGCTGTATGAAAGGGAATGTTCAACTCTATGAGTTGAATGCAAACATCACAAAGAAGATTCTGAGAATGCTTTTGTCTAGATTTTATATGAAGATATTCCCGTGTCCAACGAAATTTTCAAAGGTCTCCAAATATCCATTTGTAGATTCTACAAAAAGAGTGTTTCCAAACTGCTGTATCAAAACAAAGGTTGAACTCTGTGAGTTGAGGACACACATCACAAATAAGTTTCTGAGAATGCTTCTGTCTAGTTTTTATTTGAAGATGTTTCCTTTTTCACCATAGGCCTGAAAGCGCTCGAAATGTCCACTTCCAGATAGTACAGAAAGAGTGTTTCAAACCTGCTCTATGAACGGGAATGTTCAGCTCTGTGAGTTGAATGCAAACATCACAAAGCAGGTTCTGAGAATGCTTCCGTCTAGATTTTAAATGAGGATATTCCCGTTTCCAACGAAATCCTCGAAGCTATCCAAATATCCACTTGCAGATTCCACAAAAAGAGTGTTTCAAAACTGCTCTGTCAAAAGATAGGTTCAACTCTGTTAGTTGAGTACACACATGGCAAACAAGATTCCGAGAATGCTTTCGTCTAGTTTTTTTGGGAAGATATTTCCTTCTTCACCATAGGCCTCAAAGCGCTCCAAATATCCATTTCCACATGCTATACAAAGAGTGTCTCAAACCTGCTGTATGAATGGGAATGTTCAACTCTATGAGTTGAATGCAAACATCACAAAGAAGTTTCTGAGAATGCTGCTGTCTAGATTTTATATGAAGGTTTTCCCGCTTCCAACGAAATTTTCAATGCTCTCAAAATATCCTCTTGTAGATTCTACAAAAAGAGTGTTTCCAAACTGCTGTATCAAAACAAAGGTTCATCTCTGTTAGTTGAGGACACACATCACAAATAAGTTTCTGAGAATGCTTCTGTCTAGTTCTTATTTGAAGACATTTCCTTTCTCACCTTAGGCCTGAAAACGCTCGAAATATCCACTTCCAGATACGACAGAAACTGTGATTCAAACCTGCTCTATGAAAGGGAATGTTCAACTAGGTGACTTGAATGCAAACATCAGAAAGCAGTTTCTGAGAATGCTGCTGTCTACTTTCTATTTGTAATCCCGTTTCCAACGAAATCCTCAGAACTATCGAAATTTCCAATTGCAGATTCCACAGAAACAGGGTTTCAAAGCTGCTCTGTAAAAAGAAAGGTTCAACTCTGTTAGTTGAATACACACGTCACAAACAAGTTTCTGAGAATGCTTCTGTCTAGTTTTTATGGGAAGATATTTCCTTTTTCACCGTAGGCCTCAAAGCGCTCCAAATGTCCACTTCCACATACTACAAAAAGAGTGTTTCAAACCTGCTGTATGAAAGTGAATGTTCAACTCTATGAGTTGAATGCAAACCTTACAAAGAAGTTTCTGAGAATGCTGCTGTCTAGATTTTATATGAAGGTTTTCCCGCTTCCAACGAAATTTTCAATGCTCTCAAGATATCCTCTTGTAGATTCTACAAAAAGAGTGTTTCCAAACTGCTGTATCAAAACAAAGGTTCATCTCTGTTAGTTGAGGACACACATCACAAATAAGTTTCTCAGAATGCTTCTGTCTAGTTCTTATTTGAAGACATTTCTTTTCTCACCTTAGGCCTGAAAGCGCTCGAAATACCCACTTCCAGATACTACAGAAAAAGTGATTCAAACCTGCTCTATGAAAGGGAATGTTCAACTATGTGACTTGAACGCAAACATCACAAAGCAGTTTCTGAGAATGCTGCTGTCTACTTTCTATTTGTAATCCCGTTTCCAACGAAATCCTCAGAACTATCGAAATTTCCAATTGCAGATTCCACAGAAACAGGGTTTCAAAGCTGCTCTGTAAAAAGAAAGGTTCAACTCTGTTAGTTGAATACACACGTCACAAACAAGTTTCTGAGAATGCTTCTGTCTAGTTTTTATGGGAAGATATTTCCTTTTTCACCGTAGGCCTCAAAGCGCTCCAAATGTCCACTTCCACATACTACAAAAAGAGTGTTTCAAACCTGCTGTATGAAAGGGAATGTTCAACTCTATGAGTTGAATGCAAACATTACAAAGAAGTTTCTGAGAATGCTTCTGTCTAGATTTTATATGAAGGTTTTCCCGTTTCCAACGAAATTTTCAATGCTCTCAAAATATCCACTTGTAGATTCTACAAAAAGAGTGTTTCCAAACTGCTGTGTCAAAAGAAAGGTTCAACTCTGTTAGTTGAGGACACACATCACAAATAAGTTTCTGAGAATGCTGCTGTCTACTTTCTATTTGTAATCCCGTTTCCAACGAAATCCTCAGAACTATCGAAATTTCCAATTGCAGATTCCACAAAAAGCGTGTTTCAAAGCTGCTCTGTAAAAAGAAAGGTTCAACTCTGTTAGTTGAATACACACGTCACAAACAAGTTTCTGAGAATGCTTCTGTCTAGTTTTTATGGGAAGATATTTCCTTTTTCACCGTAGGCCTCAAAGCGCTCCAAATGTCCACTTCCACATACTACAAAAAGAGTGTTTCAAACCTGCTCTATGATAGGGAATGTTGAAACCTATGAGTTGAATGCAAGCATTACAAAGAGGTTTCTGAGAATGCTTCTGTCTAGATTTTATATGTAGATATTCCCGTTTCCAACGAAATCCTCAAAGCTATCCAAATATCAACTTGCAGATTCTACAAAAGGAATGTTTCCAAAATGCTGTATCCAAACAAAGGTTCAACTCTGTGAATTGAGGGCATACATCACAAAGAAGATTCTGAGAATGCTTCTGTCTAGATTTTATATGAAAATATTCCCGTTTCCAACGAAATCCTCAAAGCTATCCAAATATCCACTTGCAAATGCCACAAAAAGAGTGTTTCCAAACTGCTCTGTGAAAAGGAAGGTTCAACTCTGTTAGTTGAGTACACACATCACAAAGAGGTTTCTGAGAATGCTGCTGACTAGTTTTTATTTGAAGATATTTCCCTTTTCACCTTAGGCCTAAGAGTGCTCGAAATGTCCATTTCCACATACTCCACAAAGTGTGTTTCAAACGTGCTGTATGAAAGGGAATGTTCAACTCTATGAGTTGAATGCAAACATCACAAAGAAGATTCTGAGAATGCTTTTGTCTAGATTTTATATGAAGATATTCCCGTGTCCAACGAAATTTTCAAAGGTCTCCAAATATCCATTTGTAGATTCTACAAAAAGAGTGTTTCCAAACTGCTGTATCAAAACAAAGGTTGAACTCTGTGAGTTGAGGACACACATCACAAATAAGTTTCTGAGAATGCTTCTGTCTAGTTTTTATTTGAAGATGTTTCCTTTTTCACCATAGGCCTGAAAGCGCTCGAAATGTCCACTTCCAGATAGTACAGAAAGAGTGTTTCAAACCTGCTCTATGAACGGGAATGTTCAGCTCTGTGAGTTGAATGCAAACATCACAAAGCAGGTTCTGAGAATGCTTCCGTCTAGATTTTAAATGAGGATATTCCCGTTTCCAACGAAATCCTCGAAGCTATCCAAATATCCACTTGCAGATTCCACAAAAAGAGTGTTTCAAAACTGCTTTGTCAAAGGATACGTTCAACTCTGTTAGTTGAGTACACACATGGCAAACAAGATTCCGAGAATGCTTTCGTCTAGTTTTTTTGGGAAGATAATTCCTTCTTCACCATAGGCCTCAAAGCGCTCCAAATATCCATTTCCACATGCTATACAAAGAGTGTCTCAAACCTGCTGTATGAATGGGAATGTTCAACTCTATGAGTTGAATGCAAACATCACAAAGAAGTTTCTGAGAATGCTGCTGTCTAGATTTTATATGAAGGTTTTCCCGCTTCCAACGAAATTTTCAATGCTCTCAAAATATCCTCTTGTAGATTCTACAAAAAGAGTGTTTCCAAACTGCTGTATCAAAACAAAGGTTCATCTCTGTTAGTTGAGGACACACATCACAAATAAGTTTCTGAGAATGCTTCTGTCTAGTTCTTATTTGAAGACATTTCCTTTCTCACCTTAGGCCTGAAAGCGCTCGAAATATCCACTTCCAGATACGACAGAAACAGTGATTCAAACCTGCTCTATGAAAGGGAATGTTCAACTAGGTGACTTGAATGCAAACATCACAAAGCAGTTTCTGAGAATGCTGCTGTCTACTTTCTATTTGTAATCCCGTTTCCAACGAAATCCTCAGAACTATCGAAATTTCCAATTGCAGATTCCACAGAAACAGGGTTTCAAAGCTGCTCTGTAAAAAGAAAGGTTCAACTCTGTTAGTTGAATACACACGTCACAAACAAGTTTCTGAGAATGCTTCTGTCTAGTTTTTATGGGAAGATATTTCCTTTTTCACCGTAGGCCTCAAAGCGCTCCAAATGTCCACGTCCACATACTACAAAAAGAGTGTTTCAAACCTGCTGTATGAAAGGGAATGTTCAACTCTATGAGTTGAATGCAAACATTACAAAGAAGTTTCTGAGAATGCTTCTGTCTAGATTTTATATGAAGGTTTTCCCGTTTCCAACGAAATTTTCAATGCTCTCAAAATATCCACTTGTAGATTCTACAAAAAGAGTGTTTCCAAACTGCTGTGTCAAAAGAAAGGTTCAACTCTGTTAGTTGAGGACACACATCACAAATAAGTTTCTGAGAATGCTGCTGTCTACTTTCTATTTGTAATCCCGTTTCCAACGAAATCCTCAGAACTATCGAAATTTCCAATTGCAGATTCCACAAAAAGCGTGTTTCAAAGCTGCTCTGTAAAAAGAAAGGTTCAACTCTGTTAGTTGAATACACACGTCACAAACAAGTTTCTGAGAATGCTTCTGTCTAGTTTTTATGGGAAGATATTTCCTTTTTCACCGTAGGCCTCAAAGCGCTCCAAATGTCCACTTCCACATACTACAAAAAGAGTGTTTCAAACCTGCTCTATGATAGGGAATGTTGAAACCTATGAGTTGAATGCAAGCATTACAAAGAGGTTTCTGAGAATGCTTCTGTCTAGATTTTATATGTAGATATTCCCGTTTCCAACGAAATCCTCAAACTATCCAAATATCAACTTGCAGATTCTACAAAAGGAATGTTTCCAAAATGCTGTATCCAAACAAAGGTTCAACTCTGTGAATTGAGGGCATACATCACAAAGAAGATTCTGAGAATGCTTCTGTCTAGATTTTATATGAAAATATTCCCGTTTCCAACGAAATCCTCAAAGCTATCCAAATATCCACTTGCAAATGCCACAAAAAGAGTGTTTCCAAACTGCTCTGTGAAAAGGAAGGTTCAACTCTGTTAGTTGAGTACACACATCACAAAGAGGTTTCTGAGAATGCTGCTGACTAGTTTTTATTTGAAGATATTTCCCTTTTCACCTTAGGCCTAAGAGTGCTCGAAATGTCCATTTCCACATACTCCACAAAGTGTGTTTCAAACGTGCTGTATGAAAGGGAATGTTCAACTCTATGAGTTGAATGCAAACATCACAAAGAAGACTCTGAGAATGCTTTTGTCTAGATTTTATATGAAGATATTCCCGTGTCCAACGAAATTTTCAAAGGTCTCCAAATATCCATTTGTAGATTCTACAAAAAGAGTGTTTCCAAACTGCTGTATCAAAACAAAGGTTGAACTCTGTGAGTTGAGGACACACATCACAAATAAGTTTCTGAGAATGCTTCTGTCTAGTTTTTATTTGAAGATGTTTCCTTTTTCACCATAGGCCTGAAAGCGCTCGAAATGTCCACTTCCAGATAGTACAGAAAGAGTGTTTCAAACCTGCTCTATGAACGGGAATGTTCAGCTCTGTGAGTTGAATGCAAACATCACAAAGCAGGTTCTGAGAATGCTGCTGTCTACTTTCTATTTGTAATCCCGTTTCCAACGAAATCCTCGAAGCTATCCAAATATCCACTTGCAGATTCCACAAAAAGAGTGTTTCAAAACTGCTCTGTCAAAAGATAGGTTCAACTCTGTTAGTTGAGTACACACATGGCAAACAAGATTGCGAGAATGCTTTCGTCTAGTTTTTTTGGGAAGATATTTCCTTCTTCACCATAGGCCTCAAAGCGCTCCAAATATCCATTTCCACATGCTATACAAAGAGTGTCTCAAACCTGCTGTATGAATGGGAATGTTCAACTCTATGAGTTGAATGCAAACATCACAAAGAAGTTTCTGAGAATGCTGCTGTCTAGATTTTATATGAAGGTTTTCCCGCTTCCAACGAAATTTTCAATGCTCTCAAAATATCCTCTTGTAGATTCTACAAAAAGAGTGTTTCCAAACTGCTGTATCAAAACAAAGGTTCATCTCTGTTAGTTGAGGACACACATCACAAATAAGTTTCTGAGAATGCTTCTGTCTAGTTCTTATTTGAAGACATTTCTTTTCTCACCTTAGGCCTGAAAGCGCTCGAAATACCCACTTCCAGATACTACAGAAAAAGTGATTCAAACCTGCTCTATGAAAGGGAATGTTCAACTATGTGACTTGAACGCAAACATCACAAAGCAGTTTCTGAGAATGCTGCTGTCTACTTTCCTATTTGTAATCCCGTTTCCAACGAAATCCTCAGAACTATCGAAATTTCCAATTGCAGATTCCACAGAAACAGGGTTTCAAAGCTGCTCTGTAAAAAGAAAGGTTCAACTCTGTTAGTTGAATACACACGTCACAAACAAGTTTCTGAGAATGCTTCTGTCTGGTTTTTATGGGAAGATATTTCCTTTCTCACCGTAGGCCTCAAAGCGCTCCAAATGTCCACTTCCACATACTACAAAAAGAGTGTTTCAAACCTGCTGTATGAAAGGGAATGTTCAACTCTATGAGTCGAATGCAAACATTACAAAGAAGTTTCTGAGAATGCTTCTGTCTAGATTTTATATGAAGGTTTTCCCGTTTCCAACGAAATTTTCAATGCTCTCAAAATATCCACTTGTAGATTCTACAAAAAGAGTGTTTCCAAACTGCTGTTGCAAAAGAAAGGTTCAACTCTGTTAGTTGAGGACACACATCACAAATAAGTTTCTGAGAATGCTTCTGTCTAGTTCTGATTTGTAGACATTTCCTTTCTCACCTTAGGCCTGAAAACGCTCGAAATATCCACTTCCAGATACGACAGAAACAGTGATTCAAACCTTCTCTATGAAAGGGAATGTTCAACTAGGTGACTTGAATGCAAACATCACAAAGCAGTTTCTGAGAATGCTGCTGTCTACTTTCTATTTGTAATCCCGTTTCCAACGAAATCCTCAGAACTATCGAAATTTCCAATTGCAGATTCCACAGAAACAGGGTTTCAAAGCTGCTCTGTAAAAAGAAAGGTTCAACTCTGTTAGTTGAATACACACGTCACAAACAAGTTTCTGAGAATGCTTCTGTCTAGTTTTTATGGGAAGATATTTCCTTTTTCACCGTAGGCCTCAAAGCGCTCCAAATGTCCACGTCCACATACTACAAAAAGAGTGTTTCAAACCTGCTGTATGAAAGGGAATGTTCAACTCTATGAGTTGAATGCAAACATTACAAAGAAGTTTCTGAGAATGCTTCTGTCTAGATTTTATATGAAGGTTTTCCCGTTTCCAATGAAATTTTCAATGCTCTCAAAATATCCACTTGTAGATTCTACAAAAAGAGTGTTTCCAAACTGCTGTGTCAAAAGAAAGGTTCAACTCTGTTAGTTGAGGACACACATCACAAATAAGTTTCTGAGAATGCTTCTGTCTAGTTCTTATTTGAAGACATTTCCTTTCTCACCTTAGGCCTGAAAACGCTCGAAATATCCACTTCCAGATACGACAGAAACAGTGATTCAAACCTGCTCTATGAAAGGGAATGTTCAACTAGGTGACTTGAATGCAAACATCACAAAGCAGTTTCTGAGAATGCTGCTGTCTACTTTCTATTTGTAATCCCGTTTCCAACGAAATCCTCAGAACTATCGAAATTTCCAATTGCAGATTCCACAGAAACAGGGTTTCAAAGCTGCTCTGTAAAAAGAAAGGTTCAACTCTGGTAGTTGAATACACACGTCACAAACAAGTTTCTGAGATTGCTTCTGTCTAGTTTTTATGGGAAGATATTTCCTTTTTCACCGTAGGCCTCAAAGCGCTCCAAATGTCCACGTCCACATACTACAAAAAGAGTGTTTCAAACCTGCTGTATGAAAGGGAATGTTCAACTCTATGAGTTGAATGCAAACATTACAAAGAAGTTTCTGAGAATGCTTCTGTCTAGATTTTATATGAAGGTTTTCCCGTTTCCAACGAAATTTTCAATGCTCTCAAAATATCCACTTGTAGATTCTACAAAAAGAGTGTTTCCAAACTGCTGTGTCAAAAGAAAGGTTCAACTCTGTTAGTTGAGGACACACATCACAAATAAGTTTCTGAGAATGCTGCTGTCTACTTTCTATTTGTAATCCCGTTTCCAACGAAATCCTCAGAACTATCGAAATTTCCAATTGCAGATTCCACAAAAAGCGTGTTTCAAAGCTGCTCTGTAAAAAGAAAGGTTCAACTCTGTTAGTTGAATACACACGTCACAAACAAGTTTCTGAGAATGCTTCTGTCTAGTTTTTATGGGAAGATATTTCCTTTTTCACGGTAGGCCTCAAAGCGCTCCAAATGTCCACTTCCACATACTACAAAAAGAGTGTTTCAAACCTGCTCTATGATAGGGAATGTTGAAACCTATGAGTTGAATGCAAGCATTACAAAGAGGTTTCTGAGAATGCTTCTGTCTAGATTTTATATGTAGATATTCCCGTTTCCAACGAAATCCTCAAAGCTATCCAAATATCAACTTGCAGATTCTACAAAAGGAATGTTTCCAAAATGCTGTATCCAAACAAAGGTTCAACTCTGTGAATTGAGGGCATACATCACAAAGAAGATTCTGAGAATGCTTCTGTCTAGATTTTATATGAAAATATTCCCGTTTCCAACGAAATCCTCAAAGCTATCCAAATATCCACTTGCAAATGCCACAAAAAGAGTGTTTCCAAACTGCTCTGTGAAAAGGAAGGTTCAACTCTGTTAGTTGAGTACACACATCACAAAGAGGTTTCTGAGAATGCTGCTGACTAGTTTTTATTTGAAGATATTTCCCTTTTCACCTTAGGCCTAAGAGTGCTCGAAATGTCCATTTCCACATACTCCACAAAGTGTGTTTCAAACGTGCTGTATGAAAGGGAATGTTCAACTCTATGAGTTGAATGCAAACATCACAAAGAAGATTCTGAGAATGCTTTTGTCTAGATTTTATATGAAGATATTCCCGTGTCCAACGAAATTTTCAAAGGTCTCCAAATATCCATTTGTAGATTCTACAAAAAGAGTGTTTCCAAACTGCTGTATCAAAACAAAGGTTGAACTCTGTGAGTTGAGGACACACATCACAAATAAGTTTCTGAGAATGCTTCTGTCTAGTTTTTATTTGAAGATGTTTCCTTTTTCACCATAGGCCTGAAAGCGCTCGAAATGTCCACTTCCAGATAGTACAGAAAGAGTGTTTCAAACCTGCTCTATGAACGGGAATGTTCAGCTCTGTGAGTTGAATGCAAACATCACAAAGCAGGTTCTGAGAATGCTTCCGTCTAGATTTTAAATGAGGATATTCCCGTTTCCAACGAAATCCTCGAAGCTATCCAAATATCCACTTGCAGATTCCACAAAAAGAGTGTTTCAAAACTGCTCTGTCAAAAGATAGGTTCAACTCTGTTAGTTGAGTACACACATGGCAAACAAGATTGCGAGAATGCTTTCGTCTAGTTTTTTAGGGAAGATATTTCCTTCTTCACCATAGGCCTCAAAGCGCTCCAAATATCCATTTCCACATGCTATACAAAGAGTGTCTCAAACCTGCTGTATGAATGGGAATGTTCAACTCTATGAGTTGAATGCAAACATCACAAAGAAGTTTCTGAGAATGCTGCTGTCTAGATTTTATATGAAGGTTTTCCCGCTTCCAACGAAATTTTCAATGCTCTCAAAATATCCTCTTGTAGATTCTACAAAAAGAGTGTTTCCAAACTGCTGTATCAAAACAAAGGTTCATCTCTGTTAGTTGAGGACACACATCACAAATAAGTTTCTGAGAATGCTTCTGTCTAGTTCTTATTTGAAGACATTTCCTTTCTCACCTTAGGCCTGAAAGTGCTCGAAATACCCACTTCCAGATACGACAGAAACAGTGATTCAAACCTGCTCTATGAAAGGGAATGTTCAACTAGGTGACTTGAATGCAAACATCACAAAGCAGTTTCTGAGAATGCTGCTGTCTACTTTCTATTTGTAATCCCGTTTCCAACGAAATCCTCAGAACTATCGAAATTTCCAATTGCAGATTCCACAGAAACAGGGTTTCAAAGCTGCTCTGTAAAAAGAAAGGTTCAACTCTGTTAGTTGAATACACACGTCACAAACAAGTTTCTGAGAATGCTTCTGTCTAGTTTTTATGGGAAGATATTTCCTTTTTCACCGTAGGCCTCAAAGCGCTCCAAATGTCCACTTCCACATACTACAAAAAGAGTGTTTCAAACCTGCTGTATGAAAGGGAATGTTCAACTCTATGAGTTGAATGCAAACATTACAAAGAAGTTTCTGAGAATGCTTCTGTCTAGATTTTATATGAAGGTTTTCCCGTTTCCAACGAAATTTTCAATGCTCTCAAAATATCCACTTGTAGATTCTACAAAAAGAGTGTTTCCAAACTGCTGTGTCAAAAGAAAGGTTCAACTCTGTTAGTTGAGGACACACATCACAAATAAGTTTCTGAGAATGCTGCTGTCTACTTTCTATTTGTAATCCCGTTTCCAACGAAATCCTCAGAACTATCGAAATTTCCAATTGCAGATTCCACAAAAAGCGTGTTTCAAAGCTGCTCTGTAAAAAGAAAGGTTCAACTCTGTTAGTTGAATACACACGTCACAAACAAGTTTCTGAGAATGCTTCTGTCTAGTTTTTATGGGAAGATATTTCCTTTTTCACCGTAGGCCTCAAAGCGCTCCAAATGTCCACTTCCACATACTACAAAAAGAGTGTTTCAAACCTGCTCTATGATAGGGAATGTTGAAACCTATGAGTTGAATGCAAGCATTACAAAGAGGTTTCTGAGAATGCTTCTGTCTAGATTTTATATGTAGATATTCCCGTTTCCAACGAAATCCTCAAAGCTATCCAAATATCAACTTGCAGATTCTACAAAAGGAATGTTTCCAAAATGCTGTATCCAAACAAAGGTTCAACTCTGTGAATTGAGGGCATACATCACAGAGAAGATTCTGAGAATGCTTCTGTCTAGATTTTATATGAAAATATTCCCGTTTCCAACGAAATCCTCAAAGCTATCCAAATATCCACTTGCAAATGCCACAAAAAGAGTGTTTCCAAACTGCTCTGTGAAAAGGAAGGTTCAACTCTGTTAGTTGAGTACACACATCACAAAGAGGTTTCTGAGAATGCTGCTGGCTAGTTTTTATTTGAAGATATTTCCCTTTTCACCTTAGGCCTAAGAGTGCTCGAAATGTCCATTTCCACATACTCCACAAAGTGTGTTCCAAACGTGCTGTATGAAAGGGAATGTTCAACTCTATGAGTTGAATGCAAACATCACAAAGAAGATTCTGAGAATGCTTTTGTCTAGATTTTATATGAAGGTATTCCCGTGTCCAACGAAATTTTCAATGGTCTCCAAATATCCATTTGTAGATTCTACAAAAAGAGTGTTTCCAAACTGCTGTATCAAAACAAAGGTTGAACTCTGTGAGTTGAGGACACACATCACAAATAAGTTTCTGAGAATGCTTCTGTCTAGTTTTTATTTGAAGATGTTTCCTTTTTCACCATAGGCCTGAAAGCGCTCGAAATGTCCACTTCCAGATAGTACAGAAAGAGTGTTTCAAACCTGCTCTATGAAGAGGAATGTTCAGCTCTGTGAGTTGAATGCAAACATCACAAAGCAGGTTCTGAGAATGCTTCCGTCTAGATTTTATATGAGGATATTCCCGTTTCCAAGGAAATCCTCGAAGCTATCCAAATATCCATTTGCAGATTCCACAAAAAGAGTGTTTCAAAACTGCTCTGTCAAAAGATAGGTTCAACTCTGTTAGTTGAGTACACACATGGCAAACAAGATTGCGAGAATGCTTTCGTCTAGTTTTTTTGGGAAGATATTTCCTTCTTCACCATAGGCCTCAAAGCGCTCCAAATATCCATTTCCACATGCTATACAAAGAGTGTCTCAAACCTGCTGTATGAATGGGAATGTTCAACTCTATGAGTTGAATGCAAACATCACAAAGAAGTTTCTGAGAATGCTGCTGTCTAGATTTTATATGAAGGTTTTCCCGCTTCCAACGAAATTTTCAATGCTCTCAAAATATCCTCTTGTAGATTCTACAAAAAGAGTGTTTCCAAACTGCTGTATCAAAACAAAGGTTCATCTCTGTTAGTTGAGGACACACATCACAAATAAGTTTCTGAGAATGCTTCTGTCTAGTTCTTATTTGAAGACATTTCCTTTCTCACCTTAGGCCTGAAAACGCTCGAAATATCCACTTCCAGATACGACAGAAACAGTGATTCAAACCTGCTCTATGAAAGGGAATGTTCAACTAGGTGACTTGAATGCAAACATCAGAAAGCAGTTTCTGAGAATGCTGCTGTCTACTTTCTATTTGTAATCCCGTTTCCACCGAAATCCTCAGAACTATCGAAATTTCCAATTGCAGATTCCACAAAAAGCATGTTTCAAAGCTGCTCTGTAAAAAGAAAGGTTCAACTCTGTTAGTTGAATACACACGTCACAAACAAGTTTCTGAGAATGCTTCTGTCTAGTTTTTATGGGAAGATATTTCCTTTTTCACCGTAGGCCTCAAAGCGCTCCAAATGTCCACTTCCACATACTACAAAAAGAGTGTTTCAATCCTGCTCTAAGATAGGGAATGTTGAAACCTATGAGTTGAATGAAAACATTACAAACATGTTTCTGAGAATGCTTCTGTCCAGTATTTTATATGTAGATATTCCCGTTTCCAACGAAATCCTCAAAGCTATACAAATATCAACTTGCAGATTCTACAAAAGGAATGTTTCCAAAATGCTGTATCGAAACAATGGTTCAACTCTGTGAATTGAGGGCATACATCACAAAGAAGATTCTGAGAATGCTTCTGTCTAGATTTTATATGAAAATATTCCCGTTTCAAAGAAATCCTCAAAGCTATCCAAATGTCCACTTGCAAATGCCACAAAAAGAGTGTTTCCAAACTGCTCTGTGAAATGGAAGGTTCAACTCTGTTAGCTGAGTACACACATCACAAAGAGCTTTCTGAGAATGCTTCTGTCTAGTTTTTATGGGAAGAATATTTCCTTTTTCACCGTAGGCCTCAAAGCGCTCCAAATGTCCACTTCCACATACTACAAAAAGAGTGTTTCAAACCTGCTGTATGAAAGGGAATGTTCAACTCTATGCGTTGAATGCAAACATTACAAAGAAGTTTCTGAGAATGCTTTTGTCTAGATTTTATATGAAGATATTCCCGTGTCCAACGAAATTTTCAAAGGTCTCCAAATAAAGATTGTTTCCAAACTGCTGTATCAAAACAAAGGTTGAACTCTGTGAGTTGAGGACACACATCACAAATAAGTTTCTGAGAATGCTTCTGTCTAGTTTTTATTTGAAGATGTTTCCTTTTTCACCATAGGCCTGAAAGCGCTCGAAATGTCCACTTCCAGATAGTACAGAAAGAGTGTTTCAAACCTGCTCTATGAACGGGAATGTTCAGCTCTGTGAGTTGAATGCAAACATCACAAAGCAGGTTCTGAGAATGCTTCCGTCTAGATTTTAAATGAGGATATTCCCGTTTCCAACGAAATCCTCGAAGCTATCCAAATATCCACTTGCAGATTCCACAAAAAGAGTGTTTCAAAACTGCTCTGTCAAAAGATAGGTTCAACTCTGTTAGTTGAGTACACACATGGCAAACAAGATTCCGAGAATGCTTTCGTCTATTTTTTTTGGGAAGATATTTCCTTCTTCACCATAGGCCTCAAAGCGCTCCAAATATCCATTTCCACATGCTATACAAAGAGTGTCTCAAACCTGCTGTATGAATGGGAATGTTCAACTCTATGAGTTGAATGCAAACATCACAAAGAAGTTTCTGAGAATGCTGCTGTCTAGATTTTATATGAAGGTTTTCCCGCTTCCAACGAAATTTTCAATGCTCTCAAAATATCCTCTTGTAGATTCTACAAAAAGAGTGTTTCCAAACTGCTGTATCAAAACAAAGGTTCATCTCTGTTAGTTGAGGACACACATCACAAATAAGTTTCTGAGAATGCTCTGTCTAGTTCTTATTTGAAGACATTTCCTTTCTCACCTTAGGCCTGAAAGCGCTCGAAATACCCACTTCCAGATACTACAGAAACAGTGATTCAAACCTGCTCTATGAAAGGGAATGTTCAACTATGTGACTTGAATGCAAACATCACAAAGCAGTTTGCTGAGAATGCTGGCTGTCTACTTTCTATTTGTAATCCCGTTTCCAACGAAATCCTCAGAACTATCGAAATTTCCAATTGCAGATTCCACAGAAACAGGGTTTCAAAGCTGCTCTGTAAAAAGAAAGGTTCAACTCTGTTAGTTGAATACACACGTCACAAACAAGTTTCTGAGAATGCTTCTGTCTAGTTTTTATGGGAAGATATTTCCTTTTTCACCGTAGGCCTCAAAGCGCTCCAAATGTCCACTTCCACATACTACAAAAAGAGTGTTTCAAACCTGCTCTATGATAGGGAATGTTGAAACCTATGAGTTGAATGCAAACATTACAAAGAAGATTCTGAGAATGCTTCTGTCTAGATTTTATATGAAGATTTTCCCGTTTCCAACGAAATTTTCAATGCTCTGAAAATATCCACTTGTAGATTCTACAAAAAGAGTGTTTCCAAACTGCTGTGTCAAAAGAAAGGTTCAACTACTGTTAGTTGAGGACACACATCACAAATAAGTTTCTGAGAATGCTTCTGTCTAGTTCTTATTTGAAGACATTTCCTTTCTCACCTTAGGCCTGAAAACGCTCGAAATATCCACTTCCAGATACGACAGAAACAGTGATTCAAACCTGCTCTATGAAAGGGAATGTTCAACTAGGTGACTTGAATGCAAACATCACAAAGCAGTTTCTGAGAATGCTGCTGTCTACTTTCTATTTGCAATCCCGTTTCCAACGAAATCCTCAGAACTATCGAAATTTCCAATTGCAGATTCCACAAAAAGCGTGTTTCAAAGCTGCTCTGTAAAAAGAAAGGTTCAACTCTGTTAGTTGAATACACACGTCACAAACAAGTTTCTGAGAATGCTTCTGTCTAGTTTTTATGGGAAGATATTTCCTTTTTCACCGTAGGCCTCAAAGCGCTCCAAATGTCCACTTCCACATACTACAAAAAGAGTGTTTCAAACCTGCTCTATGATAGGGAATGTTGAAACCTATGAGTTGAATGCAAGCATTACAAAGAGGTTTCTGAGAATGCTTCTGTCTAGATTTTATATGTAGATATTCCCGTTTCCAACGAAATCCTCAAAGCTATCCAAATATCAACTTGCAGATTCTACAAAAGGAATGTTTCCAAAATGCTGTATCCAAACAAAGGTTCAACTCTGTGAATTGAGGGCATACATCACAAAGAAGATTCTGAGAATGCTTCTGTCTAGATTTTATATGAAAATATTCCCGTTTCCAACGAAATCCTCAAAGCTATCCAAATATCCACTTGCAAATGCCACAAAAAGAGTGTTTCCAAACTGCTCTGTGAAAAGGAAGGTTCAACTCTGTTAGTTGAGTACACACATCACAAAGAGGTTTCTGAGAATGCTGCTGACTAGTTTTTATTTGAAGATATTTCCCTTTTCACCTTAGGCCTAAGAGTGCTCGAAATGTCCATTTCCACATACTCCACAAAGTGTGTTTCAAACGTGCTGTATGAAAGGGGAATGTTCAACTCTATGAGTTGAATGCAAACATCACAAAGAAGATTTTGAGAATGCTTTTGTCTAGATTTTATATGAAGATATTCCCGTGTCCAACGAAATTTTCAAAGGTCTCCAAATATCCATTTGTAGATTCTACAAAAAGAGTGTTTCCAAACTGCTGTATCAAAACAAAGGTCGAACTCTGTGAGTTGAGGACACACATCACAAATAAGTTTCTGAGAATGCTTCTGTCTAGTTTTTATTTGAAGATGTTTCCTTTTTCACCATAGGCCTGAAAGCGCTCGAAATGTCCACTTCCAGATAGTACAGAAAGAGTGTTTCAAACCTGCTCTATGAACGGGAATGTTCAGCTCTGTGAGTTGAATGCAAACATCACAAAGCAGGTTCTGAGAATGCTTCCGTCTAGATTTTAAATGAGGATATTCCCGTTTCCAACGAAATCCTCGAAGCTATCCAAATATCCACTTGCAGATTCCACAAAAAGAGTGTTTCAAAACTGCTCTGTCAAAAGATAGGTTCAACTCTGTTAGTTGAGTACACACATGGCAAACAAGATTCCGAGAATGCTTTCGTCTAGTTTTTTTGGGAAGATATTTCCTTCTTCACCATAGGCCTCAAAGCGCTCCAAATATCCATTTCCACATGCTATACAAAGAGTGTCTCAAACCTGCTGTATGAATGGGAATGTTCAACTCTATGAGTTGAATGCAAACATCACAAAGAAGTTTCTGAGAATGCTGCTGTCTAGATTTTATATGAAGGCTTTCCCGCTTCCAACGAAATTTTCAATGCTCTCAAAATATCCTCTTGTAGATTCTACAAAAAGAGTGTTTCCAAACTGCTGTATCAAAACAAAGGTTCATCTCTGTTAGTTGAGGACACACATCACAAATAAGTTTCTGAGAATGCTTCTGTCTAGTTCTTATTTGAAGACATTTCCTTTCTCACCTTAGGCCTGAAAGCGCTCGAAATACACACTTCCAGATACTACAGAAACAGTGATTCAAACCTGCTCTATGAAAGCGAATGTTCAACTAGGTGACTTGAATGCAAACATCACAAAGCAGTTTCTGAGAATGCTGCTGTCTACTTTCTATTTGTAATCCCGTTTCCAACGAAATCCTCAGAACTATCGAAATTTCCAATTGCAGATTCCACAGAAACAGGGTTTCAAAGCTGCTCTGTAAAAAGAAAGGTTCAACTCTGTTAGTTGAATACACACGTCACAAACAAGTTTCTGAGAATGCTTCTGTCTAGTTTTTATGGGAAGATATTTCCTTTTTCACCGTAGGCCTCAAAGCGGCTCCAAATGTCCACGTCCACATACTACAAAAAGAGTGTTTCAAACCTGCTGTATGAAAGGGAATGTTCAACTCTATGAGTTGAATGCAAACATTACAAAGGAGTTTCTGAGAATGCTTCTGTCTAGATTTTATATGAAGGTTTTCCCGCTTCCAACGAAATTTTCAATGCTCTCAAAATATCCTCTTGTAGATTCTACAAAAAGAGTGTTTCCAAACTGCTGTATCAAAACAAAGGTTCATCTCTGTTAGTTGAGGACACACATCACAAATAAGTTTGCTGAGAATGCTTCTGTCTAGTTCTTATTTGAAGACATTTCCTTTCTCACCTTAGGCCTGAAAACGCTCGAAATATCCACTTCCAGATACGACAGAAACTGTGATTCAAACCTGCTCTATGAAAGGGAATGTTCAACTAGGTGACTTGAATGCAAACATCACAAAGCAGTTTCTGAGAACGCTGCTGTCTACTTTCTATTTGTAATCCCGTTTCCAACGAAATCCTCAGAACTATCGAAATTTCCAATTGCAGATTCCACAGAAACAGGGTTTCAAAGCTGCTCTGTAAAAAGAAAGGTTCAACTCTGTTAGTTGAATACACACGTCACAAACAAGTTTCTGAGAATGCTTCTGTCTAGTTTTTATGGGAAGATATTTCCTTTTTCACCGTAGGCCTCAAAGCGCTCCAAATGTCCACGTCCACATACTACAAAAAGAGTGTTTCAAACCTGCTGTATGAAAGGGAATGTTCAACTCTATGAGTTGAATGCAAACATTACAAAGAAGTTTCTGAGAATGCTTCTGTCTAGATTTTATATGAAGGTTTTCCCGTTTCCAACGAAATTTTCAATGCTCTCAAAATATCCACTTGTAGATTCTACAAAAAGAGTGTTTCCAAACTGCTGTGTCAAAAGAAAGGTTCAACTCTGTTAGTTGAGGACACACATCACAAATAAGTTTCTGAGAATGCTGCTGTCTACTTTCTATTTGTAATCCCGTTTCCAACGAAATCCTCAGAACTATCGAAATTTCCAATTGCAGATTCCACAAAAAGCGTGTTTCAAAGCTGCTCTGTAAAAAGAAAGGTTCAACTCTGTTAGTTGAATACACACGTCACAAACAAGTTTCTGAGAATGCTTCTGTCTAGTTTTTATGGGAAGATATTTCCTTTTTCACGGTAGGCCTCAAAGCGCTCCAAATGTCCACTTCCACATACTACAAAAAGAGTGTTTCAAACCTGCTCTATGATAGGGAATGTTGAAACCTATGAGTTGAATGCAAGCATTACAAAGAGGTTTCTGAGAATGCTTCTGTCTAGATTTTATATGTAGATATTCCCGTTTCCAACGAAATCCTCAAAGCTATCCAAATATCAACTTGCAGATTCTACAAAAGGAATGTTTCCAAAATGCTGTATCCAAACAAAGGTTCAACTCTGTGAATTGAGGGCATACATCACAAAGAAGATTCTGCGAATGCTTCTGTCTAGATTTTATATGAAAATATTCCCGTTTCCAACGAAATCCTCAAAGCTATCCAAATATCCACTTGCAAGTGCCACAAAAAGAGTGTTTCCAAACTGCTCTGTGAAAAGGAAGGTTCAACTCTGTTAGTTGAGTACACACATCACAAAGAGGTTTCTGAGAATGCTGCTGACTAGTTTTTATTTGAAGATATTTCCCTTTTCACCTTAGGCCTAAGAGTGCTCGAAATGTCCATTTCCACATACTCCACAAAGTGTGTTTCAAACGTGCTGTATGAAAGGGAATGTTCAACTCTATGAGTTGAATGCAAACATCACAAAGAAGACTCTGAGAATGCTTTTGTCTAGATTTTATATGAAGATATTCCCGTGTCCAACGAAATTTTCAAAGGTCTCCAAATATCCATTTGTAGATTCTACAAAAAGAGTGTTTCCAAACTGCTGTATCAAAACAAAGGTTGAACTCTGTGAGTTGAGGACACACATCACAAATAAGTTTCTGAGAATGCTTCTGTCTAGTTTTTATTTGAAGATGTTTCCTTTTTCACCATAGGCCTGAAAGCGCTCGAAATGTCCACTTCCAGATAGTACAGAAAGAGTGTTTCAAACCTGCTCTATGAACGGGAATGTTCAGCTCTGTGAGTTGAATGCAAACATCACAAAGCAGTTTCCGAGAATGCTTCCGTCTAGATTTTAAATGAGGATATTCCCGTTTCCAACGAAATCCTCGAAGCTATCCAAATATCCACTTGCAGATTCCACAAAAAGAGTGTTTCAAAACTGCTCTGTCAAAAGATAGGTTCAACTCTGTTAGTTGAGTACACACATGGCAAACAAGATTCCGAGAATGCTTTCGTCTAGTTTTTTTGGGAAGATATTTCCTTCTTCACCATAGGCCTCAAAGCGCTCCAAATATCCATTTCCACATGCTATACAAAGAGTGTCTCAAACCTGCTGTATGAATGGGAATGTTCAACTCTATGAGTTGAATGCAAACATCACAAAGAAGTTTCTGAGAATGCTGCTGTCTAGATTTTATATGAAGGTTTTCCCGCTTCCAACGAAATTTTCAATGCTCTCAAAATATCCTCTTGTAGATTCTACAAAAAGAGTGTTTCCAAACTGCTGTATCAAAACAAAGGTTCATCTCTGTTAGTTGAGGACACACATCACAAATAAGTTTCTGAGAATGCTTCTGTCTAGTTCTTATTTGAAGACATTTCCTTTCTCACCTTAGGCCTGAAAGCGCTCGAAATACCCACTTCCAGATACTACAGAAACAGTGATTCAAACCTGCTCTATGAAAGGGAATGTTCAACTCTATGAGTTGAATGCAAACATCACAAAGCAGTTTCTGAGAATGCTGCTGTCTACTTTCTATTTGTAATCCCGTTTCCAACGAAATCCTCAGAACTATCGAAATTTCCAATTGCAGATTCCACAGAAACAGGGTTTCAAAGCTGCTCTGTAAAAAGAAAGGTTCAACTCTGTTAGTTGAATACACACGTCACAAACAAGTTTCTGAGAATGCTTCTGTCTAGTTTTTATGGGAAGATATTTCCTTTTTCACCGTAGGCCTCAAAGCGCTCCAAATGTCCACTTCCACATACTACAAAAAGAGTGTTTCAAACCTGCTGTATGAAAGGGAATGTTCAACTCTATGAGTTGAATGCAAACATTACAAAGAAGTTTCTGAGAATGCTTCTGTCTAGATTTTATATGAAGGTTTTCCCGTTTCCAACGAAATTTTCAATGCTCTCAAAATATCCACTTGTAGATTCTACAAAAAGAGTGTTTCCAAACTGCTGTGTCAAAAGAAAGGTTCAACTCTGTTAGTTGAGGACACACATCACAAATAAGTTTCTGAGAATGCTGCTGTCTACTTTCTATTTGTAATCCCGTTTCCAACGAAATCCTCAGAACTGTCGAAATTTCCAATTGCAGATTCCACAGAAACAGGGTTTCAAAGCTGCTCTGTAAAAAGAAAGGTTCAACTCTGTTAGTTGAATACACACGTCACAAACAAGTTTCTGAGAATGCTTCTGTCTAGTTTTTATGGGAAGATATTTCCTTTTTCACCGTAGGCCTCAAAGCGCTCCAAATGTCCACTTCCACATACTACAAAAAGAGTGTTTCAAACCTGCTCTATGATAGGGAATGTTGAAACCTATGAGTTGAATGCAAGCATTACAAAGAGGTTTCTGAGAATGCTTCTGTCTAGATTTTATATGTAGATATTCCCGTTTCCAACGAAATCCTCAAAGCTATCCAAATATCAACTTGCAGATTCTACAAAAGGAATGTTTCCAAAATGCTGTATCCAAACAAAGGTTCAACTCTGTGAATTGAGGGCATACATCACAAAGAAGATTCTGAGAATGCTTCTGTCTAGATTTTATATGTAAATATTCCCGTTTCCAACGAAATCCTCAAAGCTATCCAAATATCCACTTGCAAATGCCACAAAAAGAGTGTTTCCAAACTGCTCTGTGAAAAGGAAGGTTCAACTCTGTTAGTTGAGTACACACATCAGAAAGAGGTTTCTGAGAATGCTGCTGACTAGTTTTTATTTGAAGATATTTCCCTTTTCACCTTAGGCCTAAGAGTGCTCGAAATGTCCATTTCCACATACTCCACAAAGTGTGTTTCAAACGTGCTGTATGAAAGGGAATGTTCAACTCTATGAGTTGAATGCAAACATCACAAAGAAGATTCTGAGAATGCTTTTGTCTAGATTTTATATGAAGATATTCCCGTGTCCAACGAAATTTTCAAAGGTCTCCAAATATCCATTTGTAGATTCTACAAAAAGAGTGTTTCCAAACTGCTGTATCAAAACAAAGGTTGAACTCTGTGAGTTGAGGACACACATCACAAATAAGTTTCTGAGAATGCTTCTGTCTAGTTTTTATTTGAAGATGTTTCCTTTTTCACCATAGGCCTGAAAGCGCTCGAAATGTCCACTTCCAGATAGTACAGAAAGAGTGTTTCAAACCTGCTCTATGAACGGGAATGTTCAGCTCTGTGAGTTGAATGCAAACATCACAAAGCAGGTTCTGAGAATGCTTCCGTCTAGATTTTAAATGAGGATATTCCCGTTTCCAACGAAATCCTCGAAGCTATCCAAATATCCACTTGCAGATTCCACAAAAAGAGTGTTTCAAAACTGCTCTGTCAAAAGATAGGTTCAACTCTGTTAGTTGAGTACACACATGGCAAACAAGATTCCGAGAATGCTTTCGTCTAGTTTTTTTGGGAAAATATTTCCTTCTTCACCATAGGCCTCAAAGCGCTCCAAATATCCATTTCCACATGGTATACAAAGAGTGTCTCAAACCTGCTGTATGAATGGGAATGTTCAACTCTATGAGTTGAATGCAAACATCACAAAGAAGTTTCTGAGAATGCTGCTGTCTAGATTTTATATGAAGGTTTTCCCGCTTCCAACGAAATTTTCAATGCTCTCAAAATATCCTCTTGTAGATTCTACAAAAAGAGTGTTTCCAAACTGCTGTATCAAAACAAAGGTTCATCTCTGTTAGTTGAGGACACACATCACAAATAAGTTTCTGAGAATGCTTCTGTCTAGTTCTTATTTGAAGACATTTCCTTTCTCACCTTAGGCCTGAAAGCGCTCGAAATACCCACTTCCAGATACTACAGAAACAGTGATTCAAACCTGCTCTATGAAAGGGAATGTTCAACTAGGTGACTTGAATGCAAACATCACAAAGCAGTTTCTGAGAATGCTGCTGTCTACTTTCTATTTGTAATCCCGTTTCCAACGAAATCCTCAGAACTATCGAAATTTCCAATTGCAGATTCCACAGAAACAGGGTTTCAAAGCTGCTCTGTAAAAAGAAAGGTTCAACTCTGTTAGTTGAATACACACGTCACAAACAAGTTTACTGAGAATGCTTCTGTCTAGTTTTTATGGGAAGATATTTCCTTTTTCACCGTAGGCCTCAAAGCGCTCCAAATGTCCACTTCCACATACTACAAAAAGAGTGTTTCAAACCTGCTGTATGAAAGGGAATGTTCAACTCTATGAGTTGAATGCAAACATTACAAAGAAGTTTCTGAGAATGCTTCTGTCTAGATTTTATATGAAGGTTTTCCCGTTTCCAACGAAATTTTCAATGCTCTCAAAATATCCACTTGTAGATTCTACAAAAAGAGTGTTTCCAAACTGCTGTGTCAAAAGAAAGGTTCAACTCTGTTAGTTGAGGACACACATCACAAATAAGTTTCTGAGAATGCTGCTGTCTACTTTCTATTTGTAATCCCGTTTCCAACGAAATCCTCAGAACTATCGAAATTTCCAATTGCAGATTCCACAAAAAGCGTGTTTCAAAGCTGCTCTGTAAAAAGAAAGGTTCAACTCTGTTAGTTGAATACACACGTCACAAACAAGTTTCTGAGAATGCTTCTGTCTAGTTTTTATGGGAAGATATTTCCTTTTTCACCGTAGGCCTCAAAGCGCTCCAAATGTCCACTTCCACATACTACAAAAAGAGTGTTTCAAACCTGCTCTATGATAGGGAATGTTGAAACCTATGAGTTGAATGCAAGCATTACAAAGAGGTTTCTGAGAATGCTTCTGTCTAGATTTTATATGTAGATATTCCCGTTTCCAACGAAATCCTCAAAGCTATCCAAATATCAACTTGCAGATTCTACAAAAGGAATGTTTCCAAAATGCTGTATCCAAACAAAGGTTCAACTCTGTGAATTGAGGGCATACATCACAAAGAAGATTCTGAGAATGCTTCTGTCTAGATTTTATATGAAAATATTCCCGTTTCCAACGAAATCCTCAAAGCTATCCAAATATCCACTTGCAAATGCCACAAAAAGAGTGTTTCCAAACTGCTCTGTGAAAAGGAAGGTTCAACTCTGTTAGTTGAGTACACACATCACAAAGAGGTTTCTGAGAATGCTGCTGACTAGTTTTTATTTGAAGATATTTCCCTTTTCACCTTAGGCCTAAGAGTGCTCGAAATGTCCATTTCCACATACTCCACAAAGTGTGTTTCAAACGTGCTGTATGAAAGGGAATGTTCAACTCTATGAGTTGAATGCAAACATCACAAAGAAGATTCTGAGAATGCTTTTGTCTAGATTTTATATGAAGATATTCCCGTGTCCAACGAAATTTTCAAAGGTCTCCAAATATCCATTTGTAGATTCTACAAAAAGAGTGTTTCCAAACTGCTGTATCAAAACAAAGGTTGAACTCTGTGAGTTGAGGACACACATCACAAATAAGTTTCTGAGAATGCTTCTGTCTAGTTTTTATTTGAAGATGTTTCCTTTTTCACCATAGGCCTGAAAGCGCTCGAAATGTCCACTTCCAGATAGTACAGAAAGAGTGTTTCAAACCTGCTCTATGAACGGGAATGTTCAGCTCTGTGAGTTGAATGCAAACATCACAAAGCAGGTTCTGAGAATGCTTCCGTCTAGATTTTAAATGAGGATATTCCCGTTTCCAACGAAATCCTCGAAGCTATCCAAATATCCACTTGCAGATTCCACAAAAAGAGTGTTTCAAAACTGCTCTGTCAAAAGATAGGTTCAACTCTGTTAGTTGAGTACACACATGGCAAACAAGATTCCGAGAATGCTTTCGTCTAGTTTTTTTGGGAAGATATTTCCTTCTTCACCATAGGCCTCAAAGCGCTCCAAATATCCATTTCCACATGCTATACAAAGAGTGTCTCAAACCTGCTGTATGAATGGGAATGTTCAACTCTATGAGTTGAATGCAAACATCACAAAGAAGTTTCTGAGAATGCTGCTGTCTAGATTTTATATGAAGGTTTTCCCGCTTCCAACGAAATTTTCAATGCTCTCAAAATATCCTCTTGTAGATTCTACAAAAAGAGTGTTTCCAAACTGCTGTATCAAAACAAAGGTTCATCTCTGTTAGTTGAGGACACACATCACAAATAAGTTTCTGAGAATGCTTCTGTCTAGTTCTTATTTGAAGACATTTCCTTTCTCACCTTAGGCCTGAAAGCGCTCGAAATACCCACTTCCAGATACTACAGAAACAGTGATTCAAACCTGCTCTATGAAAGGGAATGTTCAACTAGGTGACTTGAATGCAAACATCACAAAGCAGTTTCTGAGAATGCTGCTGTCTACTTTCTATTTGTAATCCCGTTTGCAACGAAATCCTCAGAACTATCGAAATTTCCAATTGCAGATTCCACAGAAACAGGGTTTCAAAGCTGCTCTGTAAAAAGAAAGGTTCAACTCTGTTAGTTGAATACACACGTCACAAACAAGTTTCTGAGAATGCTTCTGTCTAGTTTTTATGGGAAGATATTTCCTTTTTCACCGTAGGCCTCAAAGCGCTCCAAATGTCCACTTCCACATACTACAAAAAGAGTGTTTCAAACCTGCTGTATGAAAGGGAATGTTCAACTCTATGAGTTGAATGCAAACATTACAAAGAAGTTTCTGAGAATGCTTCTGTCTAGATTTTATATGAAGGTTTTCCCGTTTCCAACGAAATTTTCAATGCTCTCAAAATATCCACTTGTAGATTCTACAAAAAGAGTGTTTCCAAACTGCTGTGTCAAAAGAAAGGTTCAACTCTGTTAGTTGAGGACACACATCACAAATAAGTTTCTGAGAATGCTGCTGTCTACTTTCTATTTGTAATCCCGTTTCCAACGAAATCCTCAGAACTATCGAAATTTCCAATTGCAGATTCCACAAAAAGCGTGTTTCAAAGCTGCTCTGTAAAAAGAAAGGTTCAACTCTGTTAGTTGAATACACACGTCACAAACAAGTTTCTGAGAATGCTTCTGTCTAGTTTTTATGGGAAGATATTTCCTTTTTCACCGTAGGCCTCAAAGCGCTCCAAATGTCCACTTCCACATACTACAAAAAGAGTGTTTCAAACCTGCTCTATGATAGGGAATGTTGAAACCTATGAGTTGAATGCAAGCATTACAAAGAGGTTTCTGAGAATGCTTCTGTCTAGATTTTATATGTAGATATTCCCGTTTCCAACGAAATCCTCAAAGCTATCCAAATATCAACTTGCAGATTCTACAAAAGGAATGTTTCCAAAATGCTGTATCCAAACAAAGGTTCAACTCTGTGAATTGAGGGCATACATCACAAAGAAGATTCTGAGAATGCTTCTGTCTAGATTTTATATGAAAATATTCCCGTTTCCAACGAAATCCTCAAAGCTATCCAAATATCCACTTGCAAATGCCACAAAAAGAGTGTTTCCAAACTGCTCTGTGAAAAGGAAGGTTCAACTCTGTTAGTTGAGTACACACATCACAAAGAGGTTTCTGAGAATGCTGCTGACTAGTTTTTATTTGAAGATATTTCCCTTTTCACCTTAGGCCTAAGAGTGCTCGAAATGTCCATTTCCACATACTCCACAAAGTGTGTTTCAAACGTGCTGTATGAAAGGGAATGTTCAACTCTATGAGTTGAATGCAAACATCACAAAGAAGATTCTGAGAATGCTTTTGTCTAGATTTTATATGAAGATATTCCCGTGTCCAACGAAATTTTCAAAGGTCTCCAAATATCCATTTGTAGATTCTACAAAAAGAGTGTTTCCAAACTGCTGTATCAAAACAAAGGTTGAACTCTGTGAGTTGAGGACACACATCACAAATAAGTTTCTGAGAATGCTTCTGTCTAGTTTTTATTTGAAGATGTTTCCTTTTTCACCATAGGCCTGAAAGCGCTCGAAATGTCCACTTCCAGATAGTACAGAAAGAGTGTTTCAAACCTGCTCTATGAACGGGAATGTTCAGCTCCGTGAGTTGAATGCAAACATCACAAAGCAGGTTCTGAGAATGCTTCCGTCTAGATTTTAAATGAGGATATTCCCGTTTCCAACGAAATCCTCGAAGCTATCCAAATATCCACTTGCAGATTCCACAGAAAGAGTGTTTCAAAACTGCTCTCTCAAAAGATAGGTTCAACTCTGTTAGTTGAGTACACACATGGCAAACAAGATTCCGAGAATGCTTTCGTCTAGTTTTTTTGGGAAGATATTTCCTTCTTCACCATAGGCCTCAAAGCGCTCCAAATATCCATTTCCACATGCTATACAAAGAGTGTCTCAAACCTGCTGTATGAATGGGAATGTTCAACTCTATGAGTTGAATGCAAACATTACAAAGAAGTTTCTGAGAATGCTGCTGTCTAGATTTTATATGAAGGTTTTCCCGCTTCCAACGAAATTTTCAATGCTCTCAAAATATCCTCTTGTAGATTCTACAAAAAGAGTGTTTCCAAACTGCTGTATCAAAACAAAGGTTCATCTCTGGTAGTTGAGGACACACATCACAAATAAGTTTCTGAGAATGCTTCTGTCTAGTTCTTATTTGAAGACATTTCCTTTCTCACCTTAGGCCTGAAAGCACTCGAAATACCCACTTCCAGATACTACAGAAACAGTGATTCAAACCTGCTCTATGAAAGGGAATGTTCAACTAGGTGACTTGAATGCAAACATCACAAAGCAGTTTCTGAGAATGCTGCTGTCTTCTTTCTATTTGTAATCCCGTTTCCAACGAAATCCTCAGAACTATCGAAATTTCCAATTGCAGATTCCACAGAAACAGGGTTTCAAAGCTGCTCTGTAAAAAGAAAGGTTCAACTCTGTTAGTTGAATACACACGTCACAAACAAGTTTCTGAGAATGCTTCTGTCTAGTTTTTATGGGAAGATATTTCCTTTTTCACCGTAGGCCTCAAAGCGCTCCAAATGTCCACTTCCACATACTACAAAAAGAGTGTTTCAAACCTGCTGTATGAAAGGGAATGTTCAACTCTATGAGTTGAATGCAAACATTACAAAGAAGTTTCTGAGAATGCTTCTGTCTAGATTTTATATGAAGGTTTTCCCGTTTCCAACGAAATTTTCAATGCTCTCAAAATATCCACTTGTAGATTCTACAAAAAGAGTGTTTCCAAACTGCTGTGTCAAAAGAAAGGTTCAACTCTGTTAGTTGAGGACACACATCACAAATAAGTTTCTGAGAATGCTGCTGTCTACTTTCTATTTGTAATCCCGTTTCCAACGAAATCCTCAGAACTATCGAAATTTCCAATTGCAGATTCCACAAAAAGCGTGTTTCAAAGCTGCTCTGTAAAAAGAAAGGTTCAACTCTGTTAGTTGAATACACACGTCACAAACAAGTTTCTGAGAATGCTTCTGTCTAGTTTTTATGGGAAGATATTTCCTTTTTCACCGTAGGCCTCAAAGCGCTCCAAATGTCCACTTCCACATACTACAAAAAGAGTGTTTCAAACCTGCTCTATGATAGGGAATGTTGAAACCTATGAGTTGAATGCAAGCATTACAAAGAGGTTTCTGAGAATGCTTCTGTCTAGATTTTATATGTAGATATTCCCGTTTCCAACGAAATCCTCAAAGCTATCCAAATATCAGCTTGCAGATTCTGCAAAAGGAATGTTTCCAAAATGCTGTATCCAAACAAAGGTTCAACTCTGTGAATTGAGGGCATACATCACAAAGAAGATTCTGAGAATGCTTCTGTCTAGATTTTATATGAAAATATTCCCGTTTCCAACGAAATCCTCAAAGCTATCCAAATATCCACTTGCAAATGCCACAAAAAGAGTGTTTCCAAACTGCTCTGTGAAAAGGAAGGTTCAACTCTGTTAGTTGAGTACACACATCACAAAGAGGTTTCTGAGAATGCTGCTGACTAGTTTTTATTTGAAGATATTTCCCTTTTCACCTTAGGCCTAAGAGTGCTCGAAATGTCCATTTCCACATACTCCACAAAGTGTGTTTCAAACGTGCTGTATGAAAGGGAATGTTCAACTCTATGAGTTGAATGCAAACATCACAAAGAAGATTCTGAGAATGCTTTTGTCTAGATTTTATATGAAGATATTCCCGTGTCCAACGAAATTTTCAAAGGTCTCCAAATAAAGATTGTTTCCAAACTGCTGTATCAAAACAAAGGTTGAACTCTGTGAGTTGAGGACACACATCACAAATAAGTTTCTGAGAATGCTTCTGTCTAGTTTTTATTTGAAGATGTTTCCTTTTTCACCATAGGCCTGAAAGCGCTCGAAATGTCCACTTCCAGATAGTACAGAAAGAGTGTTTCAAACCTACTCTATGAACAGGAATGTTCAGCTCCGTGAGTTGAATGCAAACATCACAAAGCAGGTTCTGAGAATGCTTCCGTCTAGATTTTATATGAGGATATTCCCGTTTCCAAGGAAATCCTCGAAGCTATCCAAATATCCACTTGCAGATTCCACAGAAAGAGTGTTTCAAAACTGCTCTGTCAAAAGATAGGTTCAACTCTGTTAGTTGAGTACACACATGGCAAACAAGATTGCGAGAATGCTTTCGTCTAGTTTTTTTGGGAAGATATTTCCTTCTTCACCATAGGCCTCAAAGCGCTCCAAATATCCATTTCCATATGCTATACAAAGAGTGTCTCAAACCTGCTGTATGAATGGGAATGTTCAACTCTATGAGTTGAATGCAAACATCACAAAGAAGTTTCTGAGAATGCTGCTGTCTAGATTTTATATGAAGGTTTTCCCGCTTCCAACGAAATTTTCAATGCTCTCAAAATATCCTCTTGTAGATTCTACAAAAAGAGTGTTTCCAAACTGCTGTATCAAAACAAAGGTTCATCTCTGTTAGTTGAGGACACACATCACAAATAAGTTTCTGAGAATGCTTCTGTCTAGTTCTTATTTGAAGACATTTCCTTTCTCACCTTAGGCCTGAAAGCGCTCGAAATACCCACTTCCAGATACTACAGAAACAGTGATTCAAACCTGCTCTATGAAAGGGAATGTTCAACTATGTGACTTGAATGCAAACATCACAAAGCAGTTTCTGAGAATGCTGCTGTCTACTTTCTATTTGTAATCCCGTTTCCAACGAAATCCTCAGAACTATCGAAATTTCCAATTGCAGATTCCACAGAAACAGGGTTTCAAAGCTGCTCTGTAAAAAGAAAGGTTCAACTCTGTTAGTTGAATACACACGTCACAAACAAGTTTCTGAGAATGCTTCTGTCTAGTTTTTATGGGAAGATATTTCCTTTTTCACCGTAGGCCTCAAAGCGCTCCAAATGTCCACGTCCACATACTACAAAAAGAGTGTTTCAAACCTGCTGTATGAAAGGGAATGTTCAACTCTATGAGTTGAATGCAAACATTACAAAGAAGTTTCTGAGAATGGCTTCTGTCTAGATTTTATATGAAGGTTTTCCCGTTTCCAACGAAATTTTCAATGCTCTCAAAATATCCACTTGTAGATTCTACAAAAAGAGTGTTTCCAAACTGCTGTGTCAAAAGAAAGGTTCAACTCTGTTAGTTGAGGACACACATCACAAATAAGTTTCTGAGAATGCTGCTGTCTACTTTCTATTTGTAATCCCGTTTCCAACGAAATCCTCAGAACTATCGAAATTTCCAATTGCAGATTCCACAAAAAGCGTGTTTCAAAGCTGCTCTGTAAAAAGAAAGGTTCAACTCTGTTAGTTGAATACACACGTCACAAACAAGTTTCTGAGAATGCTTCTGTCTAGTTTTTATGGGAAGATATTTCCTTTTTCACCGTAGGCCTCAAAGCGCTCCAAATGTCCACTTCCACATACTACAAAAAGAGTGTTTCAAACCTGCTCTATGATAGGGAATGTTGAAACCTATGAGTTGAATGCAAGCATTACAAAGAGGTTTCTGAGAATGCTTCTGTCTAGATTTTATATGTAGATATTCCCGTTTCCAACGAAATCCTCAAAGCTATCCAAATATCAACTTGCAGATTCTACAAAAGGAATGTTTCCAAAATGCTGTATCCAAACAAAGGTTCAACTCTGTGAATTGAGGGCATACATCACAAAGAAGATTCTGAGAATGCTCTGTCTAGATTTTATATGAAAATATTCCCGTTTCCAACGAAATCCTCAAAGCTATCCAAATATCCACTTGCAAATGCCTCAAAAAGAGTGTTTCCAAACTGCTCTGTGAAAAGGAAGGTTCAACTCTGTTAGTTGAGTACACACATCACAAAGAGGTTTCTGAGAATGCTGGCTGACTAGTTTTTATTTGAAGATATTTCCCTTTTCACCTTAGGCCTAAGAGTGCTCGAAATGTCCATTTCCACATACTCCACAAAGTGTGTTTCAAACGTGCTGTATGAAAGGGAATGTTCAACTCTATGAGTTGAATGCAAACATCACAAAGAAGATTCTGAGAATGCTTTTGTCTAGATTTTATATGAAGATATTCCCGTGTCCAACGAAATTTTCAAAGGTCTCCAAATATCCATTTGTAGATTCTACAAAAAGAGTGTTTCCAAACTGCTGTATCAAAACAAAGGTTGAACTCTGTGAGTTGAGGACACACATCACAAATAAGTTTCTGAGAATGCTTCTGTCTAGTTTTTATTTGAAGATGTTTCCTTTTTCACCATAGGCCTGAAAGCGCTCGAAATGTCCACTTCCAGATAGTACAGAAAGAGTGTTTCAAACCTGCTCTATGAACGGGAATGTTCAGCTCTGTGAGTTGAATGCAAACATCACAAAGCAGGTTCTGAGAATGCTTCCGTCTAGATTTTAAATGAGGATATTCCCGTTTCCAACGAAATCCTCGAAGCTATCCAAATATCCACTTGCAGATTCCACAAAAAGAGTGTTTCAAAACTGCTCTGTCAAAAGATAGGTTCAACTCTGTTAGTTGAGTACACACATGGCAAACAAGATTGCGAGAATGCTTTCGTCTAGTTTTTGTGGGAAGATATTTCCTTCTTCACCATAGGCCTCAAAGCGCTCCAAATATCCATTTCCACATGCTATACAAAGAGTGTCTAAAACCTGCTGTATGAATGGGAATGTTCAACTCTATGAATTGAATGCAAACATCACAAAGAAGTTTCTGAGAATGCTGCTGTCTAGATTTTATATGAAGGTTTTCCCGCTTCCAACGAAATTTTCAATGCTCTCAAAATATCCTCTTGTAGATTCTACAAAAAGAGTGATTCCAAACTGCTGTATCAAAACAAAGGTTCACCTCTGTTAGTTGAGGACACACATCACAAATAAGTTTCTGAGAATGCTTCTGTCTAGTTCTTATTTGAAGACATTTCCTTTCTCACCTTAGGCCTGAAAGCGCTCGAAATACCCACTTCCAGATACTACAGAAACAGTGATTCAAACCTGCTCTATGAAAGGGAATGTTCAACTATGTGACTTGAATGCAAACATCACAAAGCAGTTTCTGAGAATGCTGCTGTCTACTTTCTATTTGTAATCCCGTTTCCAACGAAATCCTCAGAACTATCGAAATTTCCAATTGCAGATTCCACAAAAAGCGTGTTTCAAAGCTGCTCTGTAAAAAGAAAGGTTCAACTCTGTTAGTTGAATACACACGTCACAAACAAGTTTCTGAGAATGCTTCTGTCTAGTTTTTATGGGAAGATATTTCCTTTTTCACCGTAGGCCTCAAAGCGCTCCAAATGTCCACGTCCACATACTACAAAAAGAGTGTTTCAAACCTGCTGTATGAAAGGGAATGTTCAACTCTATGAGTTGAATGCAAACATTACAAAGAAGTTTCTGAGAATGCTTCTGTCTAGATTTTATATGAAGGTTTTCCCGTTTCCAACGAAATTTTCAATGCTCTCAAAATATCCACTTGTAGATTCTACAAAAAGAGTGTTTCCAAACTGCTGTGTCAAAAGAAAGGTTCAACTCTGTTAGTTGAGGACACACATCACAAATAAGTTTCTGAGAATGCTGCTGTCTACTTTCTATTTGTAATCCCGTTTCCAACGAAATCCTCAGAACTATCGAAATTTCCAATTGCAGATTCCACAAAAAGCGTGTTTCAAAGCTGCTCTGTAAAAAGAAAGGTTCAACTCTGTTAGTTGAATACACACGTCACAAACAAGTTTCTGAGAATGCTTCTGTCTAGTTTTTATGGGAAGATATTTCCTTTTTCACCGTAGGCCTCAAAGCGCTCCAAATGTCCACTTCCACATACTACAAAAAGAGTGTTTCAAACCTGCTCTATGATAGGGAATGTTGAAACCTATGAGTTGAATGCAAGCATTACAAAGAGGTTTCTGAGAATGCTTCTGTCTAGATTTTATATGTAGATATTCCCGTTTCCAACGAAATCCTCAAAGCTATCCAAATATCAACTTGCAGATTCTACAAAAGGAATGTTTCCAAAATGCTGTATCCAAACAAAGGTTCAACTCTGTGAATTGAGGGCATACATCACAAAGAAGATTCTGAGAATGCTTCTGTCTAGATTTTATATGAAAATATTCCCGTTTCCAACGAAATCCTCAAAGCTATCCAAATATCCACTTGCAAATGCCACAAAAAGAGTGTTTCCAAACTGCTCTGTGAAAAGGAAGGTTCAACTCTGTTAGTTGAGTACACACATCACAAAGAGGTTTCTGAGAATGCTGCTGACTAGTTTTTATTTGAAGATATTTCCCTTTTCACCTTAGGCCTAAGAGTGCTCGAAATGTCCATTTCCACATACTCCACAAAGTGTGTTTCAAACGTGCTGTATGAAAGGGAATGTTCAACTGCTATGAGTTGAATGCAAACATCACAAAGAAGATTCTGAGAATGCTTTTGTCTAGATTTTATATGAAGATATTCCCGTGTCCAACGAAATTTTCAAAGGTCTCCAAATATCCATTTGTAGATTCTACAAAAAGAGTGTTTCCAAACTGCTGTATCAAAACAAAGGTTGAACTCTGTGAGTTGAGGACACACATCACAAATAAGTTTCTGAGAATGCTTCTGTCTAGTTTTTATTTGAAGATGTTTCCTTTTTCACCATAGGCCTGAAAGCGCTCGAAATGTCCACTTCCAGATAGTACAGAAAGAGTGTTTCAAACCTGCTCTATGAACGGGAATGTTCAGCTCTGTGAGTTGAATGCAAACATCACAAAGCAGGTTCTGAGAATGCTTCCGTCTAGATTTTAAATGAGGATATTCCCGTTTCCAACGAAATCCTCGAAGCTATCCAAATATCCACTTGCAGATTCCACAAAAAGAGTGTTTCAAAACTGCTCTGTCAAAAGATAGGTTCAACTCTGTTAGTTGAGTACACACATGGCAAACAAGATTCCGAGAATGCTTTCGTCTAGTTTTTTTGGGAAGATATTTCCTTCTTCACCATAGGCCTCAAAGCGCTCCAAATATCCATTTCCACATGCTATACAAAGAGTGTCTCAAACCTGCTGTATGAATGGGAATGTTCAACTCTATGAGTTGAATGCAAACATCACAAAGAAGTTTCTGAGAATGCTGCTGTCTAGATTTTATATGA
Source organism: Homo sapiens (assembly GCF_000001405.40). NCBI lineage: Eukaryota > Metazoa > Chordata > Mammalia > Primates > Hominidae > Homo > Homo sapiens. The sequence continues at coordinate 19,619,291 of NC_000015.10, read as the reverse complement.
AGGTTTTCCCGCTTCCAACGAAATTTTCAACGCTCTCAAAATATCCTCTTGTAGATTCTACAAAAAGAGTGTTTCCAAACTGCTGTATCAAAACAAAGGTTCATCTCTGTTAGTTGAGGACACACATCACAAATAAGTTTCTGAGAATGCTTCTGTCTAGTTCTTATTTGAAGACATTTCCTTTCTCACCTTAGGCCTGAAAACGCTCGAAATATCCACTTCCAGATACGACAGAAACTGTGATTCAAACCTGCTCTATGAAAGGGAATGTTCAACTAGGTGACTTGAATGCAAACATCACAAAGCAGTTTCTGAGAATGCTGCTGTCTACTTTCTATTTGTAATCCCGTTTCCAACGAAATCCTCAGAACTATCGAAATTTCCAATTGCAGATTCCACAAAAAGCGTGTTTCAAAGCTGCTCTGTAAAAAGAAAGGTTCAACTCTGTTAGTTGAATACACACGTCACAAACAAGTTTCTGAGAATGCTTCTGTCTAGTTTTTATGGGAAGATATTTCCTTTTTCACCGTAGGCCTCAAAGCGCTCCAAATGTCCACGTCCACATACTACAAAAAGAGTGTTTCAAACCTGCTGTATGAAAGGGAATGTTCAACTCTATGAGTTGAATGCAAACATTACAAAGAAGTTTCTGAGAATGCTTCTGTCTAGATTTTATATGAAGGTTTTCCCGTTTCCAACGAAATTTTCAATGCTCTCAAAATATCCACTTGTAGATTCTACAAAAAGAGTGTTTCCAAACTGCTGTGTCAAAAGAAAGGTTCAACTCTGTTAGTTGAGGACACACATCACAAATAAGTTTCTGAGAATGCTGCTGTCTACTTTCTATTTGTAATCCCGTTTCCAACGAAATCCTCAGAACTATCGAAATTTCCAATTGCAGATTCCACAAAAAGCGTGTTTCAAAGCTGCTCTGTAAAAAGAAAGGTTCAACTCTGTTAGTTGAATACACACGTCACAAACAAGTTTCTGAGAATGCTTCTGTCTAGTTTTTATGGGAAGATATTTCCTTTTTCACCGTAGGCCTCAAAGCGCTCCAAATGTCCACTTCCACATACTACAAAAAGAGTGTTTCAAACCTGCTCTATGATAGGGAATGTTGAAACCTATGAGTTGAATGCAAGCATTACAAAGAGGTTTCTGAGAATGCTTCTGTCTAGATTTTATATGTAGATATTCCCGTTTCCAACGAAATCCTCAAAGCTATCCAAATATCAGCTTGCAGATTCTGCAAAAGGAATGTTTCCAAAATGCTGTATCCAAACAAAGGTTCAACTCTGTGAATTGAGGGCATACATCACAAAGAAGATTCTGAGAATGCTTCTGTCTAGATTTTATATGAAAATATTCCCGTTTCCAACGAAATCCTCAAAGCTATCCAAATATCCACTTGCAAATGCCACAAAAAGAGTGTTTCCAAACTGCTCTGTGAAAAGGAAGGTTCAACTCTGTTAGTTGAGTACACACATCACAAAGAGGTTTCTGAGAATGCTGCTGACTAGTTTTTATTTGAAGATATTTCCCTTTTCACCTTAGGCCTAAGAGTGCTCGAAATGTCCATTTCCACATACTCCACAAAGTGTGTTTCAAACGTGCTGTATGAAAGGGAATGTTCAACTCTATGAGTTGAATGCAAACATCACAAAGAAGATTCTGAGAATGCTTTTGTCTAGATTTTATATGAAGATATTCCCGTGTCCAACGAAATTTTCAAAGGTCTCCAAATATCCATTTGTAGATTCTACAAAAAGAGTGTTTCCAAACTGCTGTATCAAAACAAAGGTTGAACTCTGTGAGTTGAGGACACACATCACAAATAAGTTTCTGAGAATGCTTCTGTCTAGTTTTTATTTGAAGATGTTTCCTTTTTCACCATAGGCCTGAAAGCGCTCGAAATGTCCACTTCCAGATAGTACAGAAAGAGTGTTTCAAACCTGCTCTATGAACGGGAATGTTCAGCTCTGTGAGTTGAATGCAAACATCACAAAGCAGGTTCTGAGAATGCTTCCGTCTAGATTTTAAATGAGGATATTCCCGTTTCCAACGAAATCCTCGAAGCTATCCAAATATCCACTTGCAGATTCCACAAAAAGAGTGTTTCAAAACTGCTTTGTCAAAGGATACGTTCAACTCTGTTAGTTGAGTACACACATGGCAAACAAGATTCCGAGAATGCTTTCGTCTAGTTTTTTTGGGAAGATATTTCCTTCTTCACCATAGGCCTCAAAGCGCTCCAAATATCCATTTCCACATGCTATACAAAGAGTGTCTCAAACCTGCTGTATGAATGGGAATGTTCAACTCTATGAGTTGAATGCAAACATCACAAAGAAGTTTCTGAGAATGCTGCTGTCTAGATTTTATATGAAGGTTTTCCCGCTTCCAACGAAATTTTCAATGCTCTCAAAATATCCTCTTGTAGATTCTACAAAAAGAGTGTTTCCAAACTGCTGTATCAAAACAAAGGTTCATCTCTGTTAGTTGAGGACACACATCACAAATAAGTTTCTGAGAATGCTTCTGTCTAGTTCTTATTTGAAGACATTTCCTTTCTCACCTTAGGCCTGAAAACGCTCGAAATATCCACTTCCAGATACGACAGAAACTGTGATTCAAACCTGCTCTATGAAAGGGAATGTTCAACTAGGTGACTTGAATGCAAACATCACAAAGCAGTTTCTGAGAATGCTGCTGTCTACTTTCTATTTGTAATCCCGTTTCCAACGAAATCCTCAGAACTATCGAAATTTCCAATTGCAGATTCCACAGAAACAGGGTTTCAAAGCTGCTCTGTAAAAAGAAAGGTTCAACTCTGTTAGTTGAATACACACGTCACAAACAAGTTTCTGAGAATGCTTCTGTCTAGTTTTTATGGGAAGATATTTCCTTTTTCACCGTAGGCCTCAAAGCGCTCCAAATGTCCACTTCCACATACTACAAAAAGAGTGTTTCAAACCTGCTGTATGAAAGGGAATGTTCAACTCTATGAGTTGAATGCAAACATTACAAAGAAGTTTCTGAGAATGCTTCTGTCTAGATTTTATATGAAGGTTTTCCCGTTTCCAAGGAAAATTTCAATGCTCTCAAAATATCCACTTGTAGATTCTACAAAAAGAGTGTTTCCAATCTGCTGTGTCAAAAGAAAGGTTCAACTCTGTTAGTTGAGGACACACATCACAAAGAGGTTTCTGAGAATGCTGCTGTCTACTTTCTATTTGTAATCCCGTTTCCAACGAAATCCTCAGAACTATCGAAATTTCCAATTGCAGATTCCACAAAAAGCGTGTTTCAAAGCTGCTCTGTAAAAAGAAAGGTTCAACTCTGTTAGTTGAATACACACGTCACAAACAAGTTTCTGAGAATGCTTCTGTCTAGTTTTTATGGGAAGATATTTCCTTTTTCACCGTAGGCCTCAAAGCGCTCCAAATGTCCACTTCCACATACTACAAAAAGAGTGTTTCAAACCTGCTCTATGATAGGGAATGTTGAAACCTATGAGTTGAATGCAAGCATTACAAAGAGGTTTCTGAGAATGCTTCTGTCTAGATTTTATATGTAGATATTCCCGTTTCCAACGAAATCCTCAAAGCTATCCAAATATCAACTTGCAGATTCTACAAAAGGAATGTTTCCAAAATGCTGTATCCAAACAAAGGTTCAACTCTGTGAATTGAGGGCATACATCACAAAGAAGATTCTGAGAATGCTTCTGTCTAGATTTTATATGAAAATATTCCCGTTTCCAACAAAATCCTCAAAGCTATCCAAATATCCACTTGCAAATGCCACAAAAAGAGTGTTTCCAAACTGCTCTGTGAAAAGGAAGGTTCAACTCTGTTAGTTGAGTACACACATCACAAAGAGGTTTCTGAGAATGCTGCTGACTAGTTTTTATTTGAAGATATTTCCCTTTTCACCTTAGGCCTAAGAGTGCTCGAAATGTCCATTTCCACATACTCCACAAAGTGTGTTTCAAACGTGCTGTATGAAAGTGAATGTTCAACTCTATGAGTTGAATGCAAACATCACAAAGAAGATTCTGAGAATGCTTTTGTCTAGATTTTATATGAAGATATTCCCGTGTCCAACGAAATTTTCAAAGGTCTCCAAATATCCATTTGTAGATTCTACAAAAAGAGTGTTTCCAAACTGCTGTATCAAAACAAAGGTTGAACTCTGTGAGTTGAGGACACACATCACAAATAAGTTTCTGAGAATGCTTCTGTCTAGTTTTTATTTGAAGATGTTTCCTTTTTCACCATAGGCCTGAAAGCGCTCGAAATGTCCACTTCCAGATAGTACAGAAAGAGTGTTTCAAACCTGCTCTATGAACGGGAATGTTCAGCTCTGTGAGTTGAATGCAAACATCACAAAGCAGGTTCTGAGAATGCTTCCGTCTAGATTTTAAATGAGGATATTCCCGTTTCCAACGAAATCCTCGAAGCTATCCAAATATCCACTTGCAGATTCCACAAAAAGAGTGTTTCAAAACTGCTCTGTCAAAAGATAGGTTCAACTCTGTTAGTTGAGTACACACATGGCAAACAAGATTCCGAGAATGCTTTCGTCTAGTTTTTTTGGGAAGATATTTCCTTCTTCACCATAGGCCTCAAAGCGCTCCAAATATCCATTTCCACATGCTATACAAAGAGTGTCTCAAACCTGCTGTATGAATGGGAATGTTCAACTCTATGAGTTGAATGCAAACATCACAAAGAAGTTTCTGAGAATGCTGCTGTCTAGATTTTATATGAAGGTTTTCCCGCTTCCAACGAAATTTTCAATGCTCTCAAAATATCCTCTTGTAGATTCTACAAAAAGAGTGTTTCCAAACTGCTGTATCAAAACAAAGGTTCATCTCTGTTAGTTGAGGACACACATCACAAATAAGTTTCTGAGAATGCTTCTGTCTAGTTCTTATTTGAAGACATTTCCTTTCTCACCTTAGGCCTGAAAGCGCTCGAAATACCCACTTCCAGATACTACAGAAACAGTGATTCAAACCTGCTCTATGAAAGGGAATGTTCAACTAGGTGAGTTGAATGCAAACATCACAAAGCAGTTTCTGAGAATGCTGCTGTCTACTTTCTATTTGTAATCCCGTTTCCAACGAAATCCTCAGAACTATCGAAATTTCCAATTGCAGATTCCACAGAAACAGGGTTTCAAAGCTGCTCTGTAAAAAGAAAGGTTCAACTCTGTTAGTTGAATACACACGTCACAAACAAGTTTCTGAGAATGCTTCTGTCTAGTTTTTATGGGAAGATATTTCCTTTTTCACCGTAGGCCTCAAAGCGCTCCAAATGTCCACTTCCACATACTACAAAAAGAGTGTTTCAAACCTGCTGTATGAAAGGGAATGTTCAACTCTATGAGTTGAATGCAAACATCACAAAGAAGTTTCTGAGAATGCTTCTGTCTAGATTTTATATGAAGGTTTTCCCGTTTCCAACGAAATTTTCAATGCTCTCAAAATATCCACTTGTAGATTCTACAAAAAGAGTGTTTCCAAACTGCTGTGTCAAAAGAAAGGTTCAACTCTGTTAGTTGAGGACACACATCACAAGTTTCTGAGAATGCTTCTGTCTAGTTCTTATTTGAAGACATTTCCTTTCTCACCTTAGGCCTGAAAGCGCTCGAAATACCCACTTCCAGATACTACAGAAACAGTGATTCAAACCTGCTCTATGAAAGGGAATGTTCAACTAGGTGACTTGAATGCAAACATCACAAAGCAGTTTCTGAGAATGCTGCTGTCTACTTTCTATTTGTAATCCCGTTTCCAACGAAATCCTCAGAACTATCGAAATTTCCAATTGCAGATTCCACAGAAACAGGGTTTCAAAGCTGCTCTGTAAAAAGAAAGGTTCAACTCTGTTAGTTGAATACACACGTCACAAACAAGTTTCTGAGAATGCTTCTGTCTAGTTTTTATGGGAAGATATTTCCTTTTTCACCGTAGGCCTCAAAGCGCTCCAAATGTCCACGTCCACATACTACAAAAAGAGTGTTTCAAACCTGCTGTATGAAAGGGAATGTTCAACTCTATGAGTTGAATGCAAACATTACAAAGAAGTTTCTGAGAATGCTTCTGTCTAGATTTTATATGAAGGTTTTCCCGTTTCCAACGAAATTTTCAATGCTCTCAAAATATCCACTTGTAGATTCTACAAAAAGAGTGTTTCCAAACTGCTGTGTCAAAAGAAAGGTTCAACTCTGTTAGTTGAGGACACACATCACAAATAAGTTTCTGAGAATGCTGCTGTCTACTTTCTATTTGTAATCCCGTTTCCAACGAAATCCTCAGAACTATCGAAATTTCCAATTGCAGATTCCACAAAAAGCGTGTTTCAAAGCTGCTCTGTAAAAAGAAAGGTTCAACTCTGTTAGTTGAATACACACGTCACAAACAAGTTTCTGAGAATGCTTCTGTCTAGTTTTTATGGGAAGATATTTCCTTTTTCACCGTAGGCCTCAAAGCGCTCCAAATGTCCACTTCCACATACTACAAAAAGAGTGTTTCAAACCTGCTCTATGATAGGGAATGTTGAAACCTATGAGTTGAATGCAAGCATTACAAAGAGGTTTCTGAGAATGCTTCTGTCTAGATTTTATATGTAGATATTCCCGTTTCCAACGAAATCCTCAAAGCTATCCAAATATCAACTTGCAGATTCTACAAAAGGAATGTTTCCAAAATGCTGTATCCAAACAAAGGTTCAACTCTGTGAATTGAGGGCATACATCACAAAGAAGATTCTGAGAATGCTTCTGTCTAGATTTTATATGAAAATATTCCCGTTTCCAACGAAATCCTCAAAGCTATCCAAATATCCACTTGCAAATGCCACAAAAAGAGTGTTTCCAAACTGCTCTGTGAAAAGGAAGGTTCAACTCTGTTAGTTGAGTACACACATCACAAAGAGGTTTCTGAGAATGCTGCTGACTAGTTTTTATTTGAAGATATTTCCCTTTTCACCTTAGGCCTAAGAGTGCTCGAAATGTCCATTTCCACATACTCCACAAAGTGTGTTTCAAACGTGCTGTATGAAAGGGAATGTTCAACTCTATGAGTTGAATGCAAACATCACAAAGAAGATTCTGAGAATGCTTTTGTCTAGATTTTATATGAAGATATTCCCGTGTCCAACGAAATTTTCAAAGGTCTCCAAATATCCATTTGTAGATTCTACAAAAAGAGTGTTTCCAAACTGCTGTATCAAAACAAAGGTTGAACTCTGTGAGTTGAGGACACACATCACAAATAAGTTTCTGAGAATGCTTCTGTCTAGTTTTTATTTGAAGATGTTTCCTTTTTCACCATAGGCCTGAAAGCGCTCGAAATGTCCACTTCCAGATAGTACAGAAAGAGTGTTTCAAACCTGCTCTATGAACGGGAATGTTCAGCTCTGTGAGTTGAATGCAAACATCACAAAGCAGGTTCTGAGAATGCTTCCGTCTAGATTTTAAATGAGGATATTCCCGTTTCCAACGAAATCCTCGAAGCTATCCAAATATCCACTTGCAGATTCCACAAAAAGAGTGTTTCAAAACTGCTCTGTCAAAAGATAGGTTCAACTCTGTTAGTTGAGTACACACATGGCAAACAAGATTGCGAGAATGCTCTTTCGTCTAGTTTTTTTGGGAAGATATTTCCTTCTTCACCATAGGCCTCAAAGCGCTCCAAATATCCATTTCCACATGCTATACAAAGAGTGTCTCAAACCTGCTGTATGAATGGGAATGTTCAACTCTATGAGTTGAATGCAAACATCACAAAGAAGTTTCTGAGAATGCTGCTGTCTAGATTTTATATGAAGGTTTTCCCGCTTCCAACGAAATTTTCAATGCTCTCAAAATATCCTCTTGTAGATTCTACAAAAAGAGTGTTTCCAAACTGCTGTATCAAAACAAAGGTTCATCTCTGTTAGTTGAGGACACACATCACAAATAAGTTTCTGAGAATGCTTCTGTCTAGTTCTTATTTGAAGACATTTCCTTTCTCACCTTAGGCCTGAAAGCGCTCGAAATACCCACTTCCAGATACTACAGAAACAGTGATTCAAACCTGCTCTATGAAAGGGAATGTTCAACTAGGTGACTTGAATGCAAACATCACAAAGCAGTTTCTGAGAATGCTGCTGTCTACTTTCTATTTGTAATCCCGTTTCCAACGAAATCCTCAGAACTATCGAAATTTCCAATTGCAGATTCCACAGAAACAGGGTTTCAAAGCTGCTCTGTAAAAAGAAAGGTTCAACTCTGTTAGTTGAATACACACAGTCACAAACAAGTTTCTGAGAATGCTTCTGTCTAGTTTTTATGGGAAGATATTTCCTTTTTCACCGTAGGCCTCAAAGCGCTCCAAATGTCCACTTCCACATACTACAAAAAGAGTGTTTCAAACCTGCTGTAAGAAAGGGAATGTTCAACTCTATGAGTCGAATGCAAACATTACAAAGAAGTTTCTGAGAATGCTTCTGTCTAGATTTTATATGAAGGTTTTCCCGTTTCCAACGAAATTTTCAATGCTCTCAAAATATCCACTTGTAGATTCTACAAAAAGAGTGTTTCCAAACTGCTGTGTCAAAAGAAAGGTTCAACTCTGTTAGTTGAGGACACACATCACAAATAAGTTTCTGAGAATGCTGCTGTCTACTTTCTATTTGTAATCCCGTTTCCAACGAAATCCTCAGAACTATCGAAATTTCCAATTGCAGATTCCACAAAAAGCGTGTTTCAAAGCTGCTCTGTAAAAAGAAAGGTTCAACTCTGTTAGTTGAATACACACGTCACAAACAAGTTTCTGAGAATGCTTCTGTCTAGTTTTTATGGGAAGATATTTCCTTTTTCACCGTAGGCCTCAAAGCGCTCCAAATGTCCACTTCCACATACTACAAAAAGAGTGTTTCAAACCTGCTCTATGATAGGGAATGTTGAAACCTATGAGTTGAATGCAAGCATTACAAAGAGGTTTCTGAGAATGCTTCTGTCTAGATTTTATATGTAGATATTCCCGTTTCCAACGAAATCCTCAAAGCTATCCAAATATCAACTTGCAGATTCTACAAAAGGAATGTTTCCAAAATGCTGTATCCAAACAAAGGTTCAACTCTGTGAATTGAGGGCATACATCACAAAGAAGATTCTGAGAATGCTTCTGTCTAGATTTTATATGAAAATATTCCCGTTTCCAACGAAATCCTCAAAGCTATCCAAATATCCACTTGCAAATGCCACAAAAAGAGTGTTTCCAAACTGCTCTGTGAAAAGGAAGGTTCAACTCTGTTAGTTGAGTACACACATCACAAAGAGGTTTCTGAGAATGCTGCTGACTAGTTTTTATTTGAAGATATTTCCCTTTTCACCTTAGGCCTAAGAGTGCTCGAAATGTCCATTTCCACATACTCCACAAAGTGTGTTTCAAACGTGCTGTATGAAAGGGAATGTTCAACTCTATGAGTTGAATGCAAACATCACAAAGAAGATTCTGAGAATGCTTTTGTCTAGATTTTATATGAAGATATTCCCGTGTCCAACGAAATTTTCAAAGGTCTCCAAATATCCATTTGTAGATTCTACAAAAAGAGTGTTTCCAAACTGCTGTATCAAAACAAAGGTTGAACTCTGTGAGTTGAGGACACACATCACAAATAAGTTTCTGAGAATGCTTCTGTCTAGTTTTTATTTGAAGATGTTTCCTTTTTCACCATAGGCCTGAAAGCGCTCGAAATGTCCACTTCCAGATAGTACAGAAAGAGTGTTTCAAACCTGCTCTATGAACGGGAATGTTCAGCTCTGTGAGTTGAATGCAAACATCACAAAGCAGGTTCTGAGAATGCTTCCGTCTAGATTTTAAATGAGGATATTCCCGTTTCCAACGAAATCCTCGAAGCTATCCAAATATCCACTTGCAGATTCCACAAAAAGAGTGTTTCAAAACTGCTCTGTCAAAAGATAGGTTCAACTCTGTTAGTTGAGTACACACATGGCAAACAAGATTGCGAGAATGCTTTCGTCTAGTTTTTTTGGGAAGATATTTCCTTCTTCACCATAGGCCTCAAAGTGCTCCAAATATCCATTTCCACATGCTATACAAAGAGTGTCTCAAACCTGCTGTATGAATGGGAATGTTCAACTCTATGAGTTGAATGCAAACATCACAAAGAAGTTTCTGAGAATGCTGCTGTCTAGATTTTATATGAAGGTTTTCCCGCTTCCAACGAAATTTTCAATGCTCTCAAAATATCCTCTTGTAGATTCTACAAAAAGAGTGTTTCCAAACTGCTGTATCAAAACAAAGGTTCATCTCTGTTAGTTGAGGACACACATCACAAATAAGTTTCTGAGAATGCTTCTGTCTAGTTCTTATTTGAAGACATTTCCTTTCTCACCTTAGGCCTGAAAACGCTCGAAATATCCACTTCCAGATACGACAGAAACTGTGATTCAAACCTGCTCTATGAAAGGGAATGTTCAACTAGGTGACTTGAATGCAAACATCACAAAGCAGTTTCTGAGAATGCTGCTGTCTACTTTCTATTTGTAATCCCGTTTGCAACGAAATCCTCAGAACTATCGAAATTTCCAATTGCAGATTCCACAAAAAGCGTGTTTCAAAGCTGCTCTGTAAAAAGAAAGGTTCAACTCTGTTAGTTGAATACACACGTCACAAACAAGTTTCTGAGAATGCTTCTGTCTAGTTTTTATGGGAAGATATTTCCTTTTTCACCGTAGGCCTCAAAGCGCTCCAAATGTCCACTTCCACATACTACAAAAAGAGTGTTTCAAACCTGCTGTATGAAAGGGAATGTTCAACTCTATGAGTTGAATGCAAACATTACAAAGAAGTTTCTGAGAATGCTTCTGTCTAGATTTTATATGAAGGTTTTCCCGTTTCCAACGAAATTTTCAATGCTCTCAAAATATCCACTTGTAGATTCTACAAAAAGAGTGTTTCCAAACTGCTGTGTCAAAAGAAAGGTTCAACTCTGTTAGTTGAGGACACACATCACAAATAAGTTTCTGAGAATGCTGCTGTCTACTTTCTATTTGTAATCCCGTTTCCAACGAAATCCTCAGAACTATCGAAATTTCCAATTGCAGATTCCACAAAAAGCGTGTTTCAAAGCTGCTCTGTAAAAAGAAAGGTTCAACTCTGTTAGTTGAATACACACGTCACAAACAAGTTTCTGAGAATGCTTCTGTCTAGTTTTTATGGGAAGATATTTCCTTTTTCACGGTAGGCCTCAAAGCGCTCCAAATGTCCACTTCCACATACTACAAAAAGAGTGTTTCAAACCTGCTCTATGATAGGGAATGTTGAAACCTATGAGTTGAATGCAAGCATTACAAAGAGGTTTCTGAGAATGCTTCTGTCTAGATTTTATATGTAGATATTCCCGTTTCCAACGAAATCCTCAAAGCTATCCAAATATCAACTTGCAGATTCTACAAAAGGAATGTTTCCAAAATGCTGTATCCAAACAAAGGTTCAACTCTGTGAATTGAGGGCATACATCACAAAGAAGATTCTGAGAATGCTTCTGTCTAGATTTTATATGAAAATATTCCCGTTTCCAACGAAATCCTCAAAGCTATCCAAATATCCACTTGCAAATGCCACAAAAAGAGTGTTTCCAAACTGCTCTGTGAAAAGGAAGGTTCAACTCTGTTAGTTGAGTACACACATCACAAAGAGGTTTCTGAGAATGCTGCTGACTAGTTTTTATTTGAAGATATTTCCCTTTTCACCTTAGGCCTAAGAGTGCTCGAAATGTCCATTTCCACATACTCCACAAAGTGTGTTTCAAACGTGCTGTATGAAAGGGAATGTTCAACTCTATGAGTTGAATGCAAACATCACAAAGAAGATTCTGAGAATGCTTTTGTCTAGATTTTATATGAAGATATTCCCGTGTCCAACGAAATTTTCAAAGGTCTCCAAATATCCATTTGTAGATTCTACAAAAAGAGTGTTTCCAAACTGCTGTATCAAAACAAAGGTTGAACTCTGTGAGTTGAGGACACACATCACAAATAAGTTTCTGAGAATGCTTCTGTCTAGTTTTTATTTGAAGATGTTTCCTTTTTCACCATAGGCCTGAAAGCGCTCGAAATGTCCACTTCCAGATAGTACAGAAAGAGTGTTTCAAACCTGCTCTATGAACGGGAATGTTCACCTCTGTGAGTTGAATGCAAACATCACAAAGCAGGTTCTGAGAATGCTTCCGTCTAGGTTTTAAATGAGGATATTCCCGTTTCCAACGAAATCCTCGAAGCTATCCAAATATCCACTTGCAGATTCCACAAAAAGAGTGTTTCAAAACTGCTCTGTCAAAAGATAGGTTCAACTCTGTTAGTTGAGTACACACATGGCAAACAAGATTCCGAGAATGCTTTCGTCTAGTTTTTTTGGGAAGATATTTCCTTCTTCACCATAGGCCTCAAAGCGCTCCAAATATCCATTTCCACATGCTATACAAAGAGTGTCTCAAACCTGCTGTATGAATGGGAATGTTCAACTCTATGAGTTGAATGCAAACATCACAAAGAAGTTTCTGAGAATGCTGCTGTCTAGATTTTATATGAAGGTTTTCCCGCTTCCAACGAAATTTTCAATGCTCTCAAAATATCCTCTTGTAGATTCTACAAAAAGAGTGTTTCCAAACTGCTGTATCAAAACAAAGGTTCATCTCTGTTAGTTGAGGACACACATCACAAATAAGTTTCTGAGAATGCTTCTGTCTAGTTCTTATTTGAAGACATTTCCTTTCTCTCCTTAGGCCTGAAAACTCTCGAAATATCCACTTCCAGATACGACAGAAACTGTGATTCAAACCTGCTCTATGAAAGGGAATGTTCAACTAGGTGACTTGAATGCAAACATCACAAAGCAGTTTCTGAGAATGCTGCTGTCTACTTTCTATTTGTAATCCCGTTTCCAACGAAATCCTCAGAACTATCGAAATTTCCAATTGCAGATTCCACAGAAACAGGGTTTCAAAGCTGCTCTGTAAAAAGAAAGGTTCAACTCTGTTAGTTGAATACACACGTCACAAACAAGTTTCTGAGAATGCTTCTGTCTAGTTTTTATGGGAAGATATTTCCTTTTTCACCATAGGCCTCAAAGCGCTCCAAATGTCCACTTCCACATACTACAAAAAGAGTGTTTCAAACCTGCTGTATGAAAGGGAATGTTCAACTCTATGAGTTGAATGCAAACATTACAAAGAAGTTTCTGAGAATGCTTCTGTCTAGATTTTATATGAAGGTTTTCCCGTTTCCAACGAAATTTTCAATGCTCTGAAAATATCCACTTGTAGATTCTACAAAAAGAGTGTTTCCAAACTGCTGTGTCAAAAGAAAGGTTCAACTCTGTTAGTTGAGGACACACATCACAAATAAGTTTCATGAGAATGCTTCTGTCTAGTTCTTATTTGAAGACATTTCCTTTCTCACGTTAGGCTTGAAAACGCTCGAAATATCCACTTCCAGATACGACAGAAACAGTGATTCAAACCTGCTCTATGAAAGGGAATGTTCAACTAGGTGACTTGAATGCAAACATCACAAAGCAGTTTACTGAGAATGCTTCTGTCTAGTTTTTATGGGAAGATATTTCCTTTTTCACCGTAGGCCTCAAAGCGCTCCAAATGTCCACTTCCACATACTACAAAAAGAGTGTTTCAAACCTGCTCTATGATAGGGAATGTTGAAACCTATGAGTTGAATGCAAGCATTACAAAGAGGTTTCTGAGAATGCTTCTGTCTAGATTTTATATGTAGATATTCCCGTTTCCAACGAAATCCTCAAAGCTATCCAAATATCAGCTTGCAGATTCTGCAAAAGGAATGTTTCCAAAATGCTGTATCCAAACAAAGGTTCAACTCTGTGAATTGAGGGCATACATCACAAAGAAGATTCTGAGAATGCTTCTGTCTAGATTTTATATGAAAATATTCCCGTTTCCAACGAAATCCTCAAAGCTATCCAAATATCCACTTGCAAATGCCACAAAAAGAGTGTTTCCAAACTGCTCTGTGAAAAGGAAGGTTCAACTCTGTTAGTTGAGTACACACATCACAAAGAGGTTTCTGAGAATGCTGCTGACTAGTTTTTATTTGAAGATATTTCCCTTTTCACCTTAGGCCTAAGAGTGCTCGAAATGTCCATTTCCACATACTCCACAAAGTGTGTTTCAAACGTGCTGTATGAAAGGGAATGTTCAACTCTATGAGTTGAATGCCAATATCACAAAGAAGATTCTGAGAATGCTTTTGTCTAGATTTTATATGAAGATATTCCCGGTGTCCAACGAAATTTTCAAAGGTCTCCAAATATCCATTTGTAGATTCTACAAAAAGAGTGTTTCCAAACTGCTGTATCAAAACAAAGGTTGAACTCTGTGAGTTGAGGACACACATCACAAATAAGTTTCTGAGAATGCTTCTGTCTAGTTTTTATTTGAAGATGTTTCCTTTTTCACCATAGGCCTGAAAGCGCTCGAAATGTCCACTTCCAGATAGTACAGAAAGAGTGTTTCAAACCTGCTCTATGAACGGGAATGTTCAGCTCTGTGAGTTGAATGCAAACATCACAAAGCAGGTTCTGAGAATGCTTCCGTCTAGATTTTAAATGAGGATATTCCCGTTTCCAACGAAATCCTCGAAGCTATCCAAATATCCACTTGCAGATTCCACAAAAAGAGTGTTTCAAAACTGCTCTGTCAAAAGATAGGTTCAACTCTGTTAGTTGAGTACACACATGGCAAACAAGATTCCGAGAATGCTTTCGTCTAGTTTTTTTGGGAAGATATTTCCTTCTTCACCATAGGCCTCAAAGCGCTCCAAATATCCATTTCCACATGCTATACAAAGAGTGTCTCAAACCTGCTGTATGAATGGGAATGTTCAACTCTATGAGTTGAATGCAAACATCACAAAGAAGTTTCTGAGAATGCTGCTGTCTAGATTTTATATGAAGGTTTTCCCGCTTCCAACGAAATTTTCAATGCTCTCAAAATATCCTCTTGTAGATTCTACAAAAAGAGTGTTTCCAAACTGCTGTATCAAAACAAAGGTTCATCTCTGTTAGTTGAGGACACACATCACAAATAAGTTTCTGAGAATGCTTCTGTCTAGTTCTTATTTGAAGACATTTCCTTTCTCATCTTAGGCCTGAAAGCGCTCGAAACACCCACTTCCAGATACTACACAGACAGTGATTCAAACCTGCTCTATCAAAGGAAATGTTCAACTATGTGACTTGAATGCAAACATCACAAAGCAGTTTCTGAGAATGCTGCTGTCTACTTTCTATTTGTAATACCGTTTCCAACGAAATACTCAGAACTACCGAAATTTCCAATTGCAGATTCCACAAAAACAGGGTTTCAAAGCTGCTCTGTAAAAAGAAAGGTTCAACTCTGTTAGTTGAATACACACGTCACAAACAGGTTTCTGAGAATGCTTCTGTCTAGTTTTTATGGGAAGATATTTCCTTTTTCACCGTAGGCCTCAAAGCGCTCCAAATGTCCACTTCCACATACTACAAAAAGAGTGTTTCAAACCTGCTGTATGAAAGGGAATGTTCAACTCTATGAGTTGAATGCAAACATTACAAAGAAGTTTCTGAGAATGCTTCTGTCTAGATTTTATATGTAGATATTCCCGTTTCCAACGAAATCCTCAAAGCTATCCAAATATCAACTTGCAGATTCTACAAAAGGAATGTTTCCAAAATGCTGTATCCAAACAAAGGTTCAACTCTGGGAATTGAGGGCATACATCACAAAGAAGATTCTGAGAATGCTTCGGTCTAGATTTTACATGAAAATATTCCCGTTTCCAACGAAATCCTCAAAGCTATCCAAATATCCACTTGAAAATGCCACAAAAAGAGTGTTTCAAACCTGCTCTGTGAAAAGGAAGGTTCAACTCTGTTAGTTGAGTACACACATTCACCAAGAGGTTTCTGAGAATGCTGCTGACTAGTTTTTATTTGAAGATATTTCCCTTTTCACCTTAGGCCTAAGAGTGCTCGAAATGTCCATTTCCACATACTACACAAAGTGTGTTTCTAACGTGCTGTATGAAAGGGAATGCTCAACTCTATGAGTTCAATGCAAACATCACAAAGAAGATTCTGAGAATGCTTTTGTCTAGATTTTATATGAAGATATTCCCATGTCCAACGAAATTTTCAAAGATCTCCAAATATCCATTTGTAGATTCTACAAAAAGAGTGTCTCCAAACTGCTGTATCAAAACAAAGGTTGAACTCTGTGAGTTGAGGTCACACATCACAAATAAGTTTCTGAGAATGCTTCTGTCTAGTTTTTATTTGAAGATATTTCCTTTTTCACCATAGGCCTGAAAGCGCTCAAAATGCCCACTTCCAGATAGTACAGAAAGAGTGTTTCAAACCTGCTCTATCAAAGGGTATGTTCAGCTCTGTGAGTTCAATGCAAATATCACAAAGCAGGTTCTGAGAATGCTTCCGTCTAGGTTTTAAATGAGGATATTCCCGTTTCCAACGAAATCCTCGAAGCTATCCAAATATCCACTTGCAGATTCCACAAAAAGAGTGTTTCAAAACTGCTCTGTCAAAAGATAGGTTCAACTCTGTTAGTTGAGTACACACATGGCAAACAAGATTCCGAGAATGCTTTCGTCTAGTTTTTTTGGGAAGATATTTCCTTCTTCACCATAGGCCTCAAAGCGCTCCAAATATCCATTTCCACATGCTATACAAAGAGTGTCTCAAACCTGCTGTATGAATGGGAATGTTCAACTCTATGAGTTGAATGCAAACATCACAAAGAAGTTTCTGAGAATGCTGCTGTCTAGTATTTTATATGAAGGTTTTCCCGCTTCCAACGAAATTTTCAACGCTCTCAAAATATCCTCTTGTAGATTCTACAAAAAGAGTGTTTCCAAACTGCTGTATCAAAACAAAGGTTCATCTCTGTTAGTTGAGGACACACATCACAAATAAGTTTCTGAGAATGCTTCTGTCTAGTTCTTATTTGAAGACATTTCCTTTCTCACCTTAGGCCTGAAAGCGCTCGAAATATCCACTTCCAGATACGGCAGAAACTGTGATTCAAACCTGCTCTATGAAAGGGAATGTTCAACTAGGTGACTTGAATGCAAACATCACAAAGCAGTTTCTGAGAATGCTGCTGTCTACTTTCTATTTGTAATCCCGTTTCCAACGAAATCCTCAGAACTATCGAAATTTCCAATTGCAGATTCCACAAAAAGCGTGTTTAAAGCTGCTCTGTAAAAAGAAAGGTTCAACTCTGTTAGTTGAATACACACGTCACAAACAAGTTTCTGAGAATGCTTCTGTCTAGTTTTTATGGGAAGATATTTCCTTTTTCACCGTAGGCCTCAAAGCGCTCCAAATGTCCACTTCCACATACTACAAAAAGAGTGTTTCAAACCTGCTGTATGAAAGGGAATGTTCAACTCTATGAGTTGAATGCAAACATTACAAAGAAGTTTCTGAGAATGCTTCTGTCTAGATTTTATATGAAGGTTTTCCCGTTTCCAACGAAATTTTCAATGCTCTCAAAATATCCACTTGTAGATTCTACAAAAAGAGTGTTTCCAAACTGCTGTGTCAAAAGAAAGGTTCAACTCTGTTAGTTGAGGACACACATCACAAATAAGTTTCTGAGAATGCTGCTGTCTACTTTCTATTTGTAATCCCGTTTCCAACGAAATCCTCAGAACTATCGAAATTTCCAATTGCAGATTCCACAAAAAGCGTGTTTCAAAGCTGCTCTGTAAAAAGAAAGGTTCAACTCTGTTAGTTGAATACACACGTCACAAACAAGTTTCTGAGAATGCTTCTGTCTAGTTTTTATGGGAAGATATTTCCTTTTTCACCGTAGGCCTCAAAGTGCTCCAAATGTCCACTTCCACATACTACAAAAAGAGTGTTTCAAACCTGCTGTATGAAAGGGAATGTTCAACTCTATGAGTTGAATGCAAACATTACAAAGAAGTTTCTGAGAATGCTTCTGTCTAGTTCTTATTTGAAGACATTTCCTTTCTCACCTTAGGCCTGAAAGCGCTCGAAATATCCACTTCCAGATACTACAGAAATAGTGATTCAAACCTGCCCTATGAAAGGGAATGTTCAACTATGTGACTTGAATGCAAACATCACAAAGCAGTTTCTGAGAATGCTGCTGTCTACTTTCTATTTGTAATCCCGTTTCCAAAGAAATTCTCAGAACTATCGAAATTTCCAATTGCAGATTCCACAAAAGTGTGTTTCAAAGCTGCTCTGTAAAAAGAAAGGTTCAACTCTTTTAGTTGAATACACGTCAGAAACAAGTTTCTGAGAATGCTTCTGTCTAGTTTTTATGGGAAGATATTTCCTTTTTCACCGTAGGCCTCAAAGCGCTCCAAATGTCCACTTCCACATACTACAAAAAGAGTGTTTCAAACCTGCTCTATGATAGGGAATGTTGAAACCTATGAGTTGAATGCAAGCATTACAAAGAGGTTTCTGAGAATGCTTCTGTCTAGATTTTATATGTAGATATTCCCGTTTCCAACGAAATCCTCAAAGCTATCCAAATATCAACTTGCAGATTCTACAAAAGGAATGTTTCCAAAATGCTGTATCCAAACAAAGGTTCAACTCTGTGAATTGAGGGCATACATCACAAAGAAGATTCTGAGAATGCTTCTGTCTAGATTTTATATGAAAATATTCCCGTTTCCAACGAAATCCTCAAAGCTATCCAAATATCCACTTGCAAATGCCACAAAAAGAGTGTTTCCAAACTGCTCTGTGAAAAGGAAGGTTCAACTCTGTTAGTTGAGTACACACATCACAAAGAGGTTTGCTGAGAATGCTGCTGACTAGTTTTTATTTGAAGATATTTCCCTTTTCACCTTAGGCCTAAGAGTGCTCGAAATGTCCATTTCCACATACTCCACAAAGTGTGTTTCAAACGTGCTGTATGAAAGGGAATGTTCAACTCTATGAGTTGAATGCAAACATCACAAAGAAGATTCTGAGAATGCTTTTGTCTAGATTTTATATGAAGATATTCCCGTGTCCAACGAAATTTTCAAAGGTCTCCAAATATCCATTTGTAGATTCTACAAAAAGAGTGTTTCCAAACTGCTGTATCAAAACAAAGGTTGAACTCTGTGAGTTGAGGACACACATCACAAATAAGTTTCTGAGAATGCTTCTGTCTAGTTTTTATTTGAAGATGTTTCCTTTTTCACCATAGGCCTGAAAGCGCTCGAAATGTCCACTTCCAGATAGTACAGAAAGAGTGTTTCAAACCTGCTCTATGAACGGGAATGTTCAGCTCTGTGAGTTGAATGCAAACATCACAAAGCAGGTTCTGAGAATGCTTCCGTCTAGATTTTAAATGAGGATATTCCCGTTTCCAACGAAATCCTCGAAGCTATCCAAATATCCACTTGCAGATTCCACAAAAAGAGTGTTTCAAAACTGCTCTGTCAAAAGATAGGTTCAACTCTGTTAGTTGAGTACACACATGGCAAACAAGATTCCGAGAATGCTTCGTCTAGTTTTTTTGGGAAGATATTTCCTTCTTCACCATAGGCCTCAAAGCGCTCCAAATATCCATTTCCACATGCTATACAAAGAGTGTCTCAAACCTGCTGTATGAATGGGAATGTTCAACTCTATGAGTTGAATGCAAACATCACAAAGAAGTTTCTGAGAATGCTGCTGTCTAGATTTTATATGAAGGTTTTCCCGCTTCCAACGAAATTTTCAATGCTCTCAAAATATCCTCTTGTAGATTCTACAAAAAGAGTGTTTCCAAACTGCTGTATCAAAACAAAGGTTCATCTCTGTTAGTTGAGGACACACATCACAAATAAGTTTCTGAGAATGCTTCTGTCTAGTTCTTATTTGAAGACATTTCCTTTCTCACCTTAGGCCTGAAAGCGCTCGAAATACCCACTTCCAGATACTACAGAAACAGTGATTCAAACCTGCTCTATGAAAGGGAATGTTCAACTATGTGACTTGAATGCAAACATCACAAAGCAGTTTCTGAGAATGCTGCTGTCTACTTTCTATTTGTAATCCCGTTTCCAACGAAATCCTCAGAACTATCGAAATTTCCAATTGCAGATTCCACAGAAACAGGGTTTCAAAGCTGCTCTGTAAAAAGAAAGGTTCAACTCTGTTAGTTGAATACACACGTCACAAAGAAGTTTCTGAGAATGCTTCTGTCTAGTTTTTATGGGAAGATATTTCCTTTTTCACCGTAGGCCTGAAAGCGCTCCAAATGTCCACTTCCACATACTACAAAAAGAGTGTTTCAAACCTGCTGTATGAAAGGGAATGTTCAACTCTATGAGTTGAATGCAAACATTACAAAGAAGTTTCTGAGAATGCTTCTGTCTAGATTTTATATGAAGGTTTTCCCGTTTCCAACGAAATTTTCAATGCTCTCAAAATATCCACTTGTAGATTCTACAAAAAGAGTGTTTCCAAACTGCTGTGTCAAAAGAAAGGTTCAACTCTGTTAGTTGAGGACACACATCACAAATAAGTTTCTGAGAATGCTGCTGTCTACTTTCTATTTGTAATCCCGTTTCCAACGAAATCCTCAGAACTATCGAAATTTCCAATTGCAGATTCCACAAAAAGCGTGTTTCAAAGCTGCTCTGTAAAAAGAAAGGTTCAACTCTGTTAGTTGAATACACACGTCACAAACAAGTTTCTGAGAATGCTTCTGTCTAGTTTTTATGGGAAGATATTTCCTTTTTCACCGTAGGCCTCAAAGCGCTCCAAATGTCCACTTCCACATACTACAAAAAGAGTGTTTCAAACCTGCTCTATGATAGGGAATGTTGAAACCTATGAGTTGAATGCAAGCATTACAAAGAGGTTTCTGAGAATGCTTCTGTCTAGATTTTATATGTAGATATTCCCGTTTCCAACGAAATCCTCAAACTATCCAAATATCAACTTGCAGATTCTACAAAAGGAATGTTTCCAAAATGCTGTATCCAAACAAAGGTTCAACTCTGTGAATTGAGGGCATACATCACAAAGAAGATTCTGAGAATGCTTCTGTCTAGATTTTATATGAAAATATTCCCGTTTCCAACGAAATCCTCAAAGCTATCCAAATATCCACTTGCAACTGCCACAAAAAGAGTGTTTCCAAACTGCTCTGTGAAAAGGAAGGTTCAACTCTGTTAGTTGAGTACACACATCACAAAGAGGTTTCTGAGAATGCTGCTGACTAGTTTTTATTTGAAGATATTTCCCTTTTCACCTTAGGCCTAAGAGTGCTCGAAATGTCCATTTCCACATACTCCACAAAGTGTGTTTCAAACGTGCTGTATGAAAGGGAATGTTCAACTCTATGAGTTGAATGCAAACATCACAAAGAAGACTCTGAGAATGCTTTTGTCTAGATTTTATATGAAGATATTCCCGTGTCCAACGAAATTTTCAAAGGTCTCCAAATATCCATTTGTAGATTCTACAAAAAGAGTGTTTCCAAACTGCTGTATCAAAACAAAGGTTGAACTCTGTGAGTTGAGGACACACATCACAAATAAGTTTCTGAGAATGCTTCTGTCTAGTTTTTATTTGAAGATGTTTCCTTTTTCACCATAGGCCTGAAAGCGCTCGAAATGTCCACTTCCAGATAGTACAGAAAGAGTGTTTCAAACCTGCTCTATGAACGGGAATGTTCAGCTCTGTGAGTTGAATGCAAACATCACAAAGCAGGTTCTGAGAATGCTTCCGTCTAGATTTTAAATGAGGATATTCCCGTTTCCAACGAAATCCTCGAAGCTATCCAAATATCCACTTGCAGATTCCACAAAAAGAGTGTTTCAAAACTGCTCTGTCAAAAGATAGGTTCAACTCTGTTAGTTGAGTACACACATGGCAAACAAGATTCCGAGAATGCTTTCGTCTAGTTTTTTTGGGAAGATATTTCCTTCTTCACCATAGGCCTCAAAGCGCTCCAAATATCCATTTCCACATGCTATACAAAGAGTGTCTCAAACCTGCTGTATGAATGGGAATGTTCAACTCTATGAGTTGAATGCAAACATCACAAAGAAGTTTCTGAGAATGCTGCTGTCTAGATTTTATATGAAGGTTTTCCCGCTTCCAACGAAATTTTCAATGCTCTCAAAATATCCTCTTGTAGATTCTACAAAAAGAGTGTTTCCAAACTGCTGTATCAAAACAAAGGTTCATCTCTGTTAGTTGAGGACACACATCACAAATAAGTTTCTGAGAATGCTTCTGTCTAGTTCTTATTTGAAGACATTTCCTTTCTCACCTTAGGCCTGAAAGCGCTCGAAATACCCACTTCCAGATACGACAGAAACTGTGATTCAAACCTGCTCTATGAAAGGGAATGTTCAACTAGGTGACTTGAATGCAAACATCACAAAGCAGTTTCTGAGAATGCTGCTGTCTACTTTCTATTTGTAATCCCGTTTCCAACGAAATCCTCAGAACTATCGAAATTTCCAATTGCAGATTCCACAAAAAGCGTGTTTCAAAGCTGCTCTGTAAAAAGAAAGGTTCAACTCTGTTAGTTGAATACACACGTCACAAACAAGTTTCTGAGATTGCTTCTGTCTAGTTTTTATGGGAAGATATTTCCTTTTTCACCGTAGGCCTCAAAGCGCTCCAAATGTCCACGTCCACATACTACAAAAAGAGTGTTTCAAACCTGCTGTATGAAAGGGAATGTTCAACTCTATGAGTTGAATGCAAACATTACAAAGAAGTTTCTGAGAATGCTTCTGTCTAGATTTTATATGAAGGTTTTCCCGTTTCCAACGAAATTTTCAATGCTCTCAAAATATCCACTTGTAGATTCTACAAAAAGAGTGTTTCCAAACTGCTGTGTCAAAAGAAAGGTTCAACTCTGTTAGTTGAGGACACACATCACAAATAAGTTTCTGAGAATGCTGCTGTCTACTTTCTATTTGTAATCCCGTTTCCAACGAAATCCTCAGAACTATCGAAATTTCCAATTGCAGATTCCACAAAAAGCGTGTTTCAAAGCTGCTCTGTAAAAAGAAAGGTTCAACTCTGTTAGTTGAATACACACGTCACAAACAAGTTTCTGAGAATGCTTCTGTCTAGTTTTTATGGGAAGATATTTCCTTTTTCACCGTAGGCCTCAAAGCGCTCCAAATGTCCACTTCCACATACTACAAAAAGAGTGTTTCAAACCTGCTCTATGATAGGGAATGTTGAAACCTATGAGTTGAATGCAAGCATTACAAAGAGGTTTCTGAGAATGCTTCTGTCTAGATTTTATATGTAGATATTCCCGTTTCCAACGAAATCCTCAAAGCTATCCAAATATCAACTTGCAGATTCTACAAAAGGAATGTTTCCAAAATGCTGTATCCAAACAAAGGTTCAACTCTGTGAATTGAGGGCATACATCACAAAGAAGATTCTGAGAATGCTTCTGTCTAGATTTTATATGAAAATATTCCCGTTTCCAACGAAATCCTCAAAGCTATCCAAATATCCACTTGCAAATGCCACAAAAAGAGTGTTTCCAAACTGCTCTGTGAAAAGGAAGGTTCAACTCTGTTAGTTGAGTACACACATCACAAAGAGGTTTCTGAGAATGCTGCTGACTAGTTTTTATTTGAAGATATTTCCCTTTTCACCTTAGGCCTAAGAGTGCTCGAAATGTCCATTTCCACATACTCCACAAAGTGTGTTTCAAACGTGCTGTATGAAAGGGAATGTTCAACTCTATGAGTTGAATGCAAACATCACAAAGAAGATTCTGAGAATGCTTTTGTCTAGATTTTATATGAAGATATTCCCGTGTCCAACGAAATTTTCAAAGGTCTCCAAATATCCATTTGTAGATTCTACAAAAAGAGTGTTTCCAAACTGCTGTATCAAAACAAAGGTTGAACTCTGTGAGTTGAGGACACACATCACAAATAAGTTTCTGAGAATGCTTCTGTCTAGTTTTTATTTGAAGATGTTTCCTTTTCCACCATAGGCCTGAAAGCGCTCGAAATGTCCACTTCCAGATAGTACAGAAAGAGTGTTTCAAACCTGCTCTATGAACGGGAATGTTCAGCCTCCTGTGAGTTGAATGCAAACATCACAAAGCAGGTTCTGAGAATGCTTCCGTCTAGATTTTAAATGAGGATATTCCCGTTTCCAACGAAATCCTCGAAGCTATCCAAATATCCACTTGCAGATTCCACAAAAAGAGTGTTTCAAAACTGCTCTGTCAAAAGATAGGTTCAACTCTGTTAGTTGAGTACACACATGGCAAACAAGATTCCGAGAATGCTTTCGTCTAGTTTTTTTGGGAAGATATTTCCTTCTTCACCATAGGCCTCAAAGCGCTCCAAATATCCATTTCCACATGCTATACAAAGAGTGTCTCAAACCTGCTGTATGAATGGGAATGTTCAACTCTATGAGTTGAATGCAAACATCACAAAGAAGTTTCTGAGAATGCTACTGTCTAGATTTTATATGAAGGTTTTCCCGCTTCCAACGAAATTTTCAATGCTCTCAAAATATCCACTTGTAGATTCTACAAAAAGAGTGCTTCCAAACTGCTGTATCAAAACAAAGGTTCAACTCTGTTAGTTGAGGACACACATCACAAATAAGTTTCTGAGAATGCTTCTGTCTAGTTCTTATTTGAAGACATTTCCTTTCTCATCTTAGGCCTGAAAGCGCTCGAAACACCCACTTCCAGATACTACACAGACAGTGATTCAAACCTGCTCTATCAAAGGAAATGTTCAACTATGTGACTTGAATGCAAACATCACAAAGCAGTTTCTGAGAATGCTGCTGTCTACTTTCTATTTGTAATACCGTTTCCAACGAAATACTCAGAACTACCGAAATTTCCAATTGCAGATTCCACAAAAACAGGGTTTCAAAGCTGCTCTGTAAAAAGAAAGGTTCAACTCTGTTAGTTGAATACACACGTCACAAACAGGTTTCTGAGAATGCTTCTGTCTAGTTTTTATGGGAAGATATTTCCATTTTCACCGTAGGCCTCAAAGCACTCCAAATGTAAACTTCCACATACTACAAAAAGAGTGTTTCAAACCTGGTGTATGAAAGGGAATGTTCAACTCTATGAGTTGAATGCAAACATTACAAAGAAGTTTCTGAGAATGCTTCTGTCTAGATTTTATATGAAGGTTTTCCCGTTTCCAACGAAATTTTCAATGCTCTCAAAATATCCACTTGTAGATTCTACAAAAAGAGTGTTTCCAAACTGCTGTGTCAAAAGAAAGGTTCAACTCTGTTAGTTGAGGACACACATCACAAATAAGTTTCTGAGAATGCTGCTGTCTACTTTCTATTTGTAATCCCGTTTCCAACGAAATCCTCAGAACTATCGAAATTTCCAATTGCAGATTCCACAAAAAGCGTGTTTCAAAGCTGCTCTGTAAAAAGAAAGGTTCAACTCTGTTAGTTGAATACACACGTCACAAACAAGTTTCTGAGAATGCTTCTGTCTAGTTTTTATGGGAAGATATTTCCTTTTTCACCGTAGGCCTCAAAGCGCTCCAAATGTCCACTTCCACATACTACAAAAAGAGTGTTTCAAACCTGCTCTATGATAGGGCATGTTGAAACCTATGAGTTGAATGCAAGCATTACAAAGAGGTTTCTGAGAATGCTTCTGTCTAGATTTTATATGTAGATATTCCCGTTTCCAACGAAATCCTCAAAGCTATCCAAATATCAACTTGCAGATTCTACAAAAGGAATGTTTCCAAAATGCTGTATCCAAACAAAGGTTCAACTCTGTGAATTGAGGGCATACATCACAAAGAAGATTCTGAGAATGCTTCTGTCTAGATTTTATATGAAAATATTCCCGTTTCCAACGAAATCCTCAAAGCTATCCAAATATCCACTTGCAAATGCCACAAAAAGAGTGTTTCCAAACTGCTCTGTGAAAAGGAAGGTTCAACTCTGTTAGTTGAGTACACACATCACAAAGAGGTTTCTGAGAATGCTGCTGACTAGTTTTTATTTGAAGATATTTCCCTTTTCACCTTAGGCCTAAGAGTGCTCGAAATGTCCATTTCCACATACTCCACAAAGTGTGTTTCAAACGTGCTGTATGAAAGGGAATGTTCAACTCTATGAGTTGAATGCAAACATCACAAAGAAGATTCTGAGAATGGTTTTGTCTAGATTTTATATGAAGATATTCCCGTGTCCAACGAAATTTTCAAAGGTCTCCAAATATCCATTTGTAGATTCTACAAAAAGAGTGTTTCCAAACTGCTGTATCAAAACAAAGGTTGAACTCTGTGAGTTGAGGACACACATCACAAATAAGTTTCTGAGAATGCTTCTGTCTAGTTTTTATTTGAAGATGTTTCCTTTTTCACCATAGGCCTGAAAGCGCTCAAAATGTCCACTTCCAGATAGTACAGAAAGAGTGTTTCAAACCTGCTCTATGAACGGGAATGTTCAGCTCTGTGAGTTGAATGCAAACATCACAAAGCAGGTTCTGAGAATGTTTCCGTCTAGATTTTAAATGAGGATATTCCCGTTTCCAACGAAATCCTCGAAGCTATCCAAATATCCACTTGCAGATTCCACAAAAAGAGTGTTTCAAAACTGCTCTGTCAAAAGATAGGTTCAACTCTGTTAGTTGAGTACACACATGGCAAACAAGATTCCGAGAATGCTTTCGTCTAGTTTTTTTGGGAAGATATTTCCTTCTTCACCAAAGGCCTCAAAGCGCTCCAAATATCCATTTCCACATGCTATACAAAGAGTGTCTCAAACCTGCTGTATGAATGGGAATGTTCAACTCTATGAGTTGAATGCAAACATCACAAAGAAGTTTCTGAGAATGCTGCTGTCTAGATTTTATATGAAGGTTTTCCCGCTTCCAACGAAATTTTCAATGCTCTCAAAATATCCTCTTGTAGATTCTACAAAAGGAGTGTTTCCAAACTGCTGTATCAAAACAAAGGTTCATCTCTGTTAGTTGAGGACACACATCACAAATAAGTTTCTGAGAATGCTTCTGTCTAGTTCTTATTTGAAGACATTTCCTTTCTCACCTTAGGCCTGAAAGCGCTCGAAATACCCACTTCCAGATACTACAGAAACAGTGATTCAAACCTGCTCTATGAAAGGGAATGTTCAACTATGTGACTTGAATGCAAACATCACAAAGCAGTTTCTGAGAATGCTGCTGTCTACTTTGTATTTGTAATCCCGTTTCCAACGAAATCCTCAGAACTATCGAAATTTCCAATTGCAGATTCCACAGAAACAGGGTTTCAAAGCTGCTCTGTAAAAAGAAAGGTTCAACTCTGTTAGTTGAATACACACGTCACAAACAAGTTTCTGAGAATGCTTCTGTCTAGTTTTTATGGGAAGATATTTCCTTTTTCACCGTAGGCCTCAAAGCGCTCCAAATGTCCACTTCCACATACTACAAAAAGAGTGTTTCAAACCTGCTGTATGAAAGGGAATGTTCAACTCTATGAGTTGAATGCAAACATTACAAAGAAGTTTCTGAGAATGCTTCTGTCTAGATTTTATATGAAGATTTTCCCGTTTCCAACGAAATTTTCAATGCTCTGAAAATATCCACTTGTAGATTCTACAAAAAGAGTGTTTCCAAACTGCTGTGTCAAAAGAAAGGTTCAACTACTGTTAGTTGAGGACACACATCACAAATAAGTTTCTGAGAATGCTGCTGTCTACTTTCTATTTGTAATCCCGTTTCCAACGAAATCCTCAGAACTATCGAAATTTCCAATTGCAGATTCCACAAAAAGCGTGTTTCAAAGCTGCTCTGTAAAAAGAAAGGTTCAACTCTGTTAGTTGAATACACACGTCACAAACAAGTTTCTGAGAATGCTTCTGTCTAGTTTTTATGGGAAGATATTTCCTTTTTCACCGTAGGCCTCAAAGCGCTCCAAATGTCCACTTCCACATACTACAAAAAGAGTGTTTCAAACCTGCTCTATGATAGGGAATGTTGAAACCTATGAGTTGAATGCAAGCATTACAAAGAGGTTTCTGAGAATGCTTCTGTCTAGATTTTATATGTAGATATTCCCGTTTCCAACGAAATCCTCAAAGCTATCCAAATATCAACTTGCAGATTCTACAAAAGGAATGTTTCCAAAATGCTGTATCCAAACAAAGGTTCAACTCTGTGAATTGAGGGCATACATCACAAAGAAGATTCTGAGAATGCTTCTGTCTAGATTTTATATGAAAATATTCCCGTTTCCAACGAAATCCTCAAAGCTATCCAAATATCCACTTGCAAATGCCACAAAAAGAGTGTTTCCAAACTGCTCTGTGAAAAGGAAGGTTCAACTCTGTTAGTTGAGTACACACATCACAAAGAGGTTTCTGAGAATGCTGCTGACTAGTTTTTATTTGAAGATATTTCCCTTTTCACCTTAGGCCTAAGAGTGCTCGAAATGTCCATTTCCACATACTCCACAAAGTGTGTTTCAAACGTGCTGTATGAAAGGGAATGTTCAACTCTATGAGTTGAATGCAAACATCACAAAGAAGATTCCTGAGAATGCTTTTGTCTAGATTTTATATGAAGATATTCCCGTGTCCAACGAAATTTTCAAAGGTCTCCAAATATCCATTTGTAGATTCTACAAAAAGAGTGTTTCCAAACTGCTGTATCAAAACAAAGGTTGAACTCTGTGAGTTGAGGACACACATCACAAATAAGTTTCTGAGAATGCTTCTGTCTAGTTTTTATTTGAAGATGTTTCCTTTTTCACCATAGGCCTGAAAGCGCTCGAAATGTCCACTTCCAGATAGTACAGAAAGAGTGTTTCAAACCTGCTCTATGAACGGGAATGTTCAGCTCTGTGAGTTGAATGCAAACATCACAAAGCAGGTTCTGAGAATGCTTCCGTCTAGGTTTTAAATGAGGATATTCCCGTTTCCAACGAAATCCTCGAAGCTATCCAAATATCCACTTGCAGATTCCACAAAAAGAGTGTTTCAAAACTGCTCTGTCAAAAGATAGGTTCAACTCTGTTAGTTGAGTACACACATGGCAAACAAGATTCCGAGAATGCTTTCGTCTAGTTTTTTTGGGAAGATATTTCCTTCTTCACCATAGGCCTCAAAGCGCTCCAAATATCCATTTCCACATGCTATACAAAGAGTGTCTCAAACCTGCTGTATGAATGGGAATGTTCAACTCTATGAGTTGAATGCAAACATCACAAAGAAGTTTCTGAGAATGCTGCTGTCTAGATTTTATATGAAGGTTTTCCCGCTTCCAACGAAATTTTCAATGCTCTCAAAATATCCTCTTGTAGATTCTACAAAAAGAGTGTTTCCAAACTGCTGTATCAAAACAAAGGTTCATCTCTGTTAGTTGAGGACACACATCACAAATAAGTTTCTGAGAATGCTTCTGTCTAGTTCTTATTTGAAGACATTTCCTTTCTCACCTTAGGCCTGAAAGCGCTCGAAATACCCAATTCCAGATACTACAGAAACAGTGATTCAAACCTGCTCTATGAAAGGGAATGTTCAACTAGGTGACTTGAATGCAAACATCACAAAGCAGTTTCTGAGAATGCTGCTGTCTACTTTCTATTTGTAATCCCGTTTCCAACGAAATCCTCAGAACTATCGAAATTTCCAATTGCAGATTCCACAGAAACAGGGTTTCAAAGCTGCTCTGTAAAAAGAAAGGTTCAACTCTGTTAGTTGAATACACACGTCACAAACAAGTTTCTGAGAATGCTTCTGTCTAGTTTTTATGGGAAGATATTTCCTTTTTCACCGTAGGCCTCAAAGCGCTCCAAATGTCCACGTCCACATACTACAAAAAGAGTGTTTCAAACCTGCTGTATGAAAGGGAATGTTCAACTCTATGAGTTGAATGCAAACATTACAAAGAAGTTTGCTGAGAATGCTTCTGTCTAGATTCTATATGAAGGTTTTCCCGTTTCCAAGGAAATTTTCAATGCTCTCAAAATATCCACTTGTAGATTCTACAAAAAGAGTGTTTCCAAACTGCTGTGTCAAAAGAAAGGTTCAACTCTGTTAGTTGAGGACACACATCACAAATAAGTTTCTGAGAATGCTGCTGTCTACTTTCTATTTGTAATCCCGTTTCCAACGAAATCCTCAGCAACTATCGAAATTTCCAATTGCAGATTCCACAAAAAGCGTGTTTCAAAGCTGCTCTGTAAAAAGAAAGGTTCAACTCTGTTAGTTGAATACACACGTCACAAACAAGTTTCTGAGAATGCTTCTGTCTAGTTTTTATGGGAAGATATTTCCTTTTTCACCGTAGGCCTCAAAGCGCTCCAAATGTCCACTTCCACATACTACAAAAAGAGTGTTTCAAACCTGCTCTATGATAGGGAATGTTGAAACCTATGAGTTGAATGCAAGCATTACAAAGAGGTTTCTGAGAATGCTTCTGTCTAGATTTTATATGTAGATATTCCCGTTTCCAACGAAATCCTCAAAGCTATCCAAATATCAACTTGCAGATTCTGCAAAAGGAATGTTTCCAAAATGCTGTATCCAAACAAAGGTTCAACTCTGTGAATTGAGGGCATACATCACAAAGAAGATTCTGAGAATGCTTCTGTCTAGATTTTATATGAAAATATTCCCGTTTCCAACGAAATCCTCAAAGCTATCCAAATATCCACTTGCAAATGCCACAAAAAGAGTGTTTCCAAACTGCTCTGTGAAAAGGAAGGTTCAACTCTGTTAGTTGAGTACACACATCACAAAGAGGTTTCTGAGAATGCTGCTGACTAGTTTTTATTTGAAGATATTTCCCTTTTCACCTTAGGCCTAAGAGTGCTCGAAATGTCCATTTCCACATACTCCACAAAGTGTGTTTCAAACGTGCTGTATGAAAGGGAATGTTCAACTCTATGAGTTGAATGCAAACATCACAAAGAAGATTCTGAGAATGCTTTTGTCTAGATTTTATATGAAGATATTCCCGTGTCCAACGAAATTTTCAAAGGTCTCCAAATATCCATTTGTAGATTCTACAAAAAGAGTGTTTCCAAACTGCTGTATCAAAACAAAGGTTGAACTCTGTGAGTTGAGGACACACATCACAAATAAGTTTCTGAGAATGCTTCTGTCTAGTTTTTATTTGAAGATGTTTCCTTTTTCACCATAGGCCTGAAAGCGCTCGAAATGTCCACTTCCAGATAGTACAGAAAGAGTGTTTCAAACCTGCTCTATGAACGGAAATGTTCAGCTCTGTGAGTTGAATGCAAACATCACAAAGCAGGTTCTGAGAATGCTTCCGTCTAGATTTTAAATGAGGATATTCCCGTTTCCAACGAAATCCTCGAAGCTATCCAAATATCCACTTGCAGATTCCACAAAAAGAGTGTTTCAAAACTGCTCTGTCAAAAGATAGGTTCAACTCTGTTAGTTGAGTACACACATGGCAAACAAGATTCCGAGAATGCTTTCGTCTAGTTTTTTTGGGAAGATATTTCCTTCTTCACCATAGGCCTCAAAGCGCTCCAAATATCCATTTCCACATGCTATACAAAGAGTGTCTCAAACCTGCTGTATGAATGGGAATGTTCAACTCTATGAGTTGAATGCAAACATCACAAAGAAGTTTCTGAGAATGCTGCTGTCTAGATTTTATATGAAGGTTTTCCCGCTTCCAACGAAATTTTCAATGTTCTCAAAATATCCTCTTGTAGATTCTACAAAAAGAGTGTTTCCAAACTGCTGTATCAAAACAAAGGTTCATCTCTGTTAGTTGAGGACACACATCACAAATAAGTTTCTGAGAATGCTTCTGTCTAGTTCTTATTTGAAGACATTTCCTTTCTCACCTTAGGCCTGAAAACGCTCGAAATATCCACTTCCAGATACGACAGAAACTGTGATTCAAACCTGCTCTATGAAAGGGAATGTTCAACTAGGTGACTTGAATGCAAACATCACAAAGCAGTTTCTGAGAATGCTGCTGTCTACTTTCTATTTGTAATCCCGTTTCCAACGAAATCCTCAGAACTATCGAAATTTCCAATTGCAGATTCCACAAAAAGCGTGTTTCAAAGCTGCTCTGTAATAAGAAAGGTTCAACTCTGTTAGTTGAATACACACGTCACAAACAAGTTTCTGAGAATGCTTCTGTCTAGTTTTTATGGGAAGATATTTCCTTTTTCACCGTAGGCCTCAAAGCGCTCCAAATGTCCACTTCCACATACTACAAAAAGAGTGTTTCAAACCTGCTCTATGATAGGGAATGTTGAAACCTATGAGTTGAATGCAAGCATTACAAAGAGGTTTCTGAGAATGCTTCTGTCTAGATTTTATATGTAGATATTCCCGTTTCCAACGAAATCCTCAAAGCTATCCAAATATCAGCTTGCAGATTCTGCAAAAGGAATGTTTCCAAAATGCTGTATCCAAACAAAGGTTCAACTCTGTGAATTGAGGGCATACATCACAAAGAAGATTCTGAGAATGCTTCTGTCTAGATTTTATATGAAAATATTCCCGTTTCCAACGAAATCCTCAAAGCTATCCAAATATCCACTTGCAAATGCCACAAAAAGAGTGTTTCCAAACTGCTCTGTGAAAAGGAAGGTTCAACTCTGTTAGTTGAGTACACACATCACAAAGAGGTTTCTGAGAATGCTGCTGACTAGTTTTTATTTGAAGATATTTCCCTTTTCACCTTAGGCCTAAGAGTGCTCGAAATGTCCATTTCCACATACTCCACAAAGTGTGTTTCAAACGTGCTGTATGAAAGGGAATGTTCAACTCTATGAGTTGAATGCAAACATCACAAAGAAGATTCTGAGAATGCTTTTGTCTAGATTTTATATGAAGATATTCCCGTGTCCAACGAAATTTTCAAAGGTCTCCAAATATCCATTTGTAGATTCTACAAAAAGAGTGTTTCCAAACTGCTGTATCAAAACAAAGGTTGAACTCTGTGAGTTGAGGACACACATCACAAATAAGTTTCTGAGAATGCTTCTGTCTAGTTTTTATTTGAAGATGTTTCCTTTTTCACCATAGGCCTGAAAGCGCTCGAAATGTCCACTTCCAGATAGTACAGAAAGAGTGTTTCAAACCTGCTCTATGAACGGGAATGTTCAGCTCTGTGAGTTGAATGCAAACATCACAAAGCAGGTTCTGAGAATGCTTCCGTCTAGATTTTAAATGAGGATATTCCCGTTTCCAACGAAATCCTCGAAGCTATCCAAATATCCACTTGCAGATTCCACAAAAAGAGTGTTTCAAAACTGCTCTGTCAAAAGATAGGTTCAACTCTGTTAGTTGAGTACACACATGGCAAACAAGATTGCGAGAATGCTTTCGTCTAGTTTTTTTGGGAAGATATTTCCTTCTTCACCATAGGCCTCAAAGCGCTCCAAATATCCATTTCCACATGCTATACAAAGAGTGTCTCAAACCTGCTGTATGAATGGGAATGTTCAACTCTATGAGTTGAATGCAAACATCACAAAGAAGTTTCTGAGAATGCTGCTGTCTAGAGTTTATATGAAGGTTTTCCCGCTTCCAACGAAATTTTCAATGCTCTCAAAATATCCTCTTGTAGATTCTACAAAAAGAGTGTTTCCAAACTGCTGTATCAAAACAAAGGTTCATCTCTGTTAGTTGAGGACACACATCACAAATAAGTTTCTGAGAATGCTTCTGTCTAGTTCTTATTTGAAGACATTTCCTTTCTCACCTTAGGCCTGAAAGCGCTCGAAATACCCACTTCCAGATACTACAGAAACAGTGATTCAAACCTGCTCTATGAAAGGGAATGTTCAACTAGGTGACTTGAATGCAAACATCACAAAGCAGTTTCTGAGAATGCTGCTGTCTACTTTCTATTTGTAATCCCGTTTCCAACGAAATCCTCAGAACTATCGAAATTTCCAATTGCAGATTCCACAGAAACAGGGTTTCAAAGCTGCTCTGTAAAAAGAAAGGTTCAACTCTGTTAGTTGAATACACACGTCACAAACAAGTTTCTGAGAATGCTTCTGTCTAGTTTTTATGGGAAGATATTTCCTTTTTCACCGTAGGCCTCAAAGCGCTCCAAATGTCCACGTCCACATACTACAAAAAGAGTGTTTCAAACCTGCTGTATGAAAGGGAATGTTCAACTCTATGAGTTGAATGCAAACATTACAAAGAAGTTTCTGAGAATGCTTCTGTCTAGATTTTATATGAAGGTTTTCCCGTTTCCAACGAAATTTTCAATGCTCTCAAAATATCCACTTGTAGATTCTACAAAAAGAGTGTTTCCAAACTGCTGTGTCAAAAGAAAGGTTCAACTCTGTTAGTTGAGGACACACATCACAAATAAGTTTCTGAGAATGCTGCTGTCTACTTTCTATTTGTAATCCCGTTTCCAACGAAATCCTCAGAACTATCGAAATTTCCAATTGCAGATTCCACAAAAAGCGTGTTTCAAAGCTGCTCTGTAAAAAGAAAGGTTCATCTCTGTTAGTTGAATACACACGTCACAAACAAGTTTCTGAGAATGCTTCTGTCTAGTTTTTATGGGAAGATATTTCCTTTTTCACCGTAGGCCTCAAAGCGCTCCAAATGTCCACTTCCACATACTACAAAAAGAGTGTTTCAAACCTGCTCTATGATAGGGAATGTTGAAACCTATGAGTTGAATGCAAGCATTACAAAGAGGTTTCTGAGAATGCTTCTGTCTAGATTTTATATGTAGATATTCCCGTTTCCAACGAAATCCTCAAAGCTATCCAAATATCAGCTTGCAGATTCTGCAAAAGGAATGTTTCCAAAATGCTGTATCCAAACAAAGGTTCAACTCTGTGAATTGAGGGCATACATCACAAAGAAGATTCTGAGAATGCTTCTGTCTAGATTTTATATGAAAATATTCCCGTTTCCAACGAAATCCTCAAAGCTATCCAAATATCCACTTGCAAATGCCACAAAAAGAGTGTTTCCAAACTGCTCTGTGAAAAGGAAGGTTCAACTCTGTTAGTTGAGTACACACATCACAAAGAGGTTTCTGAGAATGCTGCTGACTAGTTTTTATTTGAAGATATTTCCCTTTTCACCTTAGGCCTAAGAGTGCTCGAAATGTCCATTTCCACATACTCCACAAAGTGTGTTTCAAACTTGCTGTATGAAAGGGAATGTTCAACTCTATGAGTTGAATGCAAACATCACAAAGAAGATTCTGAGAATGCTTTTGTCTAGATTTTATATGAAGATATTCCCGTGTCCAACGAAATTTTCAAAGGTCTCCAAATATCCATTTGTAGATTCTACAAAAAGAGTGTTTCCAAACTGCTGTATCAAAACAAAGGTTGAACTCTGTGAGTTGAGGACACACATCACAAATAAGTTTCTGAGAATGCTTCTGTCTAGTTTTTATTTGAAGATGTTTCCTTTTTCACCATAGGCCTGAAAGCGCTCGAAATGTCCACTTCCAGATAGTACAGAAAGAGTGTTTCAAACCTGCTCTATGAACGGGAATGTTCAGCTCTGTGAGTTGAATGCAAACATCACACAGCAGGTTCTGAGAATGCTTCCGTCTAGATTTTAAATGAGGATATTCCCGTTTCCAACGAAATCCTCGAAGCTATCCAAATATCCACTTGCAGATTCCACAAAAAGAGTGTTTCAAAACTGCTCTGTCAAAAGATAGGTTCAACTCTGTTAGTTGAGTACACACATGGCAAACAAGATTCCGAGAATGCTTTCGTCTAGTTTTTTAGGGAAGATATTTCCTTCTTCACCATAGGCCTCAAAGCGCTCCAAATATCCATTTCCACATGCTATACAAAGAGTGTCTCAAACCTGCTGTATGAATGGGAATGTTCAACTCTATGAGTTGAATGCAAACATCACAAAGAAGTTTCTGAGAATGCTGCTGTCTAGATTTTATATGAAGGTTTTCCCGCTTCCAACGAAATTTTCAATGCTCTCAAAATATCCTCTTGTAGATTCTACAAAAAGAGTGTTTCCAAACTGCTGTATCAAAACAAAGGTTCATCTCTGTTAGTTGAGGACACACATCACAAATAAGTTTCTGAGAATGCTTCTGTCTAGTTCTTATTTGAAGACATTTCCTTTCTCACCTTAGGCCTGAAAGCGCTCGAAATTCCCACTTCCAGATACTACAGAAACAGTGATTCAAACCTGCTCTATGAAAGGGAATGTTCAACTATGTGACTTGAATGCAAACATCACAAAGCAGTTTCTGAGAATGCTGCTGTCTACTTTCTATTTGTAATCCCGTTTCCAACGAAATCCTCAGAACTATCGAAATTTCCAATTGCAGATTCCACAGAAACAGGGTTTCAAAGCTGCTCTGTAAAAAGAAAGGTTCAACTCTGTTAGTTGAATACACACGTCACAAACAAGTTTCTGAGAATGCTTCTGTCTAGTTTTTATGGGAAGATATTTCCTTTTTCACCGTAGGCCTCAAAGCGCTCCAAATGTCCACTTCCACATACTACAAAAAGAGTGTTTCAAACCTGCTGTATGAAAGGGAATGTTCAACTCTATGAGTCGAATGCAAACATTACAAAGAAGTTTCTGAGAATGCTTCTGTCTAGATTTTATATGAAGGTTTTCCCGTTTCCAACTAAATTTTCAATGCTCTCAAAATATCCTCTTGTAGATTCTACAAAAAGAGTGTTTCCAAACTGCTGTGTCAAAAGAAATGTTCAACTCTGTTAGTTGAGGACACACATCACAAATAAGTTTCTGAGAATGCTTCTGTCTAGTTCTTATTTGAAGACATTTCCTTTCTCACCTTAGGCCTGAAAACGCTCGAAATATCCACTTCCAGATACGACAGAAACAGTGATTCAAACCTGCTCTATGAAAGGGAATGTTCAACTAGGTGACTTGAATGCAAACATCACAAAGCAGTTTCTGAGAATGCTGCTGTCTACTTTCTATTTGTAATCCCGTTTCCAAAGAAATCCTCAGAACTATCGAAATTTCCAATTGCAGATTCCACAAAAAGCGTGTTTCAAAGCTGCTCTGTAAAAAGAAAGGTTCAACTCTGTTAGTTGAATACACACGTCACAGACAAGTTTCTGAG
This sequence comes from Homo sapiens, assembly GCF_000001405.40. Classification (NCBI taxonomy): domain Eukaryota; kingdom Metazoa; phylum Chordata; class Mammalia; order Primates; family Hominidae; genus Homo; species Homo sapiens. Next base: position 19,582,158 of record NC_000015.10, on the reverse strand, counting down.
AATGCTTCTGTCTAGTTTTTATGGGAAGATATTTCCTTTTTCACCGTAGGCCTCAAAGCGCTCCAAATGTCCACTTCCACATACTACAAAAAGAGTGTTTCAAACCTGCTCTATGATAGGGAATGTTGAAACCTATGAGTTGAATGCAAGCATTACAAAGAGGTTTCTGAGAATGCTTCTGTCTAGATTTTATATGTAGATATTCCCGTTTCCAACGAAATCCTCAAAGCTATCCAAATATCAGCTTGCAGATTCTGCAAAAGGAATGTTTCCAAAATGCTGTATCCAAACAAAGGTTCAACTCTGTGAATTGAGGGCATACATCACAAAGAAGATTCTGAGAATGCTTCTGTCTAGATTTTATATGAAAATATTCCCGTTTCCAACGAAATCCTCAAAGCTATCCAAATATCCACTTGCAAATGCCACAAAAAGAGTGTTTCCAAACTGCTCTGTGAAAAGGAAGGTTCAACTCTGTTAGTTGAGTACACACATCACAAAGAGGTTTCTGAGAATGCTGCTGACTAGTTTTTATTTGAAGATATTTCCCTTTTCACCTTAGGCCTAAGAGTGCTCGAAATGTCCATTTCCACATACTCCACAAAGTGTGTTTCAAACGTGCTGTATGAAAGGGAACGTTCAACTCTATGAGTTGAATGCAAACATCACAAAGAAGATTCTGAGAATGCTTTTGTCTAGATTTTATATGAAGATATTCCCGTGTCCAACGAAATTTTCAAAGGTCTCCAAATATCCATTTGTAGATTCTACAAAAAGAGTGTTTCCAAACTGCTGTATCAAAACAAAGGTTGAACTCTGTGAGTTGAGGACACACATCACAAATAAGTTTCTGAGAATGCTTCTGTCTAGTTTTTATTTGAAGATGTTTCCTTTTTCACCATAGGCCTGAAAGCGCTCGAAATGTCCACTTCCAGATAGTACAGAAAGAGTGTTTCAAACCTGCTCTATGAACGGGAATGTTCAGCTCTGTGAGTTGAATGCAAACATCACAAAGCAGGTTCTGAGAATGCTTCCGTCTAGATTTTAAATGAGGATATTCCCGTTTCCAACGAAATCCTCGAAGCTATCCAAATATCCACTTGCAGATTCCACAAAAAGAGTGTTTCAAAACTGCTCTGTCAAAAGATAGGTTCAACTCTGTTAGTTGAGTACACACATGGCAAACAAGATTGCGAGAATGCTTTCGTCTAGTTTTTTTGGGAAGATATTTCCTTCTTCACCATAGGCCTCAAAGCGCTCCAAATATCCATTTCCACATGCTATACAAAGAGTGTCTCAAACCTGCTGTATGAATGGGAATGTTCAACTCTATGAGTTGAATGCAAACATCACAAAGAAGTTTCTGAGAATGCTGCTGTCTAGATTTTATATGAAGGTTTTCCCGCTTCCAACGAAATTTTCAATGCTCTCAAAATATCCTCTTGTAGATTCTACAAAAAGAGTGTTTCCAAACTGCTGTATCAAAACAAAGGTTCATCTCTGTTAGGTGAGGACACACATCACAAATAAGTTTCTGAGAATGCTTCTGTCTAGTTCTTATTTGAAGACATTTCCTTTCTCACCTTAGGCCTGAAAGCGCTCGAAATACCCACTTCCAGATACTACAGAAACAGTGATTCAAACCTGCTCTATGAAAGGGAATGTTCAACTATGTGACTTGAATGCAAACATCACAAAGCAGTTTCTGAGAATGCTGCTGTCTACTTTCTATTTGTAATCCCGTTTCCAACGAAATCCTCAGAACTATCAAAATTTCCAATTGCAGATTCCACAGAAACAGGGTTTCAAAGCTGCTCTGTAAAAAGAAAGGTTCAACTCTGTTAGTTGAATACACACGTCACAAACAAGTTTCTGAGAATGCTTCTGTCTAGTTTTTATGGGAAGATATTTCCTTTTTCACCGTAGGCCTCAAAGCGCTCCAAATGTCCACTTCCACATACTACAAAAAGAGTGTTTCAAACCTGCTCTATGATAGGGAATGTTGAAACCTATGAGTTGAATGCAAGCATTACAAAGAGGTTTCTGAGAATGCTTCTGTCTAGATTTTATATGTAGATATTCCCGTTTCCAACGAAATCCTCAAAGCTATCCAAATATCAACTTGCAGATTCTACAAAAGGAATGTTTCCAAAATGCTGTATCCAAACAAAGGTTCAACTCTGTGAATTGAGGGCATACATCACAAAGAAGATTCTGAGAATGCTTCTGTCTAGATTTTATATGAAAATATTCCCGTTTCCAACGAAATCCTCAAAGCTATCCAAATATCCACTTGCAAATGCCACAAAAAGAGTGTTTCCAAACTGCTCTGTGAAAAGGAAGGTTCAACTCTGTTAGTTGAGTACACACATCACAAAGAGGTTTCTGAGAATGCTGCTGACTAGTTTTTATTTGAAGATATTTCCCTTTTCACCTTAGGCCTAAGAGTGCTCGAAATGTCCATTTCCACATACTCCACAAAGTGTGTTTCAAACGTGCTGTATGAAAGGGAATGTTCAACTCTATGAGTTGAATGCAAACATCACAAAGAAGATTCTGAGAATGCTTTTGTCTAGATTTTATATGAAGATATTCCCGTGTCCAACGAAATTTTCAAAGGTCTCCAAATATCCATTTGTAGATTCTACAAAAAGAGTGTTTCCAAACTGCTGTATCAAAACAAAGGTTGAACTCTGTGAGTTGAGGACACACATCACAAATAAGTTTCTGAGAATGCTTCTGTCTAGTTTTTATTTGAAGATGTTTCCTTTTTCACCATAGGCCTGAAAGTGCTCGAAATGTCCACTTCCAGATAGTACAGAAAGAGTGTTTCAAACCTGCTCTATGAACGGGAATGTTCAGCTCTGTGAGTTGAATGCAAACATCACAAAGCAGGTTCTGAGAATGCTTCCGTCTAGATTTTAAATGAGGATATTCCCGTTTCCAACGAAATCCTCGAAGCTATCCAAATATCCACTTGCAGATTCCACAAAAAGAGTGTTTCAAAACTGCTCTGTCAAAAGATAGGTTCAACTCTGTTAGTTGAGTACACACATGGCAAACAAGATTCCGAGAATGCTTTCGTCTAGTTTTTTTGGGAAGATATTTCCTTCTTCACCATAGGCCTCAAAACGCTCCAAATATCCATTTCCACATGCTATACAAAGAGTGTCTCAAACCTGCTGTATGAATGGGAATGTTCAACTCTATGAGTTGAATGCAAACATCACAAAGAAGTTTCTGAGAATGCTGCTGTCTAGATTTTATATGAAGGTTTTCCCGCTTCCAACGAAATTTTCAATGCTCTCAAAATATCCTCTTGTAGATTCTACAAAAAGAGTGTTTCCAAACTGCTGTATCAAAACAAAGGTTCATCTCTGTTAGTTGAGGACACACATCACAAATAAGTTTCTGAGAATGCTTCTGTCTAGTTCTTATTTGAAGACATTTCCTTTCTCACCTTAGGCCTGAAAGCGCTCGAAATACCCACTTCCAGATACTACAGAAACAGTGATTCAAACCTGCTCTATGAAAGGGAATGTTCAGCTATGTGACTTGAATGCAAACATCACAAAGCAGTTTCTGAGAATGCTGCTGTCTACTTTCTATTTGTAATCCCGTTTCCAACGAAATCCTCAGAACTATCGAAATTTCCAATTGCAGATTCCACAGAAACAGGGTTTCAAAGCTGCTCTGTAAAAAGAAAGGTTCAACTCTGTTAGTTGAATACACACGTCACAAACAAGTTTCTGAGAATGCTTCTGTCTAGTTTTTATGGGAAGATACTTCCTTTTTCACCGTAGGCCTCAAAGCGCTCCAAATGTCCACTTCCACATACTACAAAAAGAGTGTTTCAAACCTGCTGTATGAAAGGGAATGTTCAACTCTATGAGTTGAATGCAAACATTACAAAGAAGTTTCTGAGAATGCTTCTGTCTAGATTTTATATGAAGGTTTTCCCGTTTCCAACGAAATTTTCAATGCTCTCAAAATATCCACTTGTAGATTCTACAAAAAGAGTGTTTCCAAACTGCTGTGTCAAAAGAAAGGTTCAACTCTGTTAGTTGAGGACACACATCACAAATAAGTTTCTGAGAATGCTGCTGTCTACTTTCTATTTGTAATCCCGTTTCCAACGAAATCCTCAGAACTATCGAAATTTCCAATTGCAGATTCCACAAAAAGCGTGTTTCAAAGCTGCTCTGTAAAAAGAAAGGTTCAACTCTGTTAGTTGAATACACACGTCACAAACAAGTTTCTGAGAATGCTTCTGTCTAGTTTTTATGGGAAGATATTTCCTTTATCACGGTAGGCCTCAAAGCGCTCCAAATGTCCACTTCCACATACTACAAAAAGAGTGTTTCAAACCTGCTCTATGATAGGGAATGTTGAAACCTATGAGTTGAATGCAAGCATTACAAAGAGGTTTCTGAGAATGCTTCTGTCTAGATTTTATATGTAGATATTCCCGTTTCCAACGAAATCCTCAAAGCTATCCAAATATCAACTTGCAGATTCTGCAAAAGGAATGTTTCCAAAATGCTGTATCCAAACAAAGGTTCAACTCTGTGAATTGAGGGCATACATCACAAAGAAGATTCTGAGAATGCTTCTGTCTAGATTTTATATGAAAATATTCCCGTTTCCAACGAAATCCTCAAAGCTATCCAAATATCCACTTGCAAATGCCACAAAAAGAGTGTTTCCCAACTGCTCTGTGAAAAGGAAGGTTCAACTCTGTTAGTTGAGTACACACATCACAAAGAGGTTTCTGAGAATGCTGCTGACTAGTTTTTATTTGAAGATATTTCCCTTTTCACCTTAGGCCTAAGAGTGCTCGAAATGTCCATTTCCACATACTCCACAAAGTGTGTTTCAAACGTGCTGTATGAAAGGGAATGTTCAACTCTATGAGTTGAATGCAAACATCACAAAGAAGATTCTGAGAATGCTTTTGTCTAGATTTTATATGAAGATATTCCCGTGTCCAACGAAATTTTCAAAGGTCTCCAAATATCCATTTGTAGATTCTACAAAAAGAGTGTTTCCAAACTGCTGTATCAAAACAAAGGTTGAACTCTGTGAGTTGAGGACACACATCACAAATAAGTTTCTGAGAATGCTTCTGTCTAGTTTTTATTTGAAGATGTTTCCTTTTTCACCATAGGCCTGAAAGCGCTCGAAATGTCCACTTCCAGATAGTACAGAAAGAGTGTTTCAAACCTGCTCTATGAACGGGAATGTTCAGCTCTGTGAGTTGAATGCAAACATCACAAAGCAGGTTCCGAGAATGCTTCCGTCTAGATTTTAAATGAGGATATTCCCGTTTCCAACGAAATCCTCGAAGCTATCCAAATATCCACTTGCAGATTCCACAAAAAGAGTGTTTCAAAACTGCTCTGTCAAAAGATAGGTTCAACTCTGTTAGTTGAGTACACACATGGCAAACAAGATTGCGAGAATGGTTTCGTCTAGTTTTTTTGGGAAGATATTTCCTTCTTCACCATAGGCCTCAAAGCGCTCCAAATATCCATTTCCACATGCTATACAAAGAGTGTCTCAAACCTGCTGTATGAATGGGAATGTTCAACTCTATGAGTTGAATGCAAACATCACAAAGAAGTTTCTGAGAATGCTGCTGTCTAGATTTTATATGAAGGTTTTCCCGCTTCCAACGAAATTTTCAATGCTCTCAAAATATCCTCTTGTAGATTCTACAAAAAGAGTGTTTCCAAACTGCTGTATCAAAACAAAGGTTCATCTCTGTTAGTTGAGGACACACATCACAAATAAGTTTCTGAGAATGCTTCTGTCTAGTTCTTATTTGAAGACATTTCCTTTCTCACCTTAGGCCTGAAAGCGCTCGAAATATCCACTTCCAGATACGACAGAAACTGTGATTCAAACCTGCTCTATGAAAGGGAGTGTTCAACTAGGTGACTTGAATGCAAACATCACAAAGCAGTTTCTGAGAATGCTGCTGTCTACTTTCTATTTGTAATCCCGTTTCCAACGAAATCCTCAGAACTATCGAAATTTCCAATTGCAGATTCCACAAAAAGCGTGTTTCAAAGCTGCTCTGTAAAAACAAAGGTTCAACTCTGTTAGTTGAATACACACGTCACAAACAAGTTTCTGAGAATGCTTCTGTCTAGTTTTTATGGGAAGATATTTCCTTTTTCACCGTAGGCCTCAAAGCGCTCCAAATGTCCACGTCCACATACTACAAAAAGAGTGTTTCAAACCTGCTGTATGAAAGGGAATGTTCAACTCTATGAGTTGAATGCAAACATTACAAAGAAGTTTCTGAGAATGCTTCTGTCTAGATTTTATATGAAGGTTTTCCCGTTTCCAACGAAATTTTCAATGCTCTCAAAATATCCACTTGTAGATTCTACAAAAAGAGTGTTTCCAAACTGCTGTGTCAAAAGAAAGGTTCAACTCTGTTAGTTGAGGACACACATCACAAATAAGTTTCTGAGAATGCTGCTGTCTACTTTCTATTTGTAATCCCGTTTCCAACGAAATCCTCAGAACTATCGAAATTTCCAATTGCAGATTCCACAAAAAGCGTGTTTCAAAGCTGCTCTGTAAAAAGAAAGGTTCAACTCTGTTAGTTGAATACACACGTCACAAACAAGTTTCTGAGAATGCTTCTGTCTAGTTTTTATGGGAAGATATTTCCTTTTTCACCGTAGGCCTCAAAGCGCTCCAAATGTCCACTTCCACATACTACAAAAAGAGTGTTTCAAACCTGCTCTATGATAGGGAATGTTGAAACCTATGAGTTGAATGCAAGCATTACAAAGAGGTTTTTGAGAATGCTTCTGTCTAGATTTTATATGTAGATATTCCCGTTTCCAACGAAATCCTCAAAGCTATCCAAATATCAACTTGCAGATTCTACAAAAGGAATGTTTCCAAAATGCTGTATCCAAACAAAGGTTCAACTCTGTGAATTGAGGGCATACATCACAAAGAAGATTCTGAGAATGCTTCTGTCTAGATTTTATATGAAAATATTCCCGTTTCCAACGAAATCCTCAAAGCTATCCAAATATCCACTTGCAAATGCCACAAAAAGAGTGTTTCCAAACTGCTCTGTGAAAAGGAAGGTTCAACTCTGTTAGTTGAGTACACACATCACAAAGAGGTTTCTGAGAATGCTGCTGACTAGTTTTTATTTGAAGATATTTCCCTTTTCACCTTAGGCCTAAGAGTGCTCGAAATGTCCATTTCCACATACTCCACAAAGTGTGTTTCAAACGTGCTGTATGAAAGGGAATGTTCAACTCTATGAGTTGAATGCAAACATCACAAAGAAGATTCTGAGAATGCTTTTGTCTAGATTTTATATGAAGATATTCCCGTGTCCAACGAAATTTTCAAAGGTCTCCAAATATCCATTTGTAGATTCTACAAAAAGAGTGTTTCCAAACTGCTGTATCAAAACAAAGGTTGAACTCTGTGAGTTGAGGACACACATCACAAATAAGTTTCTGAGAATGCTTCTGTCTAGTTTTTATTTGAAGATGTTTCCTTTTTCACCATAGGCCTGAAAGCGCTCAAAATGTCCACTTCCAGAGAGTACAGAAAGAGTGTTTCAAACCTGCTCTATGAACGGGAATGTTCAGCTCCGTGAGTTGAATGCAAACATCACAAAGCAGGTTCTGAGAATGCTTCCGTCTAGATTTTAAATGAGGATATTCCCGTTTCCAAGGAAATCCTCGAAGCTATCCAAATATCCACTTGCAGATTCCACAGAAAGAGTGTTTCAAAACTGCTCTCTCAAAAGATAGGTTCAACTCGGTTAGTTGAGTACACACATGGCAAACAAGATTCCGAGAATGCTTTCGTCTAGTTTTTTTGGGAAGATATTTCCTTCTTCACCATAGGCCTCAAAGCGCTCCAAATATCCATTTCCACATGCTATACAAAGAGTGTCTCAAACCTGCTGTATGAATGGGAATGTTCAACTCTATGAGTTGAATGCAAACATCACAAAGAAGTTTCTGAGAATGCTTCTGTCTAGATTTTATATGAAGGTTTTCCCGTTTCCAACGAAATTTTCAATGCTCTCAAAATATCCACTTGTAGATTCTACAAAAAGAGTGTTTCCAAACTGCTGTGTCAAAAGAAAGGTTCAACTCTGTTAGTTGAGGACACACATCACAAATAAGTTTCTGAGAATGCTGCTGTCTACTTTCTATTTGTAATCCCGTTTCCAACGAAATCCTCAGAACTATCGAAATTTCCAATTGCAGATTCCACAAAAAGCGTGTTTCAAAGCTGCTCTGTAAAAAGAAAGGTTCAACTCTGTTAGTTGAATACACACGTCACAAACAAGTTTCTGAGAATGCTTCTGTCTAGTTTTTATGGGAAGATATTTCCTTTTTCACGGTAGGCCTCAAAGCGCTCCAAATGTCCACTTCCACATACTACAAAAAGAGTGTTTCAAACCTGCTCTATGATAGGGAATGTTGAAACCTATGAGTTGAATGCAAGCATTACAAAGAGGTTTCTGAGAATGCTTCTGTCTAGATTTTATATGTAGATATTCCCGTTTCCAACGAAATCCTCAAAGCTATCCAAATATCAACTTGCAGATTCTACAAAAGGAATGTTTCCAAAATGCTGTATCCAAACAAAGGTTCAACTCTGTGAATTGAGGGCATACATCACAAAGAAGATTCTGAGAATGCTTCTGTCTAGATTTTATATGAAAATATTCCCGTTTCCAACGAAATCCTCAAAGCTATCCAAATATCCACTTGCAAATGCCACAAAAAGAGTGTTTCCAAACTGCTCTGTGAAAAGGAAGGTTCAACTCTGTTAGTTGAGTACACACATCACAAAGAGGTTTCTGAGAATGCTGCTGACTAGTTTTTATTTGAAGATATTTCCCTTTTCACCTTAGGCCTAAGAGTGCTCGAAATGTCCATTTCCACATACTCCACAAAGTGTGTTTCAAACGTGCTGTATGAAAGGGAATGTTCAACTCTATGAGTTGAATGCAAACATCACAAAGAAGATTCTGAGAATGCTTTTGTCTAGATTTTATATGAAGATATTCCCGTGTCCAACGAAATTTTCAAAGGTCTCCAAATATCCATTTGTAGATTCTACAAAAAGAGTGTTTCCAAACTGCTGTATCAAAACAAAGGTTGAACTCTGTGAGTTGAGGACACACATCACAAATAAGTTTCTGAGAATGCTTCTGTCTAGTTTTTATTTGAAGATATTTCCTTTTTCACCATAGGCCTGAAAGCGCTCGAAATGTCCACTTCCAGATAGTACAGAAAGAGTGTTTCAAACCTGCTCTATGAACAGGAATGTTCAGCTCTGTGAGTTGAATGCAAACATCACAAAGCAGGTTCTGAGAATGCTCCGTCTAGATTTTATATGAGGATATTCCCGTTTCCAAGGAAATCCTCGAAGCTATCCAAATATCCATTTGCAGATTCCACAAAAAGAGTGTTTCAAAACTGCTCTGTCAAAAGATAGGTTCAACTCTGTTAGTTGAGTACACACATGGCAAACAAGATTGCGAGAATGCTTTTCGTCTAGTTTTTTTGGGAAGATATTTCCTTCTTCACCATAGGCCTCAAAGCGCTCCAAATATCCATTTCCACATACTATACAAAGAGTGTCTCAAACCTGCTGTATGAATGGGAATGTTCAACTCTATGAGTTGAATGCAAACATCACAAAGAAGTTTCTGAGAATGCTGCTGTCTAGATTTTATATGAAGGTTTTCCCGCTTCCAATGAAATTTTCAATGCTCTCAAAATATCCTCTTGTAGATTCTACAAAAAGAGTGTTTCTAAACTGCTGTGTCAAAACAAAGTTTCATCTCTGTTAGTTGAGGACACACATCACAAATAAGTTTCTGAGAATGCTTCTGTCTAGTTCTTATTTGAAGACATTTCCTTTCTCACCTTAGGCCTGAAAACGCTCGAAATATCCACTTCCAGATACGACAGAAACAGGGATTCACACCTGCTCTATGAAAGGGAATGTTCAACTAGGTGACTTGAATGCAAACATCACAAAGCAGTTTCTGAGAATGCTGCTGTCTACTTTCTATTTGTAATCCCGTTTCCAACGAAATCCTCAGAACTATCAAAATTTCCAATTGCAGATTCCACAAAAAGCGTGTTTCAAAGCTGCTCTGTAAAAAGAAAGGTTCAACTCTGTTAGTTGAATACACACGTCACAAACAAGTTTCTGAGAATGCTTTCTGTCTAGTTTTTATGGGAAGATATTTCCTTTTTCACGGTAGGCCTCAAAGCGCTCCAAATGTCCACTTCCACATACTACAAAAAGAGTGTTTCAAACCTGCTCTATGATAGGGAATGTTGAAACCTATGAGTTGAATGCAAGCATTACAAAGAGGTTTCTGAGAATGCTTCTGTCTAGATTTTATATGTAGATATTCCCGTTTCCAACGAAATCCTCAAAGCTATCCAAATATCAACTTGCAGATTCTACAAAAGGAATGTTTCCAAAATGCTGTATCCAAACAAAGGTTCAACTCTGTGAATTGAGGGCATACATCACAAAGAAGATTCTGAGAATGCTTCTGTCTAGATTTTATATGAAAATATTGCCGTTTCCAACGAAATCCTCAAAGCTATCCAAATATCCACTTGCAAATGCCACAAAAAGAGTGTTTCCAAACTGCTCTGTGAAAAGGAAGGTTCAACTCTGTTAGTTGAGTACACACATCACAAAGAGGTTTCTGAGAATGCTGCTGACTAGTTTTTATTTGAAGATATTTCCCTTTTCACCTTAGGCCTAAGAGTGCTCGAAATGTCCATTTCCACATACTCCACAAAGTGTGTTTCAAACGTGCTGTATGAAAGGGAATGTTCAACTCTATGAGTTGAATGCAAACATCACAAAGAAGATTCTGAGAATGCTTTTGTCTAGATTTTATATGAAGATATTCCCGTGTCCAACGAAATTTTCAAAGGTCTCCAAATATCCATTTGTAGATTCTACAAAAAGAGTGTTTCCAAACTGCTGTATCAAAACAAAGGTTGAACTCTGTGAGTTGAGGACACACATCACAAATAAGTTTCTGAGAATGCTTCTGTCTAGTTTTTATTTGAAGATGTTTCCTTTTTCACCATAGGCCTGAAAGCGCTCGAAATGTCCACTTCCAGATAGTACAGAAAGAGTGTTTCAAACCTGCTCTATGAACGGGAATGTTCAGCTCCGTGAGTTGAATGCAAACATCACAAAGCAGGTTCTGAGAATGCTTCCGTCTAGATTTTAAATGAGGATATTCCCGTTTCCAACGAAATCCTCGAAGCTATCCAAATATCCACTTGCAGATTCCACAGAAAGAGTGTTTCAAAACTGCTCTCTCAAAAGATAGGTTCAACTCGGTTAGTTGAGTACACACATGGCAAACAAGATTCCGAGAATGCTTTCGTCTAGTTTTTTTGGGAAGATATTTCCTTCTTCACCATAGGCCTCAAAGCGCTCCAAATATCCATTTCCACATGCTATACAAAGAGTGTCTCAAACCTGCTGTATGAATGGGAATGTTCAACTCTATGAGTTGAATGCAAACATCACAAAGAAGTTTCTGAGAATGCTGCTGTCTAGATTTTATATGAAGGTTTTCCCGCTTCCAACGAAATTTTCAATGCTCTCAAAATATCCTCTTGTAGATTCTACAAAAAGAGTGTTTCCAAACTGCTGTATCAAAACAAAGGTTCATCTCTGTTAGTTGAGGACACACATCACAAATAAGTTTCTGAGAATGCTTCTGTCTAGTTCTGATTTGAAGACATTTCCTTTCTCACCTTAGGCCTGAAAGCGATCGAAATACCCACTTCCAGGTACTACAGAAACAGTGATTCAAACCTGCTCTATGAAAGGGAATGTTCAACTAGGTGACTTGAATGCAAACATCACAAAGCAGATTCTGAGAATGCTGCTGTCTACTTTCTATTTGTAATCCCGTTTCCAACGAAATCCTCAGAACTATCGAAATTTCCAATTGCAGATTCCACAAAAAGAGTGTTTCAAAGCTGCTCTGTAAAAAGAAAGGTTCAACTCTGTTAGTTGAATACACACGTCACAAACAAGTTTCTGAGAATGGTTCTGTCTAGTTTTTATGGGAAGATATTTCCTTTTTCACCGTAGGCCTCAAAGCGCTCCAAATGTCCACTTCCACATACTACAAAAAGAGTGTTTCAAACCTGCTGTATGAAAGGGAATGTTCAACTCTATGAGTTGAATGCAAACATTACAAAGAAGTTTCTGAGAATGCTTCTGTCTAGATTTTATATGAAGGTTTTCCCGTTTCCAACGAAATTTTCAATGCTCTCAAAATATCCACCTGTAGATTCTACAAAAAGAGTGTTTCCAAACTGCTGTGTCAAAAGAAAAGTTCAACTCTGTTAGTTGAGGACACACATCACAAATAAGTTTCTGAGAATGCTGCTGTCTACTTTCTATTTGTAATCCCGTTTCCAACGAAATCCTCAGAACTATCAAAATTTCCAATTGCAGATTCCACAAAAAGCGTGTTTCAAAGCTGCTCTGTAAAAAGAAAGGTTCAACTCTGTTAGTTGAATACACACGTCACAAACAAGTTTCTGAGAATGCTTCTGTCTAGTTTTTATGGGAAGATATTTCCTTTTTCACCGTAGGCCTCAAAGCGCTCCAAATGTCCACTTCCACATACTACAAAAAGAGTGTTTCAAACCTGCTCTATGATAGGGAATGTTGAAACCTATGAGTTGAATGCAAGCATTACAAAGAGGTTTCTGAGAATGCTTCTGTCTAGATTTTATATGTAGATATTCCCGTTTCCAACGAAATCCTCAAAGCTATCCAAATATCAACTTGCAGATTCTACAAAAGGAATGTTTCCAAAATGCTGTATCCAAACAAAGGTTCAACTCTGTGAATTGAGGGCATACATCACAAAGAAGATTCTGAGAATGCTTCTGTCTAGATTTTATATGAAAATATTCCCGTTTCCAACGAAATCCTCAAAAGCTATCCAAATATCCACTTGCAAATGCCACAAAAAGAGTGTTTCCAAACTGCTCTGTGAAAAGGAAGGTTCAACTCTGTTAGTTGAGTACACACATCACAAAGAGGTTTCTGAGAATGCTGCTGGCTAGTTTTTATTTGAAGATATTTCCCTTTTCACCTTAGGCCTAAGAGTGCTCGAAATGTCCATTTCCACATACTCCACAAAGTGTGTTCCAAACGTGCTGTATGAAAGGGAATGTTCAACTCTATGAGTTGAATGCAAACATCACAAAGAAGATTCTGAGAATGCTTTTGTCTAGATTTTATATGAAGATATTCCCGTGTCCAACGAAATTTTCAATGGTCTCCAAATATCCATTTGTAGATTCTACAAAAAGAGTGTTTCCAAACTGCTGTATCAAAACAAAGGTTGAACTCTGTGAGTTGAGGACACACATCACAAATAAGTTTCTGAGAATGCTTCTGTCTAGTTTTTATTTGAAGATATTTCCTTTTTCACCATAGGCCTGAAAGCGCTCGAAATGTCCACTTCCAGATAGTACAGAAAGAGTGTTTCAAACCTGCTCTATGAACGGGAATGTTCAGCTCTGTGAGTTGAATGCAAACATCACAAAGCAGGTTCTGAGAATGCTTCCGTCTAGATTTTAAATGAGGATATTCCCGTTTCCAACGAAATCCTCGAAGCTATCCAAATATCCACTTGCAGATTCCACAAAAAGAGTGTTTCAAAACTGCTCTGTCAAAAGATAGGTTCAACTCTGTTAGTTGAGTACACACATGGCAAACAAGATTCCGAGAATGCTTTCGTCTAGTTTTTTTGGGAAGATATTTCCTTCTTCACCATAGGCCTCAAAGCGCTCCAAATATCCATTTCCACATACTATACAAAGAGTGTCTCAAAACTGCTGTATGAAAGGGAACGTTCAACTCTATGAGTTGAATGCAAACATCACAAAGAAGTTTCTGAGAATGCTGCTGTCTAGATTTTATATGAAGGTTTTCCCGCTTCCAACGAAATTTTCAACGCTCTCAAAATATCCTCTTGTAGATTCTACAAAAAGAGTGTTTCCAAACTGCTGTATCAAAACAAAGGTTTATCTCTGTTAGTTGAGGACACACATCACAAATAAGTTTCTGAGAATGCTTCTGTCTAGTTCTTATTTGAAGACATTTCCTTTCTCACCTTAGGCCTGAAAGCGCTCGAAATACCCACTTCCAGATACTACAGAAACAGTGATTCAAACCTGCTCTATGAAAGGGAATGTTCAACTATGTGACTTGAATGCAAACATCACAAAGCAGTTTCTGAGAATGCTGCTGTCTACTTTCTATTTGTAATCCCGTTTCCAACGAAATCCTCAGAACTATCGAAATTTCCAATTGCAGATTCCACAGAAACAGGGTTTCAAAGCTGCTCTGTAAAAAGAAAGGTTCAACTCTGTTAGTTGAATACACACGTCACAAACAAGTTTCTGAGAATGCTTCTGTCTAGTTTTTATGGGAAGATATTTCCTTTTTCACCGTAGGCCTCAAAGCGCTCCAAATGTCCACTTCCACATACTACAAAAAGAGTGTTTCAAACCTGCTGTATGAAAGGGAATGTTCAACTCTATGAGTCGAATGCAAACATTACAAAGAAGTTTCTGAGAATGCTTCTGTCTAGATTTTATATGAAGGTTTTCCCGTTTCCAACGAAATTTTCAATGCTCTCAAAATATCCACTTGTAGATTCTACAAAAAGAGTGTTTCCAAACTGCTGTGTCAAAAGAAAGGTTCAACTCTGTTAGTTGAGGACACACATCACAAATAAGTTTCTGAGAATGCTGCTGTCTACTTTCTATTTGTAATCCCGTTTCCAACGAAATCCTCAGAACTATCGAAATTTCCAATTGCAGATTCCACAAAAAGCGTGTTTCAAAGCTGCTCTGTAAAAAGAAAGGTTCAACTCTGTTAGTTGAATACACACGTCACAAACAAGTTTCTGAGATTGCTTCTGTCTAGTTTTTATGGGAAGATATTTCCTTTTTCACCGTAGGCCTCAAAGCACTCCAAATGTCCACTTCCACATACTACAAAAAGAGTGTTTCAAACCTGCTGTATGAAAGGGAATGTTCAACTCTATGAGTTGAATGCAAACATTACAAAGAAGTTTCTGAGAATGCTTCTGTCTAGATTTTATATGAAGGTTTTCCCGTTTCCAACGAAATTTTCAATGCTCTCAAAATATCCACTTGTAGATTCTACAAAAAGAGTGTTTCCAAACTGCTGTGTCAAAAGAAAGGTTCAACTCTGTTAGTTGAGGACACACATCACAAATAAGTTTCTGAGAATGCTGCTGTCTACTTTGTATTTGTAATCCCGTTTCCAACGAAATCCTCAGAACTATCGAAATTTCCAATTGCAGATTCCACAAAAAGCGTGTTTCAAAGCTGCTCTGTAAAAAGAAAGGTTCAACTCTGTTAGTTGAATACACACGTCACAAACAAGTTTCTGAGAATGCTTCTGTCTAGTTTTTATGGGAAGATATTTCCTTTTTCACCGTAGGCCTCAAAGCGCTCCAAATGTCCACTTCCACATACTACAAAAAGAGTGTTTCAAACCTGCTGTATGAAAGGGAATGTTCAACTCTATGAGTTGAATGCAAACATTACAAAGAAGTTTCTGAGAATGCTTCTGTTCTAGATTTTATATGAAGGTTTTCCCGTTTCCAACGAAATTTTCAATGCTCTCAAAATATCCACTTGTAGATTCTACAAAAAGAGTGTTTCCAAACTGCTGTGTCAAAAGAAAGGTTCAACTCTGTTAGTTGAGGACACACATCACAAATAAGTTTCTGAGAATGCTTCTGTCTAGTTCTTATTTGAAGACATTTCCTTTCTCACCTTAGGCCTGAAAACGCTCGAAATATCCACTTCCAGATACGACAGAAACAGTGATTCAAACCTGCTCTATGAAAGGGAATGTTCAACTAGGTGACTTGAATGCAAACATCACAAAGCAGTTTCTGAGAATGCTTGCTGTCTACTTTCTATTTGTAATCCCGTTTCCAACGAAATCCTCAGAACTATCGAAATTTCCAATTGCAGATTCCACAGAAACAGGGTTTCAAAGCTGCTCTGTAAAAAGAAAGGTTCAACTCTGTTAGTTGAATACACACGTCACAAACAAGTTTCTGAGAATGCTTCTGTCTAGTTTTTATGGGAAGATATTTCCTTTTTCACCGTAGGCCTCAAAGCGCTCCAAATGTCCACTTCCACATACTACAAAAAGAGTGTTTCAAACCTGCTGTATGAAAGGGAATGTTCAACTCTATGAGTTGAATGCAAACATTACAAAGAAGTTTCTGAGAATGCTTCTGTCTAGATTTTATATGAAGGTTTTCCCGTTTCCAACGAAATTTTCAATGCTCTCAAAATATCCACTTGTAGATTCTACAAAAAGAGTGTTTCCAAACTGCTGTGTCAAAAGAAAGGTTCAACTCTGTTAGTTGAGGACACACATCACAAATAAGTTTCTGAGAATGCTTCTGTCTAGTTCTTATTTGAAGACATTTCCTTTCTCACCTTAGGCCTGAAAACGCTCGAAATATCCACTTCCAGATACGACAGAAACAGTGATTCAAACCTGCTCTATGAAAGGGAATGTTCAACTAGGTGACTTGAATGCAAACATCACAAAGCAGTTTCTGAGAATGCTGCTGTCTACTTTCTATTTGTAATCCCGTTTGCAACGAAATCCTCAGAACTATCGAAATTTCCAATTGCAGATTCCACAGAAACAGGGTTTCAAAGCTGCTCTGTAAAAAGAAAGGTTCAACTCTGTTAGTTGAATACACACGTCACAAACAAGTTTCTGAGAATGCTTCTGTCTAGTTTTTATGGGAAGATATTTCCTTTTTCACCGTAGGCCTCAAAGCGCTCCAAATGTCCACTTCCACATACTACAAAAAGAGTGTTTCAAACCTGCTGTATGAAAGGGAATGTTCAACTCTATGAGTTGAATGCAAACATTGCAAAGAAGTTTCTGAGAATGCTTCTGTCTAGATTTTATATGAAGGTTTTCCCGTTTCCAACGAAATTTTCAATGCTCTCAAAATATCCACTTGTAGATTCTACAAAAAGAGTGTTTCCAAACTGCTGTGTCAAAAGAAAGGTTCAACTCTGTTAGTTGAGGACACACATCACAAATAAGTTTCTGAGAATGCTTCTGTCTAGTTCTTATTTGAAGACATTTCCTTTCTCACCTTAGGCCTGAAAACGCTCGAAATATCCACTTCCAGATACGACAGAAACAGTGATTCAAACCTGCTCTATGAAAGGGAATGTTCTACTAGGTGACTTGAATGCAAACATCACAAAGCAGTTTCTGAGAATGCTGCTGTCTACTTTCTATTTGTAATCCCGTTTCCAACGAAATCCTCAGAACTATCGAAATTTCCAATTGCAGATTCCACAGAAACAGGGTTTCAAAGCTGCTCTGTAAAAAGAAAGGTTCAACTCTGTTAGTTGAATACACACGTCACAAACAAGTTTCTGAGAATGCTTCTGTCTAGTTTTTATGGGAAGATATTTCCTTTTTCACCGTAGGCCTCAAAGCGCTCCAAGTGTCCACTTCCACATACTACAAAAAGAGTGTTTCAAACCTGCTGTATGAAAGGGAATGTTCAACTCTATGAGTTGAATGCAAACATTACAAAGAAGTTTACTGAGAATGCTTCTGTCTAGATTTTATATGAAGGTATTCCCGTTTCCAACGAAATTTTCAATGCTCTCAAAATATCCACTTGTAGATTCTACAAAAAGAGTGTTTCCAAACTGCTGTATCAAAACAAATGTTCAACTCTGTTAGTTGAAGACACACATCACAAATAAGTTTCTGAGAATTCTTCTGTCTAGTTCTTATTTGAAGACGTTTCCTTTCTCACCTTAGGCCTGAAAGCGCTCGAAATATCCACTTCCAGATAGTACAGAAATAGTGATTCAAACCTGCTCTATGAAAGGGAATGTTCAACTAGGGGACTTGAATGCAAACATCACAAAGCAGTTTCTCAGAATGCTGCTGTCTACTTTCTATTTGTAATCCCGTTTCCAACGAAATCCTCAGAACTATCGAAATTTTCAATTGCAGATTCCACAAAAAGAGTGTTTCAAAGCTGCCCTGTAAAAAGAAAGGTTCAACTCTGTTAGTTGAATACACACGTCACAAACAAGTTTCTGAGAATGCTTCTGTCTAGTTTTTATGGGAAGATATTTCCTTTTTCACCGTAGGCCTCAAAGGGCTCCAACTGTCCATTTCCACATACTACAAAAAGAGTGTTTCAAACCTGCTGTATGAACCGGAATGTGCAACTCTATGAGTTGAATGCAAACATTACAAAGTAGTTTCTTAGAATGCTTCTGTCTAGAATTTATATGAAGGTTTTCCCGTTTCCAACGAAATTTTCAATGCTCTCAAAATATCCACTTGTAGATTCTACAAAAAGAGTGTTTCCAAACTGCTGTATCAAAACAAAGATTCAACTCTGTTAGTTGAGGACACACATCACAAATAAGTTTCTGAGAATGCTTCTGTCTACTTCTTATTTGAAGACATTTCCTTTCTCACCTTAGGCCTGAAAGCGCTCGAAATATCCACTTCCAGATACTACAGAGACAGTGATTCAAACCTGCTCTATGAAAGGGAATGTTCAACTATGTGACTTGAATGCAAACATCACAAAGCAGTTTCTGAGAATGCTGCTGTCGACTTTCTATTTGTAATCCCGTTTCCAACGAAATCCTCAGAACTATCGAAATTTCCAATTGCAGATTCCACAAAAAGAGTGTTTCAAAGCTGCTCTGTAAAAAGAAAGGTTCAACTCTGTTAGTTGAATACACGTCAGAAACAAGTTTCTGAGAATGCTTCTGTCTAGTTTTTATGGGAAGATATTTCCTTTTTCACCGTAGGCCTCAAAGCGCTCCAAATGTCCACTTCCACATACTACAAAAAGAGTGTATCAAACCTGCTCTATGATAGGGAATGTTGAAACCTATGAGTTGAATGCAAACATTACAAAGAGGTTTCGAGAGAATGCTTCTGTCTAGATTTTATATGTAGATATTCCCGTTTCCAACGAAATCCTCAAAGCTATCCAAATATCAACTTGCAGATTCTACAAAAGGAATGTTTCCAAAATGCTGTATCCAAACAAAGGTTCAACTCTGTGAATTGAGGGCATACATCACAAAGAAGATTCTGAGAATGCTTCTGTCTAGATTTTATATGAAAATATTCCCGTTTCCAACGAAATCCTCAAAGCTATCCAAATATCCACTTGCAAATGCCTCAAAAAGAGTGTTTCCAAACTGCTCTGTGAAAAGGAAGGTTCAACTCTGTTAGTTGAGTACACACATCACAAAGAGGTTTCTGAGAATGCTGCTGACTAGTTTTTATTTGAAGATATTTCCCTTTTCACCTTAGGCCTAAGAGTGCTCGAAATGTCCATTTCCACATACTCCACAAAGTGTGTTTCAAACGTGCTGTATGAAAGGGAATGTTCAACTCTATGAGTTGAATGCAAACATCACAAAGAAGATTCTGAGAATGCTTTTGTCTAGATTTTATATGAAGATATTCCCGTGTCCAACGAAATTTTCAAAGGTCTCCAAATATCCATTTGTAGATTCTACAAAAAGAGTGTTTCCAAACTGCTGTATCAAAACAAAGGTTGAACTCTGTGAGTTGAGGACACACATCACAAATAAGTTTCTGAGAATGCTTCTGTCTAGTTTTTATTTGAAGATGTTTCCTTTTTCACCATAGGCCTGAAAGCGCTCGAAATGTCCACTTCCAGATAGTACAGAAAGAGTGTTTCAAACCTGCTCTATGAACGGGAATGTTCAGCTCTGTGAGTTGAATGCAAACATCACAAAGCAGGTTCTGAGAATGCTTCCGTCTAGATTTTAAATGAGGATATTCCCGTTTCCAACGAAATCCTCGAAGCTATCCAAACATCCACTTGAAGATTCCACAAAAAGAGTGTTTCAAAACTGCTCTGTCAAAAGATCGGTTCAACTCTGTTAGTTGAGTACACACATGGCAAACAAGATTCCGAGAATGCTTTCGTCTAGTTTTTTTGGGAAGATATTTCCTTCTTCACCATAGGCCTCAAAGCGCTCCAAATATCCATTTCCACATGCTATACAAAGAGTGTCTCAAACCTGCTGTATGAATGGGAATGTTCAACTCTATGAGTTGAATGCAAACATCACAAAGAAGTTTCTGAGAATGCTGCTGTGTAGTTTTTGATGAAGATATCTCCTTCTCTAAAACAGAACTCCAAGCCCTCCAAATATTCACTTCAAGATTCTACGGAAAGATTGTCTCAAACTGCTAAATCAAAACAAAGTTTCAACTCTGTGTGATGAATGCATTCATCACAAAGAAGCTTCTCTGAGTGCTTCTGTCTAGATTTTATGTGAAGATATTGCCTTTTCCATTGTAATCCTCAAATCTATCCAAATATCCACTTGTAGATTCTAAAAAAAGAGTGTTTCAAAACTGCTCTGTCACGAGGAAGGTTCAACTCTGTTACTTGAGTACACACATCACAAAGAAGTTTCTGAGAAAGCTTCTGTCTACATTTTATGGGAAGATATTTCTTTTTTCACCATAGGCTTCAAAGCGCTCGAAAAGTCCATTTCAACATACTACACAAAGAGTGTTTCAAACCTGCTGTATCAAAGGGAATGTTCAACTCCATGAGTTGAATGCAAACAACACAATGAAGTTTCGGAGAATGCTTCTGTCTAGATTTTATATGAAGGTTTTCCCGCTTCCAACAAAATTTTCAATGCTCTCAAAATATCCACTTGTAGATTCTCCAGAAAGAGTGTTTCCAAACTGCTGTATCAAAACAAAGGTTCAACTCTGTCAGTTGAGGACACACATCACAAATAAGTTTCTGAGAATGCTTCTGTCTAGTTCGGATTTAAAGACATTACCTTTCTCACCTTAGGCCTGAAAGCGCTCGCAATATCCACTTCCAGATACTACAGAAACAGTGATTCAAACCTCCTCTATGAAAGGGAATGTTCAACTAGGTGACTTGAATACAAACATCACAAAGCAGTTTCTGAGAATGCTGCTGTCTACTTTCTATTTGTAATCCCGTTTCCAACGAAATCCTCAGAACTATCGAAATTTCCAATTGCAGATTCCACCAAAAGAGTGTTTCAAAGCTGCTCTGTAAGAAGAAAGTTTCAACTCTGTTAGTTGAATACACACGTCACAAACAAGTTTCTGAGAATGCTTCTGTCTAGATTTTATATGTAGATATTCCCGTTTCCAACCGAAATCCTCAAAGCTATCCAAATATCAACTTGCAGATTCTACAAAAGGAATGTTTCCAAAATGCTGTATCCAAACAAAGGTTCAACTCTGTGAATTGAGGGCATACATAACAAAGAAGATTCTGAGAATGCTTCTGTCTAGATTTTATATGAAAATATTCCCGTTTCCAACGAAATCCTCAAAGCTATCCAAATATCCACTTGCAAATGCCACAAAAAGAGTGTTTCCAAACTGCTCTGTGAAAAGGAAGGTTCAACTCTGTTAGTTGAGTACACACATCACAAAGAGGTGTCTGAGAATGCTGCTGACTAGTTTTTATTTGAAGATATTTCCCTTTTCACCTTAGGCCTAAGAGTGCTCGAAATGTCCATTTCCACATACTCCACAAAGTGTGTTTCAAACGTGCTGTATGAAAGGGAATGTTCAACTCTATGAGTTGAATGCAAACATCACAAAGAAGATTCTGAGAATGCTTTTGTCTAGATTTTATATGAAGATATTCCCGTGTCCAACGAAATTTTCAAAGGTCTCCAAATATCCATTTGTAGATTCTACAAAAAGAGTGTTTCCAAACTGCTGTATCAAAACAAAGGTTGAACTCTGTGAGTTGAGGACACACATCACAAGTAAGTTTCTGAGAATGCTTCTGTCTAGTTTTTATTTGAAGATGTTTCCTTTTTCACCATAGGCCTGAAAGCGCTCGAAATGTCCCCTTCCAGATAGTACAGAAAGAGTGTTTCAAACCTGCTCTATGAACGGGAATGTTCAGCTCTGTGAGTTGAATGCAAACATCACAAAGCAGGTTCCGAGAATGCTTCCGTCTAGATTTTAAATGAGGATATTCCCGTTTCCAACGAAATCCTCGAAGCTATCCAAATATCCACTTGCAGATTCCACAAAAACAGTGTTTCAAAACTGCTCTGTCAAAAGATAGGTTCAACTCTGTTAGTTGAGTACACACATGGCAAACAAGATTCCGAGAATGCTTTCGTCTAGTTTTTTTGGGAAGATATTTCCTTCTTCACCATAGGCCTCAAAGCGCTCCAAATATCCATTTCCACATGCTATACAAAGAGTGTCTCAAACCTGCTGTATGAATGGGAATGTTCAACTCTATGAGTTGAATGCAAACATCACAAAGAAGTTTCTGAGAATGCTGCTGTCTAGATTTTATATGAAGGTTTTCCCGCTTCCAACGAAATTTTCAATGCTCTCAAAATATCCTCTTGTAGATTCTACAAAAAGAGTGTTTCCAAACTGCTGTATCAAAACAAAGGTTCATCTCTGTTAGTTGAGGACACACATCACAAATAAGTTTCTGAGAATGCTTCTGTCTAGTTCTTATTTGAAGACATTTCCTTTCTCACCTTAGGCTTGAAAGCGCTCGAAATATCCACTTCCAGATACGACAGAAACTGTGATTCAAACCTGCTCTATGAAAGGGAATGTTCAACTAGGTGACTTGAATGCAAACATCACAAAGCAGTTTCTGAGAATGCTGCTGTCTACTTTCTATTTGTAATCCCGTTTCCAACGAAATCCTCAGAACTATCGAAATTTCCAATTGCAGATTCCACAAAAAGCGTGTTTCAAAGCTGCTCTGTAAAAAGAAAGGTTCAACTCTGTTAGTTGAATACACACGTCACAAACAAGTTTCTGAGAATGCTTCTGTCTAGTTTTTATGGGAAGATATTTCCTTTTTCACCGTAGGCCTCAAAGCGCTCCAAATGTCCACGTCCACATACTACAAAAAGAGTGTTTCAAACCTGCTGTATGAAAGGGAATGTTCAACTCTATGAGTTGAATGCAAACATTACAAAGAAGTTTCTGAGAATGCTTCTGTCTAGATTTTATATGAAGGTTTTCCCGTTTCCAACGAAATTTTCAATGCTCTCAAAATATCCACTTGTAGATTCTACAAAAAGAGTGTTTCCAAACTGCTGTGTCAAAAGAAAGGTTCAACTCTGTTAGTTGAGGACACACATCACAAATAAGTTTCTGAGAATGCTTCTGTCTAGTTCTTATTTGAAGACATTTCCTTTCTCACCTTAGGCCTGAAAACGCTCGAAATATCCACTTCCAGATACGACAGAAACAGTGATTCAAACCTGCTCTATGAAAGGGAATGTTCAACTAGGTGACTTGAATGCAAACATCACAAAGCAGTTTCTGAGAATGCTGCTGTCTACTTTCTATTTGTAATCCCGTTTCCAATGAAATCCTCAGAACTATCGAAATTTCCAATTGCAGATTCCACAAAAAGCGTGTTTCAAAGCTGCTCTGTAAAAAGAAAGGTTCAACTCTGTTAGTTGAATACACACGTCACAAACAAGTTTCTGAGAATGCTTCTGTCTAGTTTTTATGGGAAGATATTTCCTTTTTCACCGTAGGCCTCAAAGCGCTCCAAATGTCCACTTCCACATACTACAAAAAGAGTGTTTCAAACCTGCTCTATGATAGGGAATGTTGAAACCTATGAGTTGAATGCAAGCATTACAAAGAGGTTTCTGAGAATGCTTCTGTCTAGATTTTATATGTAGATATTCCCGTTTCCAACGAAATCCTCAAAGCTATCCAAATATGAACTTGCAGATTCTACAAAAGGAATGTTTCCAAAATGCTGTATCCAAACAAAGGTTCAACTCTGTGAATTGAGGGCATACATCACAAAGAAGATTCTGAGAATGCTTCTGTCTAGATTTTATATGAAAATATTCCCGTTTCCAATGAAATCCTCAAAGCTATCCAAATATCCACTTGCAAATGCCACAAAAAGAGTGTTTCCAAACTGCTCTGTGAAAAGGAAGGTTCAACTCTGTTAGTTGAGTACACACATCACAAAGAGGTTTCTGAGAATGCTGCTGACTAGTTTTTATTTGAAGATATTTCCCTTTTCACCTTAGGCCTAAGAGTGCTCGAAATGTCCATTTCCACATACTCCACAAAGTGTGTTTCAAACGTGCTGTATGAAAGGGAATGTTCAACTCTATGAGTTGAATGCAAACATCACAAAGAAGATTCTGAGAATGCTTTTGTCTAGATTTTATATGAAGATATTCCCGTGTCCAACGAAATTTTCAAAGTTCTCCAAATATCCATTTGTAGATTCTACAAAAAGAGTGTTTCCAAACTGCTGTATCAAAACAAAGGTTGAACTCTGTGAGTTGAGGACACACATCACAAATAAGTTTCTGAGAATGCTTCTGTCTAGTTTTTATTTGAAGATGTTTCCTTTTTCACCATAGGCCTGAAAGCGCTCGAAATGTCCACTTCCAGATAGTACAGAAAGAGTGTTTCAAACCTGCTCTATGAACGGGAATGTTCAGCTCTGTGAGTTGAATGCAAACATCACAAAGCAGGTTCTGAGAATGCTTCCGTCTAGATTTTATATGAGGATATTCCCGTTTCCAACGAAATCCTCGAAGCTATCCAAATATCCACTTGCAGATTCCACAAAAAGAGTGTTTCAAAACTGCTCTCTCAAAAGATAGGTTCAACTCTGTTAGTTGAGTACACACATGGCAAACAAGATTCCGAGAATGCTTTCGTCTAGTTTTTTTGGGAAGATATTTCCTTCTTCACCATAGGCCTCAAAGCGCTCCAAATATCCATTTCCACATGCTATACAAAGAGTGTCTCAAACCTGCTGTATGAATGGGAATGTTCAACTCTATGAGTTGAATGCAAACATCACAAAGAAGTTTCTGAGAATGCTGCTGTCTAGATTTTATATGAAGGTTTTCCCGCTTCCAACGAAATTTTCAATGCTCTCAAAATATCCTCTTGTAGATTCTACAAAAAGAGTGTTTCCAAACTGCTGTATCAAAACAAAGGTTCATCTCTGTTAGTTGAGGACACACATCACAAATAAGTTTCTGAGAATGCTTCTGTCTAGTTCTTATTTGAAGACATTTCCTTTCTCACCTTAGGCCTGAAAGCGCTCGAAATACCCACTTCCAGATACTACAGAAACAGTGATTCAAACCTGCTCTATGAAAGGGAATGTTCCACTAGGTGACTTGAATGCAAACATCACAAAGCAGTTTCTGAGAATGCTGCTGTCTACTTTCTATTTGTAATCCCGTTTCCAACGAAATCCTCAGAACTATCGAAATTTCCAATTGCAGATTCCACAGAAACAGGGTTTCAAAGCTGCTCTGTAAAAAGAAAGGTTCAACTCTGTTAGTTGAATACACACGTCACAAACAAGTTTCTGAGAATGCTTCTGTCTAGTTTTTATGGGAAGATATTTCCTTTTTCACCGTAGGCCTCAAAGCGCTCCAAATGTCCACTTCCACATACTACAAAAAGAGTGTTTCAAACCTGCTGTATGAAAGGGAATGTTCAACTCTATGAGTCGAATGCAAACATTACAAAGAAGTTTCTGAGAATGCTTCTGTCTAGATTTTATATGAAGGTTTTCCCGTTTCCAACGAAATTTTCAATGCTCTCAAAATATCCACTTGTAGATTCTACAAAAAGAGTGTTTCCAAACTGCTGTGTCAAAAGAAAGGTTCAACTCTGTTAGTTGAGGACACACATCACAAATAAGTTTCTGAGAATGCTGCTGTCTACTTTCTATTTGTAATCCCGTTTCCAACGAAATCCTCAGAACTATCGAAATTTCCAATTGCAGATTCCACAAAAAGCGTGTTTCAAAGCTGCTCTGTAAAAAGAAAGGTTCAACTCTGTTAGTTGAATACACACGTCACAAACAAGTTTCTGAGAATGCTTCTGTCTAGTTTTTATGGGAAGATATTTCCTTTTTCACCGTAGGCCTCAAAGCGCTCCAAATGTCCACTTCCACATACTACAAAAAGAGTGTTTCAAACCTGCTCTATGATAGGGAATGTTGAAACCTATGAGTTGAATGCAAGCATTACAAAGAGGTTTCTGAGAATGCTTCTGTCTAGATTTTATATGTAGATATTCCCGTTTCCAACGAAATCCTCAAAGCTATCCAAATATCAGCTTGCAGATTCTGCAAAAGGAATGTTTCCAAAATGCTGTATCCAAACAAAGGTTCAACTCTGTGAATTGAGGGCATACATCACAAAGAAGATTCTGAGAATGCTTCTGTCTAGCATTTTATATGAAAATATTCCCGTTTCCAACGAAATCCTCAAAGCTATCCAAATATCCACTTGCAAATGCCACAAAAAGAGTGTTTCCAAACTGCTCTGTGAAAAGGAAGGTTCAACTCTGTTAGTTGAGTACACACATCACAAAGAGGTTTCTGAGAATGCTGCTGACTAGTTTTTATTTGAAGATATTTCCCTTTTCACCTTAGGCCTAAGAGTGCTCGAAATGTCCATTTCCACATACTCCACAAAGTGTGTTTCAAACGTGCTGTATGAAAGGGAATGTTCAACTCTATGAGTTGAATGCAAACATCACAAAGAAGATTCTGAGAATGCTTTTGTCTAGATTTTATATGAAGATATTCCCGTGTCCAACGAAATTTTCAAAGGTCTCCAAATATCCATTTGTAGATTCTACAAAAAGAGTGTTTCCAAACTGCTGTATCAAAACAAAGGTTGAACTCTGTGAGTTGAGGACACACATCACAAATAAGTTTCTGAGAATGCTTCTGTCTAGTTTTTATTTGAAGATGTTTCCTTTTTCACCATAGGCCTGAAAGCGCTCGAAATGTCCACTTCCAGATAGTACAGAAAGAGTGTTTCAAACCTGCTCTATGAACGGGAATGTTCAGCTCTGTGAGTTGAATGCAAACATCACAAAGCAGGTTCTGAGAATGCTTCCGTCTAGGTTTTAAATGAGGATATTCCCGTTTCCAACGAAATCCTCGAAGCTATCCAAATATCCACTTGCAGATTCCACAAAAAGAGTGTTTCAAAACTGCTCTGTCAAAAGATAGGTTCAACTCTGTTAGTTGAGTACACACATGGCAAACAAGATTCCGAGAATGCTTTCGTCTAGTTTTTTGGGGAAGATATTTCCTTCTTCACCATAGGCCTCAAAGCGCTCCAAATATCCATTTCCACATGCTATACAAAGAGTGTCTCAAACCTGCTGTATGAATGGGAATGTTCAACTCTATGAGTTGAATGCAAACATCACAAAGAAGTTTCTGAGAATGCTGCTGTCTAGATTTTATATGAAGGTTTTCCCGCTTCCAACGAAATTTTCAATGCTCTCAAAATATCCTCTTGTAGATTCTACAAAAAGAGTGTTTCCAAACTGCTGTATCAAAACAAAGGTTCATCTCTGTTAGTTGAGGACATACATCACAAATAAGTTTCTGAGAATGCTTCTGTCTAGTTCTTATTTGAAGACATTTCCTTTCTCACCTTAGGCCTGAAAATGCTCGAAATATCCACTTTCAGATACGACAGAAACTGTGATTCAAACCTGCTCTATGAAAGGGAATGTTCAACTAGGTGACTTGAATGCAAACATCACAAAGCAGTTTCTGAGAATGCTGCTGTCTACTTTCTATTTGTAATCCCGTTTCCAACGAAATCCTCAGAACTATCGAAATTTCCAATTGCAGATTCCACAGAAACAGGGTTTCAAAGCTGCTCTGTAAAAAGAAAGGTTCAACTCTGTTAGTTGAATACACACGTCACAAACAAGTTTCTGAGAATGCTTCTGTCTAGTTTTTATGGGAAGATATTTCCTTTTTCACCGTAGGCCTCAAAGCGCTCCAAATGTCCACTTCCACATACTACAAAAAGAGTGTTTCAAACCTGCTGTATGAAAGGGAATGTTCAACTCTATGAGTTGAATGCAAACATTACAAAGAAGTTTCTGAGAATGCATCTGTCTAGATTTTATATGAAGGTTTTCCCGTTTCCAACGAAATTTTCAATGCTCTCAAAATATCCACTTGTAGATTCTACAAAAAGAGTGTTTCCAAACTGCTGTGTCAAAAGAAAGGTTCAACTCTGTTAGTTGAGGACACACATCACAAATAAGTTTCTGAGAATGCTGCTGTCTACTTTCTATTTGTAATCCCGTTTCCAACGAAATCCTCAGAACTATCGAAATTTCCAATTGCAGATTCCACAAAAAGCGTGTTTCAAAGCTGCTCTGTAAAAAGAAAGGTTCAACTCTGTTAGTTGAATACACACGTCACAAACAAGTTTCTGAGAATGCTTCTGTCTAGTTTTTATGGGAAGATATTTCCTTTTTCACGGTAGGCCTCAAAGCGCTCAAAATGTCCACTTCCACATACTACAAAAAGAGTGTTTCAAACCTGCTCTATGATAGGGAATGTTGAAACCTATGAGTTGAATGCAAGCATTACAAAGAGGTTTCTGAGAATGCTTCTGTCTAGATTTTATATGTAGATATTCCCGTTTCCAACGAAATCCTCAAAGCTATCCAAATATCAACTTGCAGATTCTACAAAAGGAATGTTTCCAAAATGCTGTATCCAAACAAAGGTTCAACTCTGTGAATTGAGGGCATACATCACAAAGAAGATTCTGAGAATGCTTCTGTCTAGATTTTATATGAAAATATTCCCGTTTCCAACGAAATCCTCAAAGCTATCCAAATATCCACTTGCAAATGCCACAAAAAGAGTGTTTCGAAACTGCTCTGTGAAAAGGAAGGTTCAACTCTGTTAGTTGAGTACACACATCACAAAGAGGTTTCTGAGAATGCTGCTGACTAGTTTTTATTTGA
Source organism: Homo sapiens (assembly GCF_000001405.40). Classification (NCBI taxonomy): domain Eukaryota; kingdom Metazoa; phylum Chordata; class Mammalia; order Primates; family Hominidae; genus Homo; species Homo sapiens. Next base: position 19,553,154 of record NC_000015.10, on the reverse strand, counting down.
AGATATTTCCCTTTTCACCTTAGGCCTAAGAGTGCTCGAAATGTCCATTTCCACATACTCCACAAAGTGTGTTTCAAACGTGCTGTATGAAAGGGAATGTTCAACTCTATGAGTTGAATGCAAACATCACAAAGAAGATTCTGAGAATGCTTTTGTCTAGATTTTATATGAAGATATTCCCGTGTCCAACGAAATTTTCAAAGGTCTCCAAATATCCATTTGTAGATTCTACAAAAAGAGTGTTTCCAAACTGCTGTATCAAAACAAAGGTTGAACTCTGTGAGTTGAGGACACACATCACAAATAAGTTTCTGAGAATGCTTCCTGTCTAGTTTTTATTTGAAGATGTTTCCTTTTTCACCATAGGCCTGAAAGCGCTCGAAATGTCCACTTCCAGATAGTACAGAAAGAGTGTTTCAAACCTGCTCTATGAACGGGAATGTTCAGCTCTGTGAGTTGAATGCAAACATCACAAAGCAGGTTCTGAGAATGCTTCCGTCTAGATTTTAAATGAGGATATTCCCGTTTCCAACGAAATCCTCGAAGCTATCCAAATATCCACTTGCAGATTCCACAAAAAGAGTGTTTCAAAACTGCTCTGTCAAAAGATAGGTTCAACTCTGTTAGTTGAGTACACACATGGCAAACAAGATTGCGAGAATGCTTTCGTCTAGTTTTTTTGGGAAGATATTTCCTTCTTCACCATAGGCCTCAAAGCGCTCCAAATATCCATTTCCACATGCTATACAAAGAGTGTCTCAAACCTGCTGTATGAATGGGAATGTTCAACTCTATGAGTTGAATGCAAACATCACAAAGAAGTTTCTGAGAATGCTGCTGTCTAGATTTTATATGAAGGTTTTCCCGCTTCCAACGAAATTTTCAATGCTCTCAAAATATCCTCTTGTAGATTCTACAAAAAGAGTGTTTCCAAACTGCTGTATCAAAACAAAGGTTCATCTCTGTTAGTTGAGGACACACATCACAAATAAGTTTCTGAGAATGCTTCTGTCTAGTTCTTATTTGAAGACATTTCCTTTCTCACCTTAGGCCTGAAAGCGCTCGAAATACCCACTTCCAGATACGACAGAAACAGTGATTCAAACCTGCTCTATGAAAGGGAATGTTCAACTAGGTGACTTGAATGCAAACATCACAAAGCAGTTTACTGAGAATGCTGCTGTCTACTTTCCTATTTGTAATCCCGTTTCCAACGAAATCCTCAGAACTATCGAAATTTCCAATTGCAGATTCCACAGAAACAGGGTTTCAAAGCTGCTCTGTAAAAAGAAAGGTTCAACTCTGTTAGTTGAATACACACGTCACAAACAAGTTTCTGAGAATGCTTCTGTCTAGTTTTTATGGGAAGATATTTCCTTTTTCACCGTAGGCCTCAAAGCGCTCCAAATGTCCACTTCCACATACTACAAAAAGAGTGTTTCAAACCTGCTGTATGAAAGGGAATGTTCAACTCTATGAGTTGAATGCAAACATTACAAAGAAGTTTCTGAGAATGCTTCTGTCTAGATTTTATATGAAGGTTTTCCCGTTTCCAAGGAAATTTTCAATGCTCTCAAAATATCCACTTGTAGATTCTACAAAAAGAGTGTTTCCAAACTGCTGTGTCAAAAGAAAGGTTCAACTCTGTTAGTTGAGGACACACATCACAAATAAGTTTCTGAGAATGCTGCTGTCTACTTTGTATTTGTAATCCCGTTTCCAACGAAATCCTCAGAACTATCGAAATTTCCAATTGCAGATTCCACAAAAAGCGTGTTTCAAAGCTGCTCTGTAAAAAGAAAGGTTCAACTCTGTTAGTTGAATACACACGTCACAAACAAGTTTCTGAGAATGCTTCTGTCTAGTTTTTATGGGAAGATATTTCCTTTTTCACGGTAGGCCTCAAAGCGCTCCAAATGTCCACTTCCACATACTACAAAAAGAGTGTTTCAAACCTGCTCTATGATAGGGAATGTTGAAACCTATGAGTTGAATGCAAGCATTACAAAGAGGTTTCTGAGAATGCTTCTGTCTAGATTTTATATGTAGATATTCCCGTTTCCAACGAAATCCTCAAAGCTATCCAAATATCAACTTGCAGATTCTACAAAAGGAATGTTTCCAAAATGCTGTATCCAAACAAAGGTTCAACTCTGTGAATTGAGGGCATACATCACAAAGAAGATTCTGAGAATGCTTCTGTCTAGATTTTATATGAAAATATTCCCGTTTCCAACGAAATCCTCAAAGCTATCCAAATATCCACTTGCAAATGCCACAAAAAGAGTGTTTCCAAACTGCTCTGTGAAAAAGAAGGTTCAACTCTGTTAGTTGAGTACACACATCACAAAGAGGTTTCTGAGAATGCTGCTGACTAGTTTTTATTTGAAGATATTTCCCTTTTCACCTTAGGCCTAAGAGTGCTCGAAATGTCCATTTCCACATACTCCACAAAGTGTGTTTCAAACGTGCTGTATGAAAGGGAATGTTCAACTCTATGAGTTGAATGCAAACATCACAAAGAAGATTCTGAGAATGCTTTTGTCTAGATTTTATATGAAGATATTCCCGTGTCCAACGAAATTTTCAAAGGTCTCCAAATATCCATTTGTAGATTCTACAAAAAGAGTGTTTCCAAACTGCTGTATCAAAACAAAGGTTGAACTCTGTGAGTTGAGGACACACATCACAAATAAGTTTCTGAGAATGCTTCTGTCTAGTTTTTATTTGAAGATGTTTCCTTTTTCACCATAGGCCTGAAAGCGCTCGAAATGTCCACTTCCAGATAGTACAGAAAGAGTGTTTCAAACCTGCTCTATGAACGGGAATGTTCAGCTCTGTGAGTTGAATGCAAACATCACAAAGCAGGTTCTGAGAATGCTTCCGTCTAGATTTTAAATGAGGATATTCCCGTTTCCAACGAAATCCTCGAAGCTATCCAAATATCCACTTGCAGATTCCACAAAAAGAGCGTTTCAAAACTGCTCTGTCAAAAGATAGGTTCAACTCTGTTAGTTGAGTACACACATGGCAAACAAGATTCCGAGAATGCTTTCGTCTAGTTTTTTTGGGAAGATATTTCCTTCTTCACCATAGGCCTCAAAGCGCTCCAAATATCCATTTCCACATGCTATACAAAGAGTGTCTCAAACCTGCTGTATGAATGGGAATGTTCAACTCTATGAGTTGAATGCAAACATCACAAAGAAGTTTCTGAGAATGCTGCTGTCTAGATTTTATATGAAGGTTTTCCCGCTTCCAACGAAATTTTCAATGCTCTCAAAATATCCTCTTGTAGATTCTACAAAAAGAGTGTTTCCAAACTGCTGTATCAAAACAAAGGTTCATCTCTGTTAGTTGAGGACACACATCACAAATAAGTTTCTGAGAATGCTTCTGTCTAGTTCTTATTTGAAGACATTTCCTTTCTCACCTTAGGCCTGAAAACGCTCGAAATATCCACTTCCAGATACGACAGAAACTGTGATTCAAACCTGCTCTATGAAAGGGAATGTTCAACTAGGTGACTTGAATGCAAACATCACAAAGCAGTTTCTGAGAATGCTGCTGTCTACTTTCTATTTGTAATCCCGTTTCCAACGAAATCCTCAGAACTATCGAAATTTCCAATTGCAGATTCCACAAAAAGCGTGTTTCAAAGCTGCTCTGTAAAAAGAAAGGTTCAACTCTGTTAGTTGAATACACACGTCACAAACAAGTTTCTGAGAATGCTTCTGTCTAGTTTTTATGGGAAGATATTTCCTTTTTCACCGTAGGCCTCAAAGCGCTCCAAATGTCCACTTCCACATACTACAAAAAGAGTGTTTCAAACCTGCTGTATGAATGGGAATGTTCAACTCTATGAGTTGAATGCAAACATTACAAAGAAGTTTCTGAGAATGCTTCTGTCTAGATTTTATATGAAGGTTTTCCCGTTTCCAACGAAATTTTCAATGCTCTCAAAATATCCACTTGTAGATTCTACAAAAAGAGTGTTTCCAAACTGCTGTGTCAAAAGAAAGGTTCAACTCTGTTAGTTGAGGACACACATCACAAATAAGTTTCTGAGAATGCTGCTGTCTACTTTCTATTTGTAATCCCGTTTCCAACGAAATCCTCAGAACTATCGAAATTTCCAATTGCAGATTCCACAAAAAGCGTGTTTCAAAGCTGCTCTGTAAAAAGAAAGGTTCAACTCTGTTAGTTGAATACACACGTCACAAACAAGTTTCTGAGAATGCTTCTGTCTAGTTTTTATGGGAAGATATTTCCTTTTTCACCGTAGGCCTCAAAGCGCTCCAAATGTCCACTTCCACATACTACAAAAAGAGTGTTTCAAACCTGCTCTATGATAGGGAATGTTGAAACCTATGAGTTGAATGCAAGCATTACAAAGAGGTTTCTGAGAATGCTTCTGTCTAGATTTTATATGTAGATATTCCCGTTTCCAACGAAATCCTCAAAGCTATCCAAATATCAGCTTGCAGATTCTGCAAAAGGAATGTTTCCAAAATGCTGTATCCAAACAAAGGTTCAACTCTGTGAATTGAGGGCATACATCACAAAGAAGATTCTGAGAATGCTTCTGTCTAGATTTTATATGAAAATATTCCCGTTTCCAACGAAATCCTCAAAGCTATCCAAATATCCACTTGCAAATGCCACAAAAAGAGTGTTTCCAAAGTGCTCTGTGAAAAGGAAGGTTCAACTCTGTTAGTTGAGTACACACATCACAAAGAGGTTTCTGAGAATGCTGCTGACTAGTTTTTATTTGAAGATATTTCCCTTTTCACCTTAGGCCTAAGAGTGCTCGAAATGTCCATTTCCACATACTCCACAAAGTGTGTTTCAAACGTGCTGTATGAAAGGGAATGTTCAACTCTATGAGTTGAATGCAAACATCACAAAGAAGATTCTGAGAATGCTTTTGTCTAGATTTTATATGAAGATATTCCCGTGTCCAACGAAATTTTCAAAGGTCTCCAAATATCCATTTGTAGATTCTACAAAAAGAGTGTTTCCAAACTGCTGTATCAAAACAAAGGTTGAACTCTGTGAGTTGAGGACACACATCACAAATAAGTTTCTGAGAATGCTTCTGTCTAGTTTTTATTTGAAGATGTTTCCTTTTTCACCATAGGCCTGAAAGCGCTCGAAATGTCCACTTCCAGATAGTACAGAAAGAGTGTTTCAAACCTGCTCTATGAACGGGAATGTTCAGCTCTGTGAGTTGAATGCAAACATCACACAGCAGGTTCTGAGAATGCTTCCGTCTAGATTTTAAATGAGGATATTCCCGTTTCCAACGAAATCCTCGTAGCTATCCAAATATCCACTTGCAGATTCCACAAAAAGAGTGTTTCAAAACTGCTCTTTAAAAAGATAGGTTCAACTCTGTTAGTTGAGTACACACATGGCAAACAAGATTCCGAGAATGCTTTCGTCTAGTTTTTTTGGGAAGATATTTCCTTCTTCACCATAGGCCTCAAAGCGCTCCAAATATCCATTTCCACATGCTATACAAAGAGTGTCTCAAACCTGCTGTATGAATGGGAATGTTCAACTCTATGAGTTGAATGCAAACATCACAAAGAAGTTTCTGAGAATGCTGCTGTCTAGATTTTATATGAAGGTTTTCCCGCTTCCAACGAAATTTTCAATGCTCTCAAAATATCCTCTTGTAGATTCTACAAAAAGAGTGTTTCCAAACTGCTGTATCAAAACAAAGGTTCATCTCTGTTAGTTGAGGACACACATCACAAATAAGTTTCTGAGAATGCTTCTGTCTAGTTCTTATTTGAAGACATTTCCTTTCTCACCTTAGGCCTGAAAGCGCTCGAAATACCCACTTCCAGATACTACAGAAACAGTGATTCAAACCTGTTCTATGAAAGGGAATGTTCAACTAGGTGACTTGAATGCAAACATCACAAAGCAGTTTCTGAGAATGCTGCTGTCTACTTTCTATTTGTAATCCCGTTTCCAACGAAATCCTCAGAACTATCGAAATTTCCAATTGCAGATTCCACAGAAACAGGGTTTCAAAGCTGCTCTGTAAAAAGAAAGGTTCAACTCTGTTAGTTGAATACACACGTCACAAACAAGTTTCTGAGAATGCTTCTGTCTAGTTTTTATGGGAAGATATTTCCTTTTTCACCGTAGGCCTCAAAGCGCTCCAAATGTCCACTTCCACATACTACAAAAAGAGTGTTTCAAACCTGCTGTATGAAAGGGAATGTTCAACTCTATGAGTCGAATGCAAACATTACAAAGAAGTTTCTGAGAATGCTTCTGTCTAGATTTTATATGAAGGTTTTCCCGTTTCCAACGAAATTTTCAATGCTCTCAAAATATCCACTTGTAGATTCTACAAAAAGAGTGTTTCCAAACTGCTCTGTGAAAAGGAAGGTTCAACTCTGTTAGTTGAGTACACACATCACAAAGAGGTTTCTGAGAATGCTGCTGACTAGTTTTTATTTGAAGATATTTCCCTTTTCACCTTAGGCCTAAGAGTGCTCGAAATGTCCATTTCCACATACTCCACAAAGTGTGTTTCAAACGTGCTGTATGAAAGGGAATGTTCAACTCTATGAGTTGAATGCAAACATCACAAAGAAGATTCTGAGAATGCTTTTGTCTAGATTTTATATGAAGATATTCCCGTGTCCAACGAAATTTTCAAAGGTCTCCAAATATCCATTTGTAGATTCTACAAAAAGAGTGTTTCCAAACTGCTGTATCAAAACAAAGGTTGAACTCTGTGAGTTGAGGACACACATCACAAATAAGTTTCTGAGAATGCTTCTGTCTAGTTTTTATTTGAAGATGTTTCCTTTTTCACCATAGGCCTGAAAGCGCTCGAAATGTCCACTTCCAGATAGTACAGAAAGAGTGTTTCAAACCTGCTCTATGAACGGGAATGTTCAGCTCTGTGAGTTGAATGCAAACATCACAAAGCAGGTTCTGAGAATGCTTCCGTCTAGATTTTAAATGAGGATATTCCCGTTTCCAACGAAATCCTCGAAGCTATCCAAATATCCACTTGCAGATTCCACAAAAAGAGTGTTTCAAAACTGCTCTGTCAAAAGATAGGTTCAACTCTGTTAGTTGAGTACACACATGGCAAACAAGATTGCGAGAATGCTTTCGTCTAGTTTTTTTGGGAAGATATTTCCTTCTTCACCATAGTCCTCAAAGCGCTCCAAATATCCATTTCCGCATGCTATACAAAGAGTGTCTCAAACCTGCTGTATGAATGGGAAAGTTCAACTCTATGAGTTGAATGCAAACATCACAAAGAAGTTTCTGAGAATGCTGCTGTCTAGATTTTATATGAAGGTTTTCCCGCTTCCAACGAAATTTTCAATGCTCTCAAAATATCCTCTTGTAGATTCTACAAAAAGAGTGTTTCCAAACTGCTGTATCAAAACAAAGGTTCATCTCTGTTAGTTGAGGACACACATCACAAATAAGTTTCTGAGAATGCTTCTGTCTAGTTCTTATTTGAAGACATTTCCTTTCTCACCTTAGGCCTGAAAGCGCTCGAAATACCCACTTCCAGATACTACAGAAACAGTGATTCAAACCTGCTCTATGAAAGGGAATGTTCAACTAGGTGACTTGAATGCAAACATCACAAAGCAGTTTCTGAGAATGCTGCTGTCTACTTTCTATTTGTAATCCCGTTTCCAACGAAATCCTCAGAACTATCGAAATTTCCAATTGCAGATTCCACAGAAACAGGGTTTCAAAGCTGCTCTGTAAAAAGAAAGGTTCAACTCTGTTAGTTGAATACACACGTCACAAACAAGTTTCTGAGAATGCTTCTGTCTAGTTTTTATGGGAAGATATTTCCTTTTTCACCGTAGGCCTCAAAGCGCTCCAAATGTCCACGTCCACATACTACAAAAAGAGTGTTTCAAACCTGCTGTATGAAAGGGAATGTTCAACTCTATGAGTTGAATGCAAACATTACAAAGAAGTTTCTGAGAATGCTTCTGTCTAGATTTTATATGAAGGTTTTCCCGTTTCCAACGAAATTTTCAATGCTCTCAAAATATCCACTTGTAGATTCTACAAAAAGAGTGTTTCCAAACTGCTGTGTCAAAAGAAAGGTTCAACTCTGTTAGTTGAGGACACACATCACAAATAAGTTTCTGAGAATGCTTCTGTCTAGTTCTTATTTGAAGACATTTCCTTTCTCACCTTAGGCCTGAAAACGCTCGAAATATCCACTTCCAGATACGACAGAAACAGTGATTCAAACCTGCTCTATGAAAGGGAATGTTCAACTAGGTGACTTGAATGCAAACATCACAAAGCAGTTTCTGAGAATGCTGCTGTCTACTTTCTATTTGTAATCCCGTTTCCAACGAAATCCTCAGAACAATCGAAATTTCCAATTGCAGATTCCACAAAAAGCGTGTTTCAAAGCTGCTCTGTAAAAAGAAAGGTTCAACTCTGTTAGTTGAATACACACGTCACAAACAAGTTTCTGAGAATGCTTCTGTCTAGTTTTTATGGGAAGATATTTCCTTTTTCACCGTAGGCCTCAAAGCGCTCCAAATGTCCACTTCCACATACTACAAAAAGAGTGTTTCAAACCTGCTCTATGATAGGGAATGTTGAAACCTATGAGTTGAATGCAAGCATTACAAAGAGGTTTCTGAGAATGCTTCTGTCTAGATTTTATATGTAGATATTCCCGTTTCCAACGAAATCCTCAAAGCTATCCAAATATCAACTTGCAGATTCTACAAAAGGAATGTTTCCAAAATGCTGTATCCAAACAAAGGTTCAACTCTGTGAATTGAGGGCATACATCACAAAGAAGATTCTGAGAATGCTTCTGTCTAGATTTTATATGAAAATATTCCCGTTTCCAACGAAATCCTCAAAGCTATCCAAATATCCACTTGCAAATGCCACAAAAAGAGTGTTTCCAAACTGCTCTGTGAAAAGGAAGGTTCAACTCTGTTAGTTGAGTACACACATCACAAAGAGGTTTCTGAGAATGCTGCTGACTAGTTTTTATTTGAAGATATTTCCCTTTTCACCTTAGGCCTAAGAGTGCTCGAAATGTCCATTTCCACATACTCCACAAAGTGTGTTTCAAATGTGCTGTATGAAAGGGAATGTTCAACTCTATGAGTTGAATGCAAACATCACAAAGAAGATTCTGAGAATGCTTTTGTCTAGATTTTATATGAAGATATTCCCGTGTCCAACGAAATTTTCAAAGGTCTCCAAATATCCATTTGTAGATTCTACAAAAAGAGTGTTTCCAAACTGCTGTATCAAAACAAAGGTTGAACTCTGTGAGTTGAGGACACACATCACAAATAAGTTTCTGAGAATGCTTCTGTCTAGTTTTTATTTGAAGATGTTTCCTTTTTCACCATAGGCCTGAAAGCGCTCGAAATGTCCACTTCCAGATAGTACAGAAAGAGTGTTTCAAACCTGCTCTATGAACGGGAATGTTCAGCTCTGTGAGTTGAATGCAAACATCACAAAGCAGGTTCTGAGAATGCTTCCGTCTAGATTTTAAATGAGGATATTCCCGTTTCCAACGAAATCCTCGAAGCTATCCAAATATCCACTTGCAGATTCCACAAAAAGAGTGTTTCAAAACTGCTCTGTCAAAAGATAGGTTCAACTCTGTTAGTTGAGTACACACATGGCAAACAAGATTCCGAGAATGCTTTCGTCTAGTTTTTTTGGGAAGATATTTCCTTCTTCACCATAGGCCTCAAAGCGCTCCAAATATCCATTTCCACATGCTATACAAAGAGTGTCTCAAACCTGCTGTATGAATGGGAATGTTCAACTCTATGAGTTGAATGCAAACATCACAAAGAAGTTTCTGAGAATGCTGCTGTCTAGATTTTATATGAAGGTTTTCCCGCTTCCAACGAAATTTTCAATGCTCTCAAAATATCCTCTTGTAGATTCTACAAAAAGAGTGTTTCCAAACTGCTGTATCAAAACAAAGGTTCATCTCTGTTAGTTCAGGACACACATCACAAATAAGTTTCTGAGAATGTTTCTGTCTAGTTCTTATTTGAAGACATTTCCTTTCTCACCTTAGGCCTGAAAGCACTCGAAATATCCACTTCCAGATACTACAGAAACAGTGATTCATACCTGCTCTATGAAAGTGAATGTTCAGCTCTGTGAGTTGAATGCAAACATCACAAAGCAGTTTCTGAGAATGCTGCTGTCTACTTTCTATTTGTAATCCCGTTTCCAACGAAATCCTCAGAACTATCGAAATTTCCAATTGCAGATTCCACAGAAACAGGGTTTCAAAGCTGCTCTGTAAAAAGAAAGGTTCAACTCTGTTAGTTGAATACACACGTCACAAACAAGTTTCTGAGAATGCTTCTGTCTAGTTTTTATGGGAAGATATTTCCTTTTTCACCGTAGGCCTCAAAGCACTCCAAATGTCCACTTCCACATACTACAAAAAGAGTGTTTCAAACCTGCTGCATGAAAGGGAATGTTCAACTCTATGAGTTGAATGCAAACATTAAAAAGAAGTTTCTGAGAATACTTCTGTCTAGATTTTATATGAAGGTTTTCCCGTTTCCAACGAAATTTTCAATGCTCTCAAAATATCCACTTGTAGATTCTACAAAAAGAGTGTTTCCAAACTGCTGTGTCAAAAGAAAGGTTCAACTCTGTTAGTTGAGGACACACATCACAAATAAGTTTCTGAGAATGCTGCTGTCTACTTTCTATTTGTAATCCCGTTTCCAACGAAATCCTCAGAACTATCGAAATTTCCAATTGCAGATTCCACAAAAAGCGTGTTTCAAAGCTGCTCTGTAAAAAGAAAGGTTCAACTCTGTTTGTTGAATACACACGTCACAAACAAGTTTCTGAGAATGCTTCTGTCTAGTTTTTATGGGAAGATATTTCCTTTTTCACCGTAGGCCTCAAAGCGCTCCAAATGTCCACTTCCACATACTACAAAAAGAGTGTTTCAAACCTGCTCTATGATAGGGAATGTTGAAACCTATGAGTTGAATGCAAGCATTACAAAGAGGTTTCTGAGAATGCTTCTGTCTAGATTTTATATGTAGATATTCCCGTTTCCAACGAAATCCTCAAAGCTATCCAAATATCAACTTGCAGATTCTACAAAAGGAATGTTTCCAAAATGCTGTATCCAAACAAAGGTTCAACTCTGTGAATTGAGGGCATACATCACAAAGAAGATTCTGAGAATGCTTCTGTCTAGATTTTATATGAAAATATTCCCGTTTCCAACGAAATCCTCAAAGCTATCCAAATATCCACTTGCAAATGCCACAAAAAGTGTGTTTCCAAACTGCTCTGTGAAAAGGAAGGTTCAACTCTGTTAGTTGAGTACACACATCACAAAGAGGTTTCTGAGAATGCTGCTGACTAGTTTTTATTTGAAGATATTTCCCTTTTCACCTTAGGCCTAAGAGTGCTCGAAATGTCCATTTCCACATACTCCACAAAGTGTGTTTCAAACGTGCTGTATGAAAGGGAATGTTCAACTCTATGAGTTGAATGCAAACATCACAAAGAAGATTCTGAGAATGCTTTTGTCTAGATTTTATATGAAGATATTCCCGTGTCCAACGAAATTTTCAAAGGTCTCCAAATAAAGATTGTTTCCAAACTGCTGTATCAAAACAAAGGTTGAACTCTGTGAGTTGAGGACACACATCACAAATAAGTTTCTGAGAATGCTTCTGTCTAGTTTTTATTTGAAGATGTTTCCTTTTTCACCATAGGCCTGAAAGCGCTCGAAATGTCCACTTCCAGATAGTACAGAAAGAGTGTTTCAAACCTGCTCTATGAACGGGAATGTTCAGCTCTGTGAGTTGAATGCAAACATCACAAAGCAGGTTCTGAGAATGCTTCCGTCTAGATTTTAAATGAGGATATTCCCGTTTCCAACGAAATCCTCGAAGCTATCCAAATATCCACTTGCAGATTCCACAAAAAGAGTGTTTCAAAACTGCTTTGTCAAAGGATAGGTTCAACTCTGTTAGTTGAGTACACACATGGCAAACAAGATTCCGAGAATGCTTTCGTCTAGTTTTTTTGGGAAGATATTTCCTTCTTCACCATAGGCCTCAAAGCGCTCCAAATATCCATTTCCACATGCTATACAAAGAGTGTCTCAAACCTGCTGTATGAATGGGAATGTTCAACTCTATGAGTTGAATGCAAACATCACAAAGAAGTTTCTGAGAATGCTGCTGTCTAGATTTTATATGAAGGTTTTCCCGCTTCCAACGAAATTTTCAATGCTCTCAAAATATCCTCTTGTAGATTCTACAAAAAGAGTGTTTCCAAACTGCTGTATCAAAACAAAGGTTCATCTCTGTTAGTTGAGGACACACATCACAAATAAGTTTCTGAGAATGCTTCTGTCTAGTTCTTATTTGAAGACATTTCCTTTCTCACCTTAGGCCTGAAAACGCTCGAAATATCCACTTCCAGATACGACAGAAACTGTGATTCAAACCTGCTCTATGAAAGGGAATGTTCAACTAGGTGACTTGAATGCAAACATCACAAAGCAGTTTCTGAGAATGCTGCTGTCTACTTTCTATTTGTAATCCCGTTTCCAACGAAATCCTCAGAACTATCGAAATTTCCAATTGCAGATTCCACAGAAACAGGGTTTCAAAGCTGCTCTGTAAAAAGAAAGGTTCAACTCTGTTAGTTGAATACACACGTCACAAACAAGTTTCTGAGAATGCTTCTGTCTAGTTTTTATGGGAAGATATTTCCTTTTTCACCGTAGGCCTCAAAGCGCTCCAAATGTCCACTTCCACATACTACAAAAAGAGTGTTTCAAACCTGCTGTATGAAAGGGAATGGTCAACTCTATGAGTTGAATGCAAACATTACAAAGAAGTTTCTGAGAATGCTTCTGTCTAGATTTTATATGAAGGTTTTCCCGTTTCCAACGAAATTTTCAATGCTCTCAAAATATCCACTTGTAGATTCTACAAAAAGAGTGTTTCCAAACTGCTGTGTCAAAAGAAAGGTTCAACTCTGTTAGTTGAGGACACACATCACAAATAAGTTTCTGAGAATGCTGCTGTCTACATTCTATTTGTAATCCCGTTTCCAACGAAATCCTCAGAACTATCGAAATTTCCAATTGCAGATTCCACAAAAAGCGTGTTTCAAAGCTGCTCTGTAAAAAGAAAGGTTCAACTCTGTTAGTTGAATACACACGTCACAAACAAGTTTCTGAGAATGCTTCTGTCTAGTTTTTATGGGAAGATATTTCCTTTTTCACCGTAGGCCTCAAAGCGCTCCAAATGTCCACTTCCACATACTACAAAAAGAGTGTTTCAAACCTGCTCTATGATAGGGAATGTTGAAACCTATGAGTTGAATGCAAGCATTACAAAGAGGTTTCTGAGAATGCTTCTGTCTAGATTTTATATGTAGATATTCCCGTTTCCAACGAAATCCTCAAAGCTATCCAAATATCAACTTGCAGATTCTACAAAAGGAATGTTTCCAAAATGCTGTATCCAAACAAAGGTTCAACTCTGTGAATTGAGGGCATACATCACAAAGAAGATTCTGAGAATGCTTCTGTCTAGATTTTATATGAAAATATTCCCGTTTCCAACGAAATCCTCAAAGCTATCCAAATATCCACTTGCAAATGCCACAAAAAGAGTGTTTCCAAACTGCTCTGTGAAAAGGAAGGTTCAACTCTGTTAGTTGAGTACACACATCACAAAGAGGTTTCTGAGAATGCTGCTGACTAGTTTTTATTTGAAGATATTTCCCTTTTCACCTTAGGCCTAAGAGTGCTCGAAATGTCCATTTCCACATACTCCACAAAGTGTGTTTCAAACGTGCTGTATGAAAGGGAATGTTCAACTCTATGAGTTGAATGCAAACATCACAAAGAAGATTCTGAGAATGCTTTTGTCTAGATTTTATATGAAGATATTCCCGTGTCCAACGAAATTTTCAAAGGTCTCCAAATATCCATTTGTAGATTCTACAAAAAGAGTGTTTCCAAACTGCTGTATCAAAACAAAGGTTGAACTCTGTGAGTTGAGGACACACATCACAAATAAGTTTCTGAGAATGCTTCTGTCTAGTTTTTATTTGAAGATGTTTCCTTTTTCACCATAGGCCTGAAAGCGCTCGAAATGTCCACTTCCAGATAGTACAGAAAGAGTGTTTCAAACCTGCTCTATGAACGGGAATGTTCAGCTCTGTGAGTTGAATGCAAACATCACAAAGCAGGTTCCGAGAATGCTTCCGTCTAGATTTTAAATGAGGATATTCCCGTTTCCAACGAAATCCTCGAAGCTATCCAAATATCCACTTGCAGATTCCACAAAAAGAGTGTTTCAAAACTGCTCTGTCAAAAGATAGGTTCAACTCTGTTAGTTGAGTACACACATGGCAAACAAGATTGCGAGAATGCTTTCGTCTAGTTTTTTTGGGAAGATATTTCCTTCTTCACCATAGGCCTCAAAGCGCTCCAAATATCCATTTCCACATGCTATACAAAGAGTGTCTCAAACCTGCTGTATGAATGGGAATGTTCAACTCTATGAGTTGAATGCAAACATCACAAAGAAGTTTCTGAGAATGCTGCTGTCTAGATTTTATATGAAGGGTTTTCCCGCTTCCAACGAAATTTTCAATGCTCTCAAAATATCCTCTTGTAGATTCTACAAAAAGAGTGTTTCCAAACTGCTGTATCAAAACAAAGGTTCATCTCTGTTAGTTGAGGACACACATCACAAATAAGTTTCTGAGAATGCTTCTGTCTAGTTCTTATTTGAAGACATTTCCTTTCTCACCTTAGGCCTGAAAACGCTCGAAATATCCACTTCCAGATACGACAGAAACTGTGATTCAAACCTGCTCTATGAAAGGGAATGTTCAACTAGGTGACTTGAATGCAAACATCACAAAGCAGTTTCTGAGAATGCTGCTGTCTACTTTCTATTTGTAATCCCGTTTCCAACGAAATCCTCAGAACTATCGAAATTTCCAATTGCAGATTCCACAGAAACAGGGTTTCAAAGCTGCTCTGTAAAAAGAAAGGTTCAACTCTGTTAGTTGAATACACACGTCACAAACAAGTTTCTGAGAATGCTTCTGTCTAGTTTTTATGGGAAGATATTTCCTTTTTCACCATAGGCCTCAAAGCGCTCCAAATGTCCACTTCCACATACTACAAAAAGAGTGTTTCAAACCTGCTGTATGAAAGGGAATGTTCAACTCTATGAGTTGAATGCAAACATTACAAAGAAGTTTCTGAGAATGCTTCTGTCTAGATTTTATATGAAAGTTTTCCCGTTTCCAATGAAATTTTCAATGCTCTCAAAATATCCACTTGTAGATTCTACAAAAAGAGTGTTTCCAAACTGCTGTGTCAAAAGAAAGGTTCAACTCTGTTAGTTGAGGACACACATCACAAATAAGTTTCTGAGAATGCTGCTGTCTACTTTCTATTTGTAATCCCGTTTCCAACGAAATCCTCAGAACTATCGAAATTTCCAATTGCAGATTCCACAAAAAGCGTGTTTCAAAGCTGCTCTGTAAAAAGAAAGGTTCAACTCTGTTAGTTGAATACACACGTCACAAACAAGTTTCTGAGAATGCTTCTGTCTAGTTTTTATGGGAAGATATTTCCTTTTTCACCGTAGGCCTCAAAGCGCTCCAAATGTCCACTTCCACATACTACAAAAAGAGTGTTTCAAACCTGCTCTATGATAGGGAATGTTGAAACCTATGAGTTGAATGCAAGCATTACAAAGAGGTTTCTGAGAATGCTTCTGTCTAGATTTTATATGTAGATATTCCCGTTTCCAACGAAATCCTCAAAGCTATCCAAATATCAGCTTGCAGATTCTGCAAAAGGAATGTTTCCAAAATGCTGTATCCAAACAAAGGTTCAACTCTGTGAATTGAGGGCATACATCACAAAGAAGATTCTGAGAATGCTTCTGTCTAGATTTTATATGAAAATATTCCCGTTTCCAACGAAATCCTCAAAGCTATCCAAATATCCACTTGCAAATGCCACAAAAAGAGTGTTTCCAAACTGCTCTGTGAAAAGGAAGGTTCAACTCTGTTAGTTGAGTACACACATCACAAAGAGGTTTCTGAGAATGCTGCTGACTAGTTTTTATTTGAAGATATTTCCCTTTTCACCTTAGGCCTAAGAGTGCTCGAAATGTCCATTTCCACATACTCCACAAAGTGTGTTTCAAACGTGCTGTATGAAAGGGAATGTTCAACTCTATGAGTTGAATGCAAACATCACAAAGAAGATTCTGAGAATGCTTTTGTCTAGATTTTATATGAAGATATTCCCGTGTCCAACGAAATTTTCAAAGGTCTCCAAATATCCATTTGTAGATTCTACAAAAAGAGTGTTTCCAAACTGCTGTATCAAAACAAAGGTTGAACTCTGTGAGTTGAGGACACACATCACAAATAAGTTTCTGAGAATGCTTCTGTCTAGTTTTTATTTGAAGATGTTTCCTTTTTCACCATAGGCCTGAAAGCGCTCGAAATGTCCACTTCCAGATAGTACAGAAAGAGTGTTTCAAACCTGCTCTATGAACGGGAATGTTCAGCTCTGTGAGTTGAATGCAAACATCACAAAGCAGGTTCTGAGAATGCTTCCGTCTAGATTTTAAATGAGGATATTCCCGTTTCCAACGAAATCCTCGAAGCTATCCAAATATCCACTTGCAGATTCCACAAAAAGAGTGTTTCAAAACTGCTCTGTCAAAAGATAGGTTCAACTCTGTTAGTTGAGTACACACATGGCAAACAAGATTCCGAGAATGCTTTCGTCTAGTTTTTTTGGGAAGATATTTCCTTCTTCACCATAGGCCTCAAAGCGCTCCAAATATCCATTTCCACATGCTATACAAAGAGTGTCTCAAACCTGCTGTATGAATGGGAATGTTCAACTCTATGAGTTGAATGCAAACATCACAAAGAAGTTTCTGAGAATGCTGCTGTCTAGAATTTATATGAAGGTTTTCCCGCTTCCAACGAAATTTTCAATGCTCTCAAAATATCCTCTTGTAGATTCTACAAAAAGAGTGTTTCCAAACTGCTGTATCAAAACAAAGGTTCATCTCTGTTAGTTGAGGACACACATCACGAAATAAGTTTCTGAGAATGCTTCTGTCTAGTTCTTGTTTGAAGACATTTCCTTTCTCACCTTAGGCCTGAAAGCGCTCGAAATACCCACTTCCAGATACTACAGAAACAGTGATTCAAACCTGCTCTATGAAAGGGAATGTTCAACTAGGTGACTTGAATGCAAACATCACAAAGCAGTTTCTGAGAATGCTGCTGTCTACTTTCTATTTGTAATCCCGTTTCCAACGAAATCCTCAGAACTATCGAAATTTCCAATTGCAGATTCCACAGAAACAGGGTTTCAAAGCTGCTCTGTAAAAAGAAAGGTTCAACTCTGTTAGTTGAATACACACGTCACAAACAAGTTTCTGAGAATGCTTCTGTCTAGTTTTTATGGGAAGATATTTCCTTTTTCACCGTAGGCCTCAAAGCGCTCCAAATGTCCACGTCCACATACTACAAAAAGAGTGTTTCAAACCTGCTGTATGAATGGGAATGTTCAACTCTATGAGTTGAATGCAAACATTACAAAGAAGTTTCTGAGAATGCTTCTGTCTAGATTTTATATGAAGGTTTTCCCGTTTCCAACGAAATTTTCAATGCTCTCAAAATATCCACTTGTAGATTCTACAAAAAGAGTGTTTCCAAACTGCTGTGTCAAAAGAAAGGTTCAACTCTGTTAGTTGAGGACACACATCACAAATAAGTTTCTGAGAATGCTGCTGTCTACTTTCTATTTGTAATCCCGTTTCCAACGAAATCCTCAGAACTATCGAAATTTCCAATTGCAGATTCCACAAAAAGCGTGTTTCAAAGCTGCTCTGTAAAAAGAAAGATTCAACTCTGTTAGTTGAATACACACGTCACAAACAAGTTTCTGAGAATGCTTCTGTCTAGTTTTTATGGGAAGATATTTCCTTTTTCACCGTAGGCCTCAAAGCGCTCCAAATGTCCACTTCCACATACTACAAAAAGAGTGTTTCAAACCTGCTCTATGATAGGGAATGTTGAAACCTATGAGTTGAATGCAAGCATTACAAAGAGGTTTCTGAGAATGCTTCTGTCTAGATTTTATATGTAGATATTCCCGTTTCCAACGAAATCCTCAAAGCTATCCAAATATCAACTTGCAGATTCTACAAAAGGAATGTTTCCAAAATGCTGTATCCAAACAAAGGTTCAACTCTGTGAATTGAGGGCATACATCACAAAGAAGATTCTGAGAATGCTTCTGTCTAGATTTTATATGAAAATATTCCCGTTTCCAACGAAATCCTCAAAGCTATCCAAATATCCACTTGCAAATGCCACAAAAAGAGTGTTTCCAAACTGCTCTGTGAAAAGGAAGGTTCAACTCTGTTAGTTGAGTACACACATCACAAAGAGGTTTCTGAGAACGCTGCTGACTAGTTTTTATTTGAAGATATTTCCCTTTTCACCTTAGGCCTAAGAGTGCTCGAAATGTCCATTTCCACATACTCCACAAAGTGTGTTTCAAACGTGCTGTATGAAAGGGAATGTTCAAATCTATGAGTTGAATGCAAACATCACAAAGAAGATTCTGAGAATGCTTTTGTCTAGATTTTATATGAAGATATTCCCGTGTCCAACGAAATTTTCAAAGGTCTCCAAATATCCATTTGTAGATTCTACAAAAAGAGTGTTTCCAAACTGCTGTATCAAAACAAAGGTTGAACTCTGTGAGTTGAGGACACACATCACAAATAAGTTTCTGAGAATGCTTCTGTCTAGTTTTTATTTGAAGATGTTTCCTTTTTCACCATAGGCCTGAAAGCGCTCGAAATGTCCACTTCCAGATAGTACAGAAAGAGTGTTTCAAACCTGCTCTATGAACGGGAATGTTCAGCTCTGTGAGTTGAATGCAAACATCACAAAGCAGGTTCTGAGAATGCTTCCGTCTAGATTTTAAATGAGGATATTCCCGTTTCCAACGAAATCCTCGAAGCTATCCAAATATCCACTTGCAGATTCCACAGAAAGAGTGTTTCAAAACTGCTCTCTCAAAAGATAGGTTCAACTCTGTTAGTTGAGTACACACATGGCAAACAAGATTCCGAGAATGCTTTCGTCTAGTTTTTTTGGGAAGATATTTCCTTCTTCACCATAGGCCTCAAAGCGCTCCAAATATCCATTTCCACATGCTATACAAAGAGTGTCTCAAACCTGCTGTATGAATGGGAATGTTCAACTCTATGAGTTGAATGCAAACATCACAAAGAAGTTTCTGAGAATGCTGCTGTCTAGATTTTATATGAAGGTTTTCCCGCTTCCAACGAAATTTTCAATGCTCTCAAAATATCCTCTTGTAGATTCTACAAAAAGAGTGTTTCCAAACTGCTGTATCAAAACAAAGGTTCATCTCTGTTAGTTGAGGACACACATCACAAATAAGTTTCTGAGAATGCTTCTGTCTAGTTCTTATTTGAAGACATTTCCTTTCTCACCTTAGGCCTGAAAGCGCTCGAAATATCCACTTCCAGATACGACAGAAACTGTGATTCAAACCTGCTCTATGAAAGGGAATGTTCAACTAGGTGACTTGAATGCAAACATCACAAAGCAGTTTCTGAGAATGCTGCTGTCTACTTTCTATTTGTAATCCCGTTTCCAACGAAATCCTCAGAACTATCGAAATTTCCAATTGCAGATTCCACAAAAAGCGTGTTTCAAAGCTGCTCTGTAAAAAGAAAGGTTCAACTCTGTTAGTTGAATACACACGTCACAAACAAGTTTCTGAGAATGCTTCTGTCTAGTTTTTATGGGAAGATATTTCCTTTTTCACGGTAGGCCTCAAAGCGCTCCAAATGTCCACTTCCACATACTACAAAAAGAGTGTTTCAAACCTGCTCTATGATAGGGAATGTTGAAACCTATGAGTTGAATGCAAGCATTACAAAGAGGTTTCTGAGAATGCTTCTGTCTAGATTTTATATGTAGATATTCCCGTTTCCAACGAAATCCTCAAAGCTATCCAAATATCAACTTGCAGATTCTACAAAAGGAATGTTTCCAAAATGCTGTATCCAAACAAAGGTTCAACTCTGTGAATTGAGGGCATACATCACAAAGAAGATTCTGAGAATGCTTCTGTCTAGATTTTATATGAAAATATTCCCGTTTCCAACGAAATCCTCAAAGCTATCCAAATATCCACTTGCAAATGCCACAAAAAGAGTGTTTCCAAACTGCTCTGTGAAAAGGAAGGTTCAACTCTGTTAGTTGAGTACACACATCACAAAGAGGTTTCTGAGAATGCTGCTGACTAGTTTTTATTTGAAGATATTTCCCTTTTCACCTTAGGCCTAAGAGTGCTCGAAATGTCCATTTCCACATACTCCACAAAGTGTGTTTCAAACGTGCTGTATGAAAGGGAATGTTCAACTCTATGAGTTGAATGCAAACATCACAAAGAAGATTCTGAGAATGCTTTTGTCTAGATTTTATATGAAGATATTCCCGTGTCCAACGAAATTTTCAAAGGTCTCCAAATATCCATTTGTAGATTCTACAAAAAGAGTGTTTCCAAACTGCTGTATCAAAACAAAGGTTGAACTCTGTGAGTTGAGGACACACATCACAAATAAGTTTCTGAGAATGCTTCTGTCTAGTTTTTATTTGAAGATGTTTCCTTTTTCACCATAGGCCTGAAAGCGCTCGAAATGTCCACTTCCAGATAGTACAGAAAGAGTGTTTCAAACCTGCTCTATGAACGGGAATGTTCAGCTCTGTGAGTTGAATGCAAACATCACAAAGCAGGTTCTGAGAATGCTTCCGTCTAGATTTTAAATGAGGATATTCCCGTTTCCAACGAAATCCTCGAAGCTATCCAAATATCCACTTGCAGATTCCACAGAAAGAGTGTTTCAAAACTGCTCTGTCAAAAGATAGATAGGTTCAACTCTGTTAGTTGAGTACACACATGGCAAACAAGATTGCGAGAATGCTTTCGTCTAGTTTTTTTGGGAAGATATTTCCTTCTTCACCATAGGCCTCAAAGCGCTCCAAATATCCATTTCCACATGCTATACAAAGAGTGTCTCAAACCTGCTGTATGAATGGGAATGTTCAACTCTATGAGTTGAATGCAAACATCACAAAGAAGTTTCTGAGAATGCTGCTGTCTAGATTTTATATGAAGGTTTTCCCGCTTCCAACGAAATTTTCAATGCTCTCAAAATATCCTCTTGTAGATTCTACAAAAAGAGTGTTTCCAAACTGCTGTATCAAAACAAAGGTTCATCTCTGTTAGTTGAGGACACACATCACAAATAAGTTTCTGAGAATGCTTCTGTCTAGTTCTTATTTGAAGACATTTCCTTTCTCACCTTAGGCCTGAAAGCGCTCGAAATATCCACTTCCAGATACTACAGAGAACAGTGATTCAAACCTGCTCTATGAAAGGGAATGTTCAACTAGGTGACTTGAATGCAAACATCACAAAGCAGTTTCTGAGAATGCTGCTGTCTACTTTCTATTTGTAATCCCGTTTCCAACGAAATCCTCAGAACTATCGAAATTTCCAATTGCAGATTCCACAGAAACAGGGTTTCAAAGCTGCTCTGTAAAAAGAAAGGTTCAACTCTGTTAGTTGAATACACACGTCACAAACAAGTTTCTGAGAATGCTTCTATCTAGTTTTTATGGGAAGATATTTCCTTTTTCACCGTAGGCCTCAAAGCGCTCCAAATGTCCACTTCCACATACTACAAAAAGAGTGTTTCAAACCTGCTGTATGAAAGGGAATGTTCAACTCTATGAGTTGAATGCAAACATTACAAAGAAGTTTCTGAGAATGCTTCTGTCTAGATTTTATATGAAGGTTTTCCCGTTTCCAACGAAATTTTCAATGCTCTCAAAATATCCACTTGTAGATTCTACAAAAAGAGTGTTTCCAAACTGCTGTGTCAAAAGAAAGGTTCAACTCTGTTAGTTGAGGACACACATCACAAATAAGTTTCTGAGAATGCTTCTGTCTAGTTCTTATTTGAAGACATTTCCTTTCTCACCTTAGGCCTGAAAACGCTCGAAATATCCACTTCCAGATACGACAGAAACAGTGATTCAAACCTGCTCTATGAAAGGGAATGTTCAACTAGGTGACTTGAATGCAAACATCACAAAGCAGTTTCTGAGAATGCTGCTGTCTACTTTCTATTTGTAATCCCGTTTCCAACGAAATCCTCAGAACTATCGAAATTTCCAATTGCAGATTCCACAAAAAGCGTGTTTCAAAGCTGCTCTGTAAAAAGAAAGGTTCAACTCTGTTAGTTGAATACACACGTCACAAACAAGTTTCTGAGAATGCTTCTGTCTAGTTTTTATGGGAAGATATTTCCTTTTTCACCGTAGGCCTCAAAGCGCTCCAAATGTCCACTTCCACATACTACAAAAAGAGTGTTTCAAACCTGCTCTATGATAGGGAATGTTGAAACCTATGAGTTGAATGCAAGCATTACAAAGAGGTTTCTGAGAATGCTTCTGTCTAGATTTTATATGTAGATATTCCCGTTTCCAACGAAATCCTCAAAGCTATCCAAATATCAACTTGCAGATTCTACAAAAGGAATGTTTCCAAAATGCTGTATCCAAACAAAGGTTCAACTCTGTGAATTGAGGGCATACATCACAAAGAAGATTCTGAGAATGCTTCTGTCTAGATTTTATATGAAAATATTCCCGTTTCCAACGAAATCCTCAAAGCTATCCAAATATCCACTTGCAAATGCCACAAAAAGAGTGTTTCCAAACTGCTCTGTGAAAAGGAAGGTTCAACTCTGTTAGTTGAGTACACACATCACAAAGAGGTTTCTGAGAATGCTGCTGACTAGTTTTTATTTGAAGATATTTCCCTTTTCACCTTAGGCCTAAGAGTGCTCGAAATGTCCATTTCCACATACTCCACAAAGTGTGTTTCAAACGTGCTGTATGAAAGGGAATGTTCAACTCTATCAGTTGAATGCAAACATCACAAAGAAGACTCTGAGAATGCTTTTGTCTAGATTTTATATGAAGATATTCCCGTGTCCAACGAAATTTTCAAAGGTCTCCAAATATCCATTTGTAGATTCTACAAAAAGAGTGTTTCCAAACTGCTGTATCAAAACAAAGGTTGAACTCTGTGAGTTGAGGACACACATCACAAATAAGTTTCTGAGAATGCTTCTGTCTAGTTTTTATTTGAAGATGTTTCCTTTTTCACCATAGGCCTGAAAGCGCTCGAAATGTCCACTTCCAGATAGTACAGAAAGAGTGTTTCAAACCTGCTCTATGAACGGGAATGTTCAGCTCTGTGAGTTGAATGCAAACATCACAAAGCAGGTTCCGAGAATGCTTCCGTCTAGATTTTAAATGAGGATATTCCCGTTTCGAACGAAATCCTCGAAGCTATCCAAATATCCACTTGCAGATTCCACAAAAAGAGTGTTTCAAAACTGCTCTGTCAAAAGATAGGTTCAACTCTGTTAGTTGAGTACACACATGGCAAACAAGATTGCGAGAATGCTTTCGTCTAGTTTTTTTGGGAAGATATTTCCTTCTTCACCATAGGCCTCAAAGCGCTCCAAATATCCATTTCCACATGCTATACAAAGAGTGTCTCAAACCTGCTGTATGAATGGGAATGTTCAACTCTATGAGTTGAATGCAAACATCACAAAGAAGTTTCTGAGAATGCTGCTGTCTAGATTTTATATGAAGGTTTTCCCGCTTCCAACGAAATTTTCAATGCTCTCAAAATATCCTCTTGTAGATTCTACAAAAAGAGTGTTTCCAAACTGCTGTATCAAAACAAAGGTTCATCTCTGTTAGTTGAGGACACACATCACAAATAAGTTTCTGAGAATGCTTCTGTCTAGTTCTTATTTGAAGACATTTCCTTTCTCACCTTAGGCCTGAAAGCGCTCGAAATACCCACTTCCAGATACTACAGAAACAGTGATTCAAACCTGCTCTATGAAAGGGAATGTTCAACTATGTGACTTGAATGCAAACATCACAAAGCAGTTTCTGAGAATGCTGCTGTCTACTTTCTATTTGTAATCCCGTTTCCAACGAAATCCTCAGAACTATCGAAATTTCCAATTGCAGATTCCACAAAAAGCGTGTTTCAAAGCTGCTCTGTAAAAAGAAAGGTTCAACTCTGTTAGTTGAATACACACGTCACAAACAAGTTTCTGAGAATGCTTCTGTCTAGTTTTTATGGGAAGATATTTCCTTTTTCACCGTAGGCCTCAAAGTGCTCCAAATGTCCACTTCCACATACTACAAAAAGAGTGTTTCAAACCTGCTCTATGATAGGGAATGTTGAAACCTATGAGTTGAATGCAAGCATTACAAAGAGGTTTCTGAGAATGCTTCTGTCTAGATTTTATATGTAGATATTCCCGTTTCCAACGAAATCCTCAAAGCTATCCAAATATCAACTTGCAGATTCTACAAAAGGAATGTTTCCAAAATGCTGTATCCAAACAAAGGTTCAACTCTGTGAATTGAGGGCATACATCACAAAGAAGATTCTGAGAATGCTTCTGTCTAAATTTTATATGAAAATATTCCCGTTTCCAACGAAATCCTCAAAGCTATCCAAATATCCGCTTGCAAATGCCACAAAAAGAGTGTTTCCAAACTGCTCTGTGAAAAGGAAGGTTCAACTCTGTTAGTTGAGTACACACATCACAAAGAGGTTTCTGAGAATGCTTGCTGACTAGTTTTTATTTGAAGATATTTCCCTTTTCACCTTAGGCCTAAGAGTGCTCGAAATGTCCATTTCCACATACTCCACAAAGTGTGTTTCAAACGTGCTGTATGAAAGGGAATGTTCAACTCTATGAGTTGAATGCAAACATCACAAAGAAGATTCTGAGAATGCTTTTGTCTAGATTTTATATGAAGATATTCCCGTGTCCAACGAAATTTTCAAAGGTCTCCAAATATCCATTTGTAGATTCTACAAAAAGAGTGTTTCCAAACTGCTGTATCAAAACAAAGGTTGAACTCTGTGAGTTGAGGACACACATCACAAATAAGTTTCTGAGAATGCTTCTGTCTAGTTTTTATTTGAAGATGTTTCCTTTTTCACCATAGGCCTGAAAGCGCTCGAAATGTCCACTTCCAGATAGTACAGAAAGAGTGTTTCAAACCTGCTCTATGAACGGGAATGTTCAGCTCTGTGAGTTGAATGCAAACATCACAAAGCAGGTTCTGAGAATGCTTCCGTCTAGATTTTAAATGAGGATATTCCCGTTTCCAACGAAATCCTCGAAGCTATCCAAATATCCACTTGCAGATTCCACAAAAAGAGTGTTTCAAAACTGCTCTGTCAAAAGATAGGTTCAACTCTGTTAGTTGAGTACACACATGGCAAACAAGATTGCGAGAATGCTTTCGTCTAGTTTTTTTGGGAAGATATTCCCTTCTTCACCATAGGCCTCAAAGCGCGCCAAATATCCATTTCCACATACTATACAAAGAGTGTCTCAAACCTGCTGTATGAATGGGAATGTTCAACTCTATGAGTTGAATGCAAACATCACAAAGAAGTTTCTGAGAATGCTGCTGTCTAGATTTTATATGAAGGTTTTCCCGCTTCCAATGAAATTTTCAATGCTCTCAAAATATCCTCTTGTAGATTCTACAAAAAGAGTGTTTCTAAACTGCTGTGTCAAAACAAAGGTTCATCTCTGTTAGTTGAGGACACACATCACAAATAAGTTTCTGAGAATGCTTCTGTCTAGTTCTTATTTGAAGACATTTCCTTTCTCACCTTAGGCCTGAAAACGCTCGAAATATCCACTTCCAGATACGACAGAAACAGGGATTCAAACCTGCTCTATGAAAGGGAATGTTCAACTAGGTGACTTGAATGCAAACATCACAAAGCAGTTTCTGAGAATGCTGCTGTCTACTTTCTATTTGTAATCCCGTTTCCAACGAAATCCTCAGAACTATCGAAATTTCCAATTGCAGATTCCACAAAAAGCGTGTTTCAAAGCTGCTCTGTAAAAAGAAAGGTTCAACTCTGTTAGTTGAATACACACGTCACAAACAAGTTTCTGAGAATGCTTCTGTCTAGTTTTTATGGGAAGATATTTCCTTTTTCACCGTAGGCCTCAAAGTGCTCCAAATGTCCACTTCCACATACTACAAAAAGAGTGTTTCAAACCTGCTCTATGATAGGGAATGTTGAAACCTATGAGTTGAATGCAAGCATTACAAAGAGGTTTCTGAGAATGCTTCTGTCTAGATTTTATATGTAGATATTCCCGTTTCCAACGAAATCCTCAAAGCTATCCAAATATCAACTTGCAGATTCTACAAAAGGAATGTTTCCAAAATGCTGTATCCAAACAAAGGTTCAACTCTGTGAATTGAGGGAATACATCACAAAGAAGATTCTGAGAATGCTTCTGTCTAGATTTTATATGAAAATATTCCCGTTTCCAACGAAATCCTCAAAGCTATCCAAATATCCACTTGCAAATGCCACAAAAAGAGTGTTTCCAAACTGCTCTGTGAAAAGGAAGGTTCAACTCTGTTAGTTGAGTACACACATCACAAAGAGGTTTCTGAGAATGCTGCTGACTAGTTTTTATTTGAAGATATTTCCCTTTTCACCTTAGGCCTAAGAGTGCTCGAAATGTCCATTTCCACATACTCCACAAAGTGTGTTTCAAACGTGCTGTATGAAAGGGAATGTTCAACTCTATGAGTTGAATGCAAACATCACAAAGAAGACTCTGAGAATGCTTTTGTCTAGATTTTATATGAAGATATTCCCGTGTCCAACGAAATTTTCAAAGGTCCCCAAATATCCATTTGTAGATTCTACAAAAAGAGTGTTTCCAAACTGCTGTATCAAAACAAAGGTTGAACTCTGTGAGTTGAGGACACACATCACAAATAAGTTTCTGAGAATGCTTCTGTCTAGTTTTTATTTGAAGATGTTTCCTTTTTCACCATAGGCCTGAAAGCGCTCGAAATGTCCACTTCCAGATAGTACAGAAAGAGTGTTTCAAACCTGCTCTATGAACGGGAATGTTCAGCTCTGTGAGTTGAATGCAAACATCACAAAGCAGGTTCTGAGAATGCTTCCGTCTAGATTTTAAATGAGGATATTCCCGTTTCCAACGAAATCCTCGAAGCTATCCAAATATCCACTTGCAGATTCCACAAAAAGAGTGTTTCAAAACTGCTCTGTCAAAAGATAGGTTCAACTCTGTTAGTTGAGTACACACATGGCAAACAAGATTGCGAGAATGCTTTCGTCTAGTTTTTTTGGGAAGATATTTCCTTCTTCACCATAGGCCTCAAAGCGCTCCAAATATCCATTTCCACATGCTATACAAAGAGTGTCTCAAACCTGCTGTATGAATGGGAATGTTCAACTCTATGAGTTGAATGCAAACATCACAAAGAAGTTTCTGAGAATGCTGCTGTCTAGATTTTATATGAAGGTTTTCCCGCTTCCAACGAAATTTTCAATGCTCTCAAAATATCCTCTTGTAGATTCTACAAAAAGAGTGTTTCCAAACTGCTGTATCAAAACAAAGGTTCATCTCTGTTAGGTGAGGACACACATCACAAATAAGTTTCTGAGAATGCTTCTGTCTAGTTCTTATTTGAAGACATTTCCTTTCTCACCTTAGGCCTGAAAGCGCTCGAAATACCCACTTCCAGATACTACAGAAACAGTGATTCAAACCTGTTCTATGAAAGGGAATGTTCAACTAGGTGACTTGAATGCAAACATCACAAAGCAGTTTCTGAGAATGCTGCTGTCTACTTTCTATTTGTAATCCCGTTTCCAACGAAATCCTCAGAACTATCGAAATTTCCAATTGCAGATTCCACAAAAAGCATGTTTCAAAGCTGCTCTGTAAAAAGAAAGGTTCAACTCTGTTAGTTGAATACACACGTCACAAACAAGTTTCTGAGAATGCTTCTGTCTAGTTTTTATGGGAAGATATTTCCTTTTTCACCGTAGGCCTCAAAGCGCTCCAAATGTCCACTTCCACATACTACAAAAAGAGTGTTTCAAACCTGCTCTATGATAGGGAATGTTGAAACCTATGAGTTGAATGCAAGCATTACAAAGAGGTTTCTGAGAATGCTTCTGTCTAGATTTGATATGTAGATATTCCCGTTTCCAACGAAATCCTCAAAGCTATCCAAATATCAACTTGCAGATTCTACAAAAGGAATGTTTCCAAAATGCTGTATCCAAACAAAGGTTCAACTCTGTGAATTGAGGGCATACATCACAAAGAAGATTCTGAGAATGCTTCTGTCTAGATTTTATATGAAAATATTCCCGTTTCCAACGAAATCCTCAAAGCTATCCAAATATCCACTTGCAAATGCCACAAAAAGAGTGTTTCCAAACTGCTCTGTGAAAAGGAAGGTTCAACTCTGTTAGTTGAGTACACACATCACAAAGAGGTTTCTGAGAATGCTGCTGACTAGTTTTTATTTGAAGATATTTCCCTTTTCACCTTAGGCCTAAGAGTGCTCGAAATGTCCATTTCCGCATACTCCACAAAGTGTGTTTCAAACGTGCTGTATGAAAGGGAATGTTCAACTCTATGTGTTGAATGCAAACATCACAAAGAAGATTCTGAGAATGCTTTTGTCTAGATTTTATATGAAGATATTCCCGTGTCCAACGAAATTTTCAAAGGTCTCCAAATATCCATTTGTAGATTCTACAAAAAGAGTGTTTCCAAACTGCTGTATCAAAACAAAGGTTGAACTCTGTGAGTTGAGGACACACATCACAAATAAGTTTCTGAGAATGCTTCTGTCTAGTTTTTATTTGAAGATGTTTCCTTTTTCACCATAGGCCTGAAAGCGCTCGAAATGTCCACTTCCAGATAGTACAGAAAGAGTGTTTCAAACCTGCTCTATGAACGGGAATGTTCAGCTCCGTGAGTTGAATGCAAACATCACAAAGCAGGTTCTGAGAATGCTTCCGTCTAGATTTTAAATGAGGATATTCCCGTTTCCAACGAAATCCTCGAAGCTATCCAAATATCCACTTGCAGATTCCACAAAAAGAGTATTTCAAAACTGCTCTGTCAAAAGATAGGTTCAACTCTGTTAGCTGAGTACACACATGGCAAACAAGATTCCGAGAATGCTTTCGTCTAGTTTTTTTGGGAAGATATTTCCTTCTTCACCATAGGCCTCAAAGCGCTCCAAATATCCATTTCCACATGCTATACAAAGAGTGTCTCAAACCTGCTGTATGAATGGGAATGTTCAACTCTATGAGTTGAATGCAAACATCACAAAGAAGTTTCTGAGAATGCTGCTGTCTAGATTTTATATGAAGGTTTTCCCGCTTCCAACGAAATTTTCAATGCTCTCAAAATATCCTCTTGTAGATTCTACAAAAAGAGTGTTTCCAAACTGCTGTATCAAAACAAAGGTTCATCTCTGTTAGTTGAGGACACACATCACAAATAAGTTTCTGAGAATGCTTCTGTCTAGTTCTTATTTGAAGACATTTCCTTTCTCACCTTAGGCCTGAAAGCGCTCGAAATACCCACTTCCAGATACGACAGAAACAGTGATTCAAACCTGCTCTATGAAAGGGAATGTTCAACTAGGTGACTTGAATGCTAACATCACAAAGCAGTTTCTGAGAATGCTGCTGTCTACTTTCTATTTGTAATCCCGTTTCCAACGAAATCCTCAGAACTATCGAAATTTCCAATTGCAGATTCCACAGAAACAGGGTTTCAAAGCTGCTCTGTAAAAAGAAAGGTTCAACTCTGTTAGTTGAATACACACGTCACAAACAAGTTTCTGAGAATGCTTCTGTCTAGTTTTTATGGGAAGATACTTCCTTTTTCACCGTAGGCCTCAAAGCGCTCCAAATGTCCACGTCCACATACTACAAAAAGAGTGTTTCAAACCTGCTGTATGAAAGGGAATGTTCAACTCTATGAGTTGAATGCAAACATTACAAAGAAGTTTCTGAGAATGCTTCTGTCTAGATTTTATATGAAGGTTTTCCCGTTTCCAACGAAATTTTCAATGCTCTCAAAATATCCACTTGTAGATTCTACAAAAAGAGTGTTTCCAAACTGCTGTGTCAAAAGAAAGGTTCAACTCTGTTAGTTGAGGACACACATCACAAATAAGTTTCTGAGAATGCTTCTGTCTAGTTCTTATTTGAAGACATTTCCTTTCTCACCTTAGGCCTGAAAACGCTCGAAATATCCACTTCCAGATACGACAGAAACAGTGATTCAAACCTGCTCTATGAAAGGGAATGTTCAACTAGGTGACTTGAATGCAAACATCCACAAAGCAGTTTCTGAGAATGCTGCTGTCTACTTTGTATTTGTAATCCCGTTTCCAACGAAATCCTCAGAACTATCGAAATTTCCAATTGCAGATTCCACAAAAAGCGTGTTTCAAAGCTGCTCTGTAAAAAGAAAGGTTCAACTCTGTTAGTTGAATACACACGTCACAAACAAGTTTCTGAGAATGCTTCTGTCTAGTTTTTATGGGAAGATATTTCCTTTTTCACGGTAGGCCTCAAACCGCTCCAAATGTCCACTTCCACATACTACAAAAAGAGTGTTTCAAACCTGCTCTATGATAGGGAATGTTGAAACATATGAGTTGAATGCAAGCATTACAAAGAGGTTTCTGAGAATGCTTCTGTCTAGATTTTATATGTAGATATTCCCGTTTCCAACGAAATCCTCAAAGCTATCCAAATATCAACTTGCAGATTCTGCAAAAGGAATGTTTCCAAAATGCTGTATCCAAACAAAGGTTCAACTCTGTGAATTGAGGGCATACATCACAAAGAAGATTCTGAGAATGCTTCTGTCTAGATTTTATATGAAAATATTCCCGTTTCCAACGAAATCCTCAAAGCTATCCAAATATCCACTTGCAAATGCCACAAAAAGAGTGTTTCCAAACTGCTCTGTGAAAAGGAAGGTTCAACTCTGTTAGTTGAGTACACACATCACAAAGAGGTTTCTGAGAATGCTGCTGACTAGTTTTTATTTGAAGATATTTCCCTTTTCACCTTAGGCCTAAGAGTGCTCGAAATGTCCATTTCCACATACTCCACAAAGTGTGTTTCAAACGTGCTGTGTGAAAGGGAATGTTCAACTCTATGAGTTGAATGCAAACATCACAAAGAAGATTCTGAGAATGCTTTTGTCTAGATTTTATATGAAGATATTCCCGTGTCCAACGAAATTTTCAAAGGTCTCCAAATATCCATTTGTAGATTCTACAAAAAGAGTGTTTCCAAACTGCTGTATCAAAACAAAGGTTGAACTCTGTGAGTTGAGGACACACATCACAAATAAGTTTCTGAGAATGCTTCTGTCTAGTTTTTATTTGAAGATGTTTCCTTTTTCACCATAGGCCTGAAAGCGCTCGAAATGTCCACTTCCAGATAGTACAGAAAGAGTGTTTCAAACCTGCTCTATGAACGGGAATGTTCAGCTCTGTGAGTTGAATGCAAACATCACAAAGCAGGTTCTGAGAATGCTTCCGTCTAGATTTTAAATGAGGATATTCCCGTTTCCAACGAAATCCTCGAAGCTATCCAAATATCCACTTGCAGATTCCACAAAAAGAGTGTTTCAAAACTGCTCTGTCAAAAGATAGGTTCAACTACTGTTAGTTGAGTACACACATGGCAAACAAGATTGCGAGAATGCTTTCGTCTAGTTTTTTTGGGAAGATATTTCCTTCTTCACCATAGGCCTCAAAGCGCTCCAAATATCCATTTCCACATGCTATACAAAGAGTGTCTCAAACCTGCTGTATGAATGGGAATGTTCAACTCTATGAGTTGAATGCAAACATCACAAAGAAGTTTCTGAGAATGCTGCTGTCGAGATTTTATATGAAGGTTTTCCCGCTTCCAACGAAATTTTCAATGCTCTCAAAATATCCTCTTGTAGATTCTACAAAAAGAGTGTTTCCAAACTGCTGTATCAAAACAAAGGTTCATCTCTGTTAGTTGAGGACACACATCACAAATAAGTTTCTGAGAATGCTTCTGTCTAGTTCTTATTTGAAGACATTTCCTTTCTCACCTTAGGCCTGAAAGCGCTCGAAATACCCACTTCCAGATACTACAGAAACAGTGATTCAAACCTGCTCTATGAAAGGGAATGTTCAGCTATGTGACTTGAATGCAAACATCACAAAGCAGTTTCTGAGAATGCTGCTGTCTACTTTCTATTTGTAATCCCGTTTCCAACGAAATCCTCAGAACTATCGAAATTTCCAATTGCAGATTCCACAGAAACAGGGTTTCAAAGCTGCTCTGTAAAAAGAAAGGTTCAACTCTGTTAGTTGAATACACACGTCACAAACAAGTTTCTGAGAATGCTTCTGTCTAGTTTTTATGGGAAGATATTTCCTTTTTCACCGTAGGCCTCAAAGCGCTCCAAATGTCCACTTCCACATACTACAAAAAGAGTGTTTCAAACCTGCTGTATGAAAGGGAATGTTCAACTCTATGAGTTGAATGCAAACATTACAAAGAAGTTTCTGAGAATGCTTCTGTCTAGATTTTATATGAAGGTTTTCCCGTTTCCAACGAAATTTTCAATGCTCTCAAAATATCCACTTGTAGATTCTACAAAAAGAGTGTTTCCAAACTGCTGTGTCAAAAGAAAGGTTCAACTCTGTTAGTTGAGGACACACATCACAAATAAGTTTGTGAGAATGCTTCTGTCTAGTTCTTATTTGAAGACATTTCCTTTCTCACCTTAGGCCTGAAAACGCTCGAAATATCCACTTCCAGATACGACAGAAACAGTGATTCAAACCTGCTCTATGAAAGGGAATGTTCAACTAGGTGACTTGAATGCAAACATCACAAAGCAGTTTCTGAGAATGCTGCTGTCTACTTTCTATTTGTAATCCCGTTTGCAACGAAATCCTCAGAACTATCGAAATTTCCAATTGCAGATTCCACAGAAACAGGGTTTCAAAGCTGCTCTGTAAAAAGAAAGGTTCAACTCTGTTAGTTGAATACACACGTCACAAACAAGTTTCTGAGAATGCTTCTGTCTAGTTTTTATGGGAAGATATTTCCTTTTTCACCGTAGGCCTCAAAGCGCTCCAAATGTCCACTTCCACATACTACAAAAAGAGTGTTTCAAACCTGCTCTATGATAGGGAATGTTGAAACCTATGAGTTGAATGCAAGCATTACAAAGAGGTTTCTGAGAATGCTTCTGTCTAGATTTTATATGTAGATATTCCCGTTTCCAACGAAATCCTCAAAGCTATCCAAATATCAACTTGCAGATTCTGCAAAAGGAATGTTTCCAAAATGCTGTATCCAAACAAAGGTTCAACTCTGTGAATTGAGGGCATACATCACAAAGAAGATTCTGAGAATGCTTTCTGTCTAGATTTTATATGAAAATATTCCCGTTTCCAACGAAATCCTCAAAGCTATCCAAATATCCACTTGCAAATGCCACAAAAAGAGTGTTTCCAAACTGCTCTGTGAAAAGGAAGGTTCAACTCTGTTAGTTGAGTACACACATCACAAAGAGGTTTCTGAGAATGCTGCTGACTAGTTTTTATTTGAAGATATTTCCCTTTTCACCTTAGGCCTAAGAGTGCTCGAAATGTCCATTTCCACATACTCCACAAAGTGTGTTTCAAACGTGCTGTATGAAAGGGAATGTTCAACTCTATGAGTTGAATGCAAACATCACAAAGAAGATTCTGAGAATGCTTTTGTCTAGATTTTATATGAAGATATTCCCGTGTCCAACGAAATTTTCAAAGGTCTCCAAATATCCATTTGTAGATTCTACAAAAAGAGTGTTTCCAAACTGCTGTATCAAAACAAAGGTTGAACTCTGTGAGTTGAGGACACACATCACAAATAAGTTTCTGAGAATGCTTCTGTCTAGTTTTTATTTGAAGATGTTTCCTTTTTCACCATAGGCCTGAAAGCGCTCGAAATGTCCACTTCCAGATAGTACAGAAAGAGTGTTTCAAACCTGCTCTATGAACGGGAATGTTCAGCTCTGTGAGTTGAATGCAAACATCACAAAGCAGGTTCTGAGAATGCTTCCGTCTAGATTTTAAATGAGGATATTCCCGTTTCCAACGAAATCCTCGAAGCTATCCAAATATCCACTTGCAGATTCCACAAAAAGAGTGTTTCAAAACTGCTCTGTCAAAAGATAGGTTCAACTCTGTTAGTTGAGTACACACATGGCTAACCAAGATTCCGAGAATGCTTTCGTCTAGTTTTTTTGGGAAGATATTTCCTTCTTCACCATAGGCCTCAAAGCGCTCCAAATATCCATTTCCACATGCTATACAAAGAGTGTCTCAAACCTGCTGTATGAATGGGAATGTTCAACTCTATGAGTTGAATGCAAACATCACAAAGAAGTTTCTGAGAATGCTGCTGTCTAGATTTTATATGAAGGTTTTCCCGCTTCCAACGAAATTTTCAATGCTCTCAAAATATCCTCTTGTAGATTCTACAAAAAGAGTGTTTCCAAACTGCTGTATCAAAACAAAGGTTCATCTCTGTTAGTTGAGGACACACATCACAAATAAGTTTCTGAGAATGCTTCTGTCTAGTTCTTATTTGAAGACATTTCCTTTCTCACCTTAGGCTTGAAAACGCTCGAAATATCCACTTCCAGATACGACAGAAACAGTGATTCAAACCTGCTCTATGAAAGGGAATGTTCAACTAGGTGACTTGAATGCAAACATCACAAAGCAGTTTCTGAGCAATGCTGCTGTCTACTTTCTATTTGTAATCCCGTTTCCAACGAAATCCTCAGAACTATCGAAATTTCCAATTGCAGATTCCACAAAAAGCGTGTTTCAAAGCTGCTCTGTAAAAAGAAAGGTTCAACTCTGTTAGTTGAATACACACGTCACAAACAAGTTTCTGAGAATGCTTCTGTCTAGTTTTTATGGGAAGATATTTCCTTTTTCACCGTAGGCCTCAAAGCGCTCCAAATGTCCACTTCCACATACTACAAAAAGAGTGTTTCAAACCTGCTGTATGAAAGGGAATGTTCAACTCTATGAGTTGAATGCAAACATTACAAAGAAGTTTCTGAGAATGCTTCTGTCTAGATTTTATATGAAGGTTTTCCCGTTTCCAACGAAATTTTCAATGCTCTCAAAATATCCTCTTGTAGATTCTACAAAAAGAGTGTTTCCAAACTGCTGTGTCAAAAAAAAGGTTCAACTCTGTTAGTTGAGGACACACATCACAAATAAGTTTCTGAGAATGCTTCTGTCTAGTTCTTATTTGAAGACATTTCCTTTCTCACCTTAGGCCTGAAAACGCTCGAAATATCCACTTCCAGATACGACAGAAACAGTGATTCAAACCTGCTCTATGAAAGGGAATGTTCAACTAGGTGACTTGAATGCAAACATCACAAAGCAGTTTCTGAGAATGCTGCTGTCTACTTTCTATTTGTAATCCCGTTTGCAACGAAATCCTCAGAACTATCGAAATTTCCAATTGCAGATTCCACAGAAACAGGGTTTCAAAGCTGCTCTGTAAAAAGAAAGGTTCAACTCTGTTAGTTGAATACACACGTCACAAACAAGTTTCTGAGAATGCTTCTGTCTAGTTTTTATGGGAAGATATTTCCTTTTTCACCGTAGGCCTCAAAGCGCTCCAAATGTCCACTTCCACATACTACAAAAAGAGTGTTTCAAACCTGCTGTATGAAAGGGAATGTTCAACTCTATGAGTAGAATGCAAACATTACAAAGAAGTTTCTGAGAATGCTTCTGTCTAGATTTTATATGAAGGTTTTCCCGTTTCCAACGAAATTTTCAATGCTCTCAAAATATCCACTTGTAGATTCTACAAAAAGAGTGTTTCCAAACTGCTGTGTCAAAAGAAAGGTTCAACTCTGTTAGTTGAGGACACACATCACAAATAAGTTTCTGAGAATGCTGCTGTCTACTTTCTATTTGTAATCCCGTTTCCACCGAAATCCTCAGAACTATCGAAATTTCCAATTGCAGATTCCACAAAAAGCGTGTTTCAAAGCTGCTCTGTAAAAAGAAAGGTTCAACTCTGTTAGTTGAATACACACGTCACAAACAAGTTTCTGAGAATGCTTCTGTCTAGTTTTTATGGGAAGATATTTCCTTTTTCACCGTAGGCCTCAAAGCGCTCCAAATGTCCACTTCCACATACTACAAAAAGAGTGTTTCAAACCTGCTCTATGATAGGGAATGTTGAAACCTATGAGTTGAATGCAAGCATTACAAAGAGGTTTCTGAGAATGCTTCTGTCTAGATTTTATATGTAGATATTCCCGTTTCCAACGAAATCCTCAAAGCTATCCAAATATCAACTTGCAGATTCTGCAAAAGGAATGTTTCCAAAATGCTGTATCCAAACAAAGGTTCAACTCTGTGAATTGAGGGCATACATCACAAAGAAGATTCTGAGAATGCTTCTGTCTAGATTTTATATGAAAATATTCCCGTTTCCAACGAAATCCTCAAAGCTATCCAAATATCCACTTGCAAATGCCACAAAAAGAGTGTTTCCAAACTGCTCTGTGAAAAGGAAGGTTCAACTCTGTTAGTTGAGTACACACATCACAAAGAGGTTTCTGAGAATGCTGCTGACTAGTTTTTATTTGAAGATATTTCCCTTTTCACCTTAGGCCTAAGAGTGCTCGAAATGTCCATTTCCACATACTCCACAAAGTGTGTTTCAAACGTGCTGTATGAAAGGGAATGTTCAACTGTATGAGTTGAATGCAAACATCACAAAGAAGATTCTGAGAATGCTTTTGTCTAGATTTTATATGAAGATATTCCCGTGTCCAACGAAATTTTCAAAGGTCTCCAAATATCCATTTGTAGATTCTACAAAAAGAGTGTTTCCAAACTGCTGTATCAAAACAAAGGTTGAACTCTGTGAGTTGAGGACACACATCACAAATAAGTTTCTGAGAATGCTTCTGTCTAGTTTTTATTTGAAGATGTTTCCTTTTTCACCATAGGCCTGAAAGCGCTCGAAATGTCCACTTCCAGATAGTACAGAAAGAGTGTTTCAAACCTGCTCTATGAACGGGAATGTTCAGCTCTGTGAGTTGAATGCAAACATCACAAAGCAGGTTCCGAGAATGCTTCCGTCTAGATTTTAAATGAGGATATTCCCGTTTCCAACGAAATCCTCGAAGCTATCCAAATATCCACTTGCAGATTCCACAAAAAGAGTGTTTCAAAACTGCTCTGTCAAAAGATAGGTTCAACTCTGTTAGTTGAGTACACACATGGCAAACAAGATTGCGAGAATGCTTTCGTCTAGTTTTTTTGGGAAGATATTTCCTTCTTCACCATAGGCCTCAAAGCGCTCCAAATATCCATTTCCACATGCTATACAAAGAGTGTCTCAAACCTGCTGTACGAATGGGAATGTTCAACTCTATGAGTTGAATGCAAACATCACAAAGAAGTTTCTGAGAATGCTGCTGTCTAGATTTTATATGAAGGTTTTCCCGCTTCCAACGAAATTTTCAATGCTCTCAAAATATCCTCTTGTAGATTCTACAAAAAGAGTGTTTCTAAACTGCTGTATCAAAACAAAGGTTCATCTCTGTTAGTTGAGGACACACATCACAAATAAGTTTCTGAGAATGCTTCTGTCTAGTTCTTATTTGAAGACATTTCCTTTCTCACCTTAGGCCTGAAAGCGCTCGAAATACCCACTTCCAGATACTACAGAAACAGTGATTCAAACCTGCTCTATGAAAGGGAATGTTCAACTATGTGACTTGAATGCAAACATCACAAAGCAGTTTCTGAGAATGCTGCTGTCTACTTTCTATTTGTAATCCCGTTTCCAACGAAATCCTCAGAACTATCGAAATTTCCAATTGCAGATTCCACAGAAACAGGGTTTCAAAGCTGCTCTGTAAAAAGAAAGGTTCAACTCTGTTAGTTGAATACACACGTCACAAACAAGTTTCTGAGAATGCTTCTGTCTAGTTTTTATGGGAAGATATTTCCTTTTTCACCGTAGGCCTCAAAGCGCTCCAAATGTCCACTTCCACATACTACAAAAAGAGTGTTTCAAACCTGCTGTATGAAAGGGAATGTTCAACTCTATGAGTCGAATGCAAACATTACAAAGAAGTTTCTGAGAATGCTTCTGTCTATTTTTTATATGAAGGTTTTCCCGTTTCCAACGAAATTTTCAATGCTCTCAAAATATCCACTTGTAGATTCTACAAAAAGAGTGTTTCCAAACTGCTGTGTCAAAAGAAAGGTTCAACTCTGTTAGTTGAGGACACACATCACAAATAAGTTTCTGAGAATGCTTCTGTCTAGTTCTTATTTGAAGACATTTCCTTTCTCACCTTAGGCCTGAAAACGCTCGAAATATCCACTTCCAGATACGACAGAAACAGTGATTCAAACCTGCTCTATGAAAGGGAATGTTCAACTAGGTGACTTGAATGCAAACATCACAAAGCAGTTTCTGAGAATGCTGCTGTCTACTTTCTATTTGTAATCCCGTTTCCAACGAAATCCTCAGAACTATCGAAATTTCCAATTGCAGATTCCACAAAAAGCGTGTTTCAAAGCTGCTCTGTAAAAAGAAAGGTTCAACTCTGTTAGTTGAATACACACGTCACAAACAAGTTTCTGAGAATGCTTCTGTCTAGTTTTTATGGGAAGATATTTCCTTTTTCACCGTAGGCCTCAAAGCGCTCCAAATGTCCACTTCCACATACTACAAAAAGAGTGTTTCAAACCTGCTCTATGATAGGGAATGTTGAAACCTATGAGTTGAATGCAAGCATTACAAAGAGGTTTCTGAGAATGCTTCTGTCTAGATTTTATATGTAGATATTCCCGTTTCCAACGAAATCCTCAAAGCTATCCAAATATCAACTTGCAGATTCTACAAAAGGAATGTTTCCAAAATGCTGTATCCAAACAAAGGTTCAACTCTGTGAATTGAGGGAATACATCACAAAGAAGATTCTGAGAATGCTTCTGTCTAGATTTTATATGAAAATATTCCCGTTTCCAACGAAATCCTCAAAGCTATCCAAATATCCACTTGCAAATGCCACAAAAAGAGTGTTTCCAAACTGCTCTGTGAAAAGGAAGGTTCAACTCTGTTAGTTGAGTACACACATCACAAAGAGGTTTCTGAGAATGCTCCTGACTAGTTTTTATTTGAAGATATTTCCCTTTTCACCTTAGGCCTAAGAGTGCTCGAAATGTCCATTTCCACATACTCCACAAAGTGTGTTTCAAACGTGCTGTATGAAAGGGAATGTTCAACTCTATCAGTTGAATGCAAACATCACAAAGAAGACTCTGAGAATGCTTTTGTCTAGATTTTATATGAAGATATTCCCGTGTCCAACGAAATTTTCAAAGGTCTCCAAATATCCATTTGTAGATTCTACAAAAAGAGTGTTTCCAAACTGCTGTATCAAAACAAAGGTTGAACTCTGTGAGTTGAGGACACACATCACAAATAAGTTTCTGAGAATGCTTCTGTCTAGTTTTTATTTGAAGATGTTTCCTTTTTCACCATAGGCCTGAAAGCGCTCAAAATGTCCACTTCCAGATAGTACAGAAAGAGTGTTTCAAACCTGCTCTATGAACGGGAATGTTCAGCTCCGTGAGTTGAATGCAAACATCACAAAGCAGGTTCTGAGAATGCTTCCGTCTAGATTTTAAATGAGGATATTCCCGTTTCCAAGGAAATCCTCGAAGCTATCCAAATATCCACTTGCAGATTCCACAGAAAGAGTGTTTCAAAACTGCTCTCTCAAAAGATAGGTTCAACTCGGTTAGTTGAGTACACACATGGCAAACAAGATTCCGAGAATGCTTTCGTCTAGTTTTTTTGGGAAGATATTTCCTTCTTCACCATAGGCCTCAAAGCGCTCCAAATATCCATTTCCACATGCTATACAAAGAGTGTCTCAAACCTGCTGTATGAATGGGAATGTTCAACTCTATGAGTTGAATGCAAACATCACAAAGAAGTTTCTGAGAATGCTGCTGTCTAGATTTTATATGAAGGTTTTCCCGCTTCCAACGAAATTTTCAATGCTCTCAAAATATCCTCTTGTAGATTCTACAAAAAGAGTGTTTCCAAACTGCTGTATCAAAACAAAGGTTCATCTCTGTTAGTTGAGGACACACATCACAAATAAGTTTCTGAGAATGCTTCTGTCTAGTTCTTATTTGAAGACATTTCCTTTCTCACCTTAGGCCTGAAAACGCTCGAAATATCCACTTCCAGATACGACAGAAACTGTGATTCAAACCTGCTCTACGAAAGGGAATGTTCAACTAGGTGACTTGAATGCAAACATCACAAAGCAGTTTCTGAGAATGCTGCTGTCTACTTTCTATTTGTAATCCCGTTTCCAACGAAATCCTCAGAACTATCGAAATTTCCAATTGCAGATTCCACAAAAAGCGTGTTTCAAAGCTGCTCTGTAAAAAGAAAGGTTCAACTCTGTTAGTTGAATACACACGTCACAAACAAGTTTCTGAGAATGCTTCTGTCTAGTTTTTATGGGAAGATATTTCCTTTTTCACCGTAGGCCTCAAAGCGCTCCAAATGTCCACTTCCACATACTACAAAAAGAGTGTTTCAAACCTGCTCTATGATAGGGAATGTTGAAACCTATGAGTTGAATGCAAACATTACAAAGAGGTTTCTGAGAATGCTTCTGTCTAGATTTTATATGTAGATATTCCCGTTTCCAACGAAATCCTCAAAGCTATCCAAATATCAACGTGCAGATTCTACAAAAGGAATGTTTCCAAAATGCTGTATACAAACAAAGGTTCAACTCTGTGAATTGAGGGCATACATCACAAAGAAGATTCTGAGAATGCTTCTGTCTAGATTTTATATGAAAATATTCCCGTTTCCAACGAAATCCTCAAAGCTATCCAAATATCCACTTGCAAATGCCACAAAAAGAGTGTTTCCAAACTGCTCTGTGAAAAGGAAGGTTCAACTCTGTTAGTTGAGTACACACATCACAAAGAGGTTTCTGAGAATGCTGCTGACTAGTTTTTATTTGAAGATATTTCCCTTTTCACCTTAGGCCTAAGAGTGCTCGAAATGTCCATTTCCACATACTCCACAAAGTGTGTTTCAAACGTGCTGTATGAAAGGGAACGTTCAACTCTATGAGTTGAATGCAAACATCACAAAGAAGATTCTGAGAATGCTTTTGTCTAGATTTTATATGAAGATATTCCCGTGTCCAACGAAATTTTCAAAGGTCTCCAAATATCCATTTGTAGATTCTACAAAAAGAGTGTTTCCAAACTGCTGTATCAAAACAAAGGTTGAACTCTGTGAGTTGAGGACACACATCACAAATAAGTTTCTGAGAATGCTTCCTGTCTAGTTTTTATTTGAAGATGTTTCCTTTTTCACCATAGGCCTGAAAGCGCTCGAAATGTCCACTTCCAGATAGTACAGAAAGAGTGTTTCAAACCTGCTCTATGAACGGGAATGTTCAGCTCTGTGAGTTGAATGCAAACATCACAAAGCAGGTTCTGAGAATGCTTCCGTCTAGATTTTAAATGAGGATATTCCCGTTTCCAACGAAATCCTCGAAGCTATCCAAATATCCACTTGCAGATTCCACAAAAAGAGTGTTTCAAAACTGCTCTGTCAAAAGATAGGTTCAACTCTGTTAGTTGAGTACACACATGGCAAACAAGATTGCGAGAATGCTTTCGTCTAGTTTTTTTGGGAAGATATTTCCTTCTTCACCATAGGCCTCAAAGCGCTCCAAATATCCATTTCCACATGCTATACAAAGAGTGTCTCAAACCTGCTGTATGAATGGGAATGTTCACCTCTATGAGTTGAATGCAAACATCACAAAGAAGTTTCTGAGAATGCTGCTGTCTAGATTTTATATGAAGGTTTTCCCGCTTCCAACGAAATTTTCAATGCTCTCAAAATATCCTCTTGTAGATTCTACAAAAAGAGTGTTTCCAAACTGCTGTATCAAAACAAAGGTTCATCTCTGTTAGTTGAGGACACACATCACAAATAAGTTTCTGAGAATGCTTCTGTCTAGTTCTTATTTGAAGACATTTCCTTTCTCACCTTAGGCCTGAAAACGCTCGAAATATCCACTTCCTGATACGACAGAAACAGTGATTCAAACCTCCTCTATGAAAGGGAATGTTCAACTAGGTGACTTGAATGCAAACATCACAAAGCAGTTTCTGAGAATGCTGCTGTCTACTTTCTATTTGTAATCCCGTTTCCAACGAAATCCTCAGAACTATCGAAATTTCCAATTGCAGATTCCACAGAAACAGGGTTTCAAAGCTGCTCTGTAAAAAGAAAGGTTCAACTCTGTTAGTTGAATACACACGTCACAAACAAGTTTCTGAGAATGCTTCTGTCTAGTTTTTATGGGAAGATATTTCCTTTTTCACCGTAGGCCTCAAAGCGCTCCAAATGTCCACTTCCACATACTACAAAAAGAGTGTTTCAAACCTGCTCTATGATAGGGAATGTTGAAACCTATGAGTTGAATGCAAACATTAGAAAGAGGTTTCTGAGAATGCTTCTGTCTAGATTTTATATGTAGATATTCCCGTTTCCAACGAAATCCTCAAAGCTATCCAAATATCAACTTGCAGATTCTACAAAAGGAATGTTTCCAAAATGCTGTATCCAAACAAAGGTTCAACTCTGTGAATTGAGGGCATACATCACAAAGAAGATTCTGAGAATGCTTCTGTCTAAATTTTATATGAAAATATTCCCGTTTCCAACGAAATCCTCAAAGCTATCCAAATATCCACTTGCAAATGCCACAAAAAGAGTGTTTCCAAACTGCTCTGTGAAAAGGAAGGTTCAACTCTGTTAGTTGAGTACACACATCACAAAGAGGTTTCTGAGAATGCTGCTGACTAGTTTTTATTTGAAGATATTTCCCTTTTCACCTTAGGCCTAAGAGTGCTCGAAATGTCCATTTCCACATACTCCACAAAGTGTGTTTCAAACGTGCTGTATGAAAGGGAATGTTCAACTCTATGAGTTGAATGCAAACATCACAAAGAAGATTCTGAGAATGGTTTTGTCTAGATTTTATATGAAGATATTCCCGTGTCCAACGAAATTTTCAAAGGTCTCCAAATATCCATTTGTAGATTCTACAAAAAGAGTGTTTCCAAACTGCTGTATCAAAACAAAGGTTGAACTCTGTGAGTTGAGGACACACATCACAAATAAGTTTCTGAGAATGCTTCTGTCTAGTTTTTATTTGAAGATGTTTCCTTTTTCACCATAGGCCTGAAAGCGCTCGAAATGTCCACTTCCAGATAGTACAGAAAGAGTGTTTCAAACCTGCTCTATGAACGGGAATGTTCAGCTCTGTGAGTTGAATGCAAACATCACAAAGCAGGTTCCGAGAATGCTTCCGTCTAGATTTTAAATGAGGATATTCCCGTTTCCAACGAAATCCTCGAAGCTATCCAAATATCCACTTGCAGATTCCACAAAAAGAGTGTTTCAAAACTGCTCTGTCAAAAGATAGGTTCAACTCTGTTAGTTGAGTACACACATGGCAAACAAGATTGCGAGAATGCTTTCGTCTAGTTTTTTTGGGAAGATATTTCCTTCTTCACCATAGGCCTCAAAGCGCTCCAAATATCCATTTCCACATGCTATACAAAGAGTGTCTCAAACCTGCTGTATGAATGGGAATGTTCAACTCTATGAGTTGAATGCAAACATCACAAAGAAGTTTCTGAGAATGCTTCTGTCTAGATTTTATATGAAGGTTTTCCCGCTTCCAACGAAATTTTCAATGCTCTCAAAATATCCTCTTGTAGATTCTACAAAAAGAGTGTTTCCAAACTGCTGTATCAAAACAAAGGTTCATCTCTGTTAGTTGAGGACACACATCACAAATAAGTTTCTGAGAATGCTTCTGTCTAGTTCTTATTTGAAGACATTTCGTTTCTCACCTTAGGCC
The DNA here is from genome assembly GCF_000001405.40 of Homo sapiens. Classification (NCBI taxonomy): domain Eukaryota; kingdom Metazoa; phylum Chordata; class Mammalia; order Primates; family Hominidae; genus Homo; species Homo sapiens. Next base: position 19,508,971 of record NC_000015.10, on the reverse strand, counting down.
TGAAAGCGCTCGAAATACCCACTTCCAGATACTACAGAAACAGTGATTCAAACCTGCTCTATGAAAGGGAATGTTCAACTATGTGACTTGAATGCAAACATCACAAAGCAGTTTCTGAGAATGCTGCTGTCTACTTTCTATTTGTAATCCCGTTTCCAACGAAATCCTCAGAACTATCGAAATTTCCAATTGCAGATTCCACAAAAAGCGTGTTTCAAAGCTGCTCTGTAAAAAGAAAGGTTCAACTCTGTTAGTTGAATACACACGTCACAAACAAGTTTCTGAGAATGCTTCTGTCTAGTTTTTATGGGAAGATATTTCCTTTATCACGGTAGGCCTCAAAGCGCTCCAAATGTCCACTTCCACATACTACAAAAAGAGTGTTTCAAACCTGCTCTATGATAGGGAATGTTGAAACCTATGAGTTGAATGCAAGCATTACAAAGAGGTTTCTGAGAATGCTTCTGTCTAGATTTTATATGTAGATATTCCCGTTTCCAACGAAATCCTCAAAGCTATCCAAAGATCAACTTGCAGATTCTGCAAAAGGAATGTTTCCAAAATGCTGTATCCAAACAAAGGTTCAACTCTGTGAATTGAGGGCATACATCACAAAGAAGATTCTGAGAATGCTTCTGTCTAGATTTTATATGAAAATATTCCCGTTTCCAACGAAATCCTCAAAGCTATCCAAATATCCACTTGCAAATGCCACAAAAAGAGTGTTTCCAAACTGCTCTGTGAAAAGGAAGGTTCAACTCTGTTAGTTGAGTACACACATCACAAAGAGGTTTCTGAGAATGCTGCTGACTAGTTTTTATTTGAAGATATTTCCCTTTTCACCTTAGGCCTAAGAGTGCTCGAAATGTCCATTTCCACATACTCCACAAAGTGTGTTTCAAACGTGCTGTATGAAAGGGAATGTTCAACTCTATGAGTTGAATTCAAACATCACAAAGAAGATTCTGAGAATGCTTTTGTCTAGATTTTATATGAAGATATTCCCATGTCCAACGAAATTTTCAAAGTTCTCCAAATATCCATTTGTAGATTCTACAAAAAGAGTGTTTCCAAACTGCTGTATCAAAACAAAGGTTGAACTCTGTGAGTTGAGGACACACATCACAAATAAGTTTCTGAGAATGCTTCTGTCTAGTTTTTATTTGAAGATGTTTCCTTTTTCACCATAGGCCTGAAAGCGCTCGAAATGTCCACTTCCAGATAGTACAGAAAGAGTGTTTCAAACCTGCTCTATGAACGGGAATGTTCAGCTCTTGAGTTGAATGCAAACATCACAAAGCAGGTTCTGAGAATGCTTCCGTCTAGATTTTAAATGAGGATATTCCCGTTTCCAACGAAATCCTCGAAGCTATCCAAATATCCACTTGCAGATTCCACAAAAAGAGTGTTTCAAAACTGCTCTGTCAAAAGATAGGTTCAACTCTGTTAGTTGAGTACACACATGGCAAACAAGATTGCGAGAATGCTTTCGTCTAGTTTTTTTGGGAAGATATTTCCTTCTTCACCATAGGCCTCAAAGCGCTCCAAATATCCATTTCCACATGCTATACAAAGAGTGTCTCAAACCTGCTGTATGAATGGGAATGTTCAACTCTATGAGTTGAATGCAAACATCACAAAGAAGTTTCTGAGAAATGCTGCTGTCTAGATTTTATATGAAGGTTTTCCCGCTTCCAACAAAATTTTCAATGCTCTCAAAATATCCTCTTGTAGATTCTACAAAAAGAGTGTTTCCAAACTGCTGTATCAAAACAAAGGTTCATCTCTGTTAGTTGAGGACACACATCACAAATAAGTTTCTGAGAATGCTTCTGTCTAGTTCTTATTTGAAGACATTTCCTTTCTCACCTTAGGCCTGAAAGCGCTCGAAATACCCACTTCCAGATACTACAGAAACAGTGATTCAAACCTGCTCTATGAAAGGGAATGTTCAACTAGGTGACTTGAATGCAAACATCACAAAGCAGTTTCTGAGAATGCTGCTGTCTACTTTCTATTTGTAATCCCGTTTCCAACGAAATCCTCAGAACTATCGAAATTTCCAATTGCAGATTCCACAGAAACAGGGTTTCAAAGCTGCTCTGTAAAAAGAAAGGTTCAACTCTGTTAGTTGAATACACACGTCACAAACAAGTTTCTCAGAATGCTTCTGTCTAGTTTTTATGGGAAGATATTTCCTTTTTCACCGTAGGCCTCAAAGCGCTCCAAATGTCCACGTCCACATACTACAAAAAGAGTGTTTCAAACCTGCTGTATGAAAGGGAATGTTCAACTCTATGAGTTGAATGCAAACATTACAAAGAAGTTTCTGAGAATGCTTCTGTCTAGATTTTATATGAAGGTTTTCCCGTTTCCAACGAAATTTTCAATGCTCTCAAAATATCCACTTGTAGATTCTACAAAAAGAGTGTTTCCAAACTGCTGTGTCAAAAGAAAGGTTCAACTCTGTTAGTTGAGGACACACATCACAAATAAGTTTCTGAGAATGCTTCTGTCTAGTTCTTATTTGAAGACATTTCCTTTCTCACCTTAGGCCTGAAAACGCTCGAAATATCCACTTCCAGATACGACAGAAACAGTGATTCAAACCTGCTCTATGAAAGGGAATGTTCAACTAGGTGACTTGAATACAAACATCACAAAGCAGTTTCTGAGAATGCTGCTGTCTACTTTCTATTTGTAATCCCGTTTCCAACGAAATCCTCAGAACTATCGAAATTTCCAATTGCAGATTCCACAAAAAGCGTGTTTCAAAGCTGCTCTGTAAAAAGAAAGGTTCAACTCTGTTAGTTGAATACACACGTCACAAACAAGTTTCTGAGAATGCTTCTGTCTAGTTTTTATGGGAAGATATTTCCTTTTTCACGGTAGGCCTCAAAGCGCTCCAAATGTCCACTTCCACATACTACAAAAAGAGTGTTTCAAACCTGCTCTATGATAGGGAATGTTGAAACCTATGAGTTGAATGCAAGCATTACAAAGAGGTTTCTGAGAATGCTTCTGTCTAGATTTTATATGTAGATATTCCCGTTTCCAACGAAATCCTCAAAGCTATCCAAATATCAACTTGCAGATTCTACAAAAGGAATGTTTCCAAAATGCTGTATCCAAACAAAGGTTCAACCTCTGTGAATTGAGGGCATACATCACAAAGAAGATTCTGAGAATGCTTCTGTCTAGATTTTATATGAAAATATTCCCGTTTCCAACGAAATCCTCAAAGCTATCCAAATATCCACTTGCAAATGCCACAAAAAGAGTGTTTCCAAACTGCTCTGTGAAAAGGAAGGTTCAACTCTGTTAGTTGAGTACACACATCACAAAGAGGTTTCTGAGAATGCTGCTGACTAGTTTTTATTTGAAGATATTTCCCTTTTCACCTTAGGCCTAAGAGTGCTCGAAATGTCCATTTCCACATACTCCACAAAGTGTGTTTCAAACGTGCTGTATGAAAGGGAATGTTCAACTCTATGAGTTGAATGCAAACATCACAAAGAAGATTCTGAGAATGCTTTTGTCTAGATTTTATATGAAGATATTCCCGTGTCCAACGAAATTTTCAAAGGTCTCCAAATATCCATTTGTAGATTCTACAAAAAGAGTGTTTCCAAACTGCTGTATCAAAACAAAGGTTGAACTCTGTGAGTTGAGGACACACATCACAAATAAGTTTCTGAGAATGCTTCTGTCTAGTTTTTATTTGAAGATGTTTCCTTTTTCACCATAGGCCTGAAAGCGCTCGAAATGTCCACTTCCAGATAGTACAGAAAGAGTGTTTCAAACCTGCTCTATGAACGGGAATGTTCAGCTCTGTGAGTTGAATGCAAACATCACAAAGCAGGTTCTGAGAATGCTTCCGTCTAGATTTTATATGAGGATATTCCCGTTTCCAACGAAATCCTCGAAGCTATCCAAATATCCACTTGCAGATTCCACAAAAAGAGTGTTTCAAAACTGCTCTGTCAAAAGATAGGTTCAACTCTGTTAGTTGAGTACACACATGGCAAACAAGATTCCGAGAATGCTTTCGTCTAGTTTTTTTGGGAAGATATTTCCTTCTTCACCATAGGCCTCAAAGCGCTCCAAATATCCATTTCCACATGCTATATAAAGAGTGTCTCAAACCTGCTGTATGAATGGGAATGTTCAACTCTATGAGTTGAATGCAAACATCACAAAGAAGTTTCTGAGAATGCTGCTGTCTAGATTTTATATGAAGGTTTTCCCGCATCCAACGAAATTTTCAATGCTCTCAAAATATCCTCTTGTAGATTCTACAAAAAGAGTGTTTCCAAACTGCTGTATCAAAACAAAGGTTCATCTCTGTTAGTTGAGGACACACATCACAAATAAGTTTCTGAGAATGCTTCTGTCTAGTTCTTATTTGAAGACATTTCCTTTCTCACCTTAGGCCTGAAAACGCTCGAAATATCCACTTCCAGATACGACAGAAACAGTGATTCAAACCTGCTCTATGAAAGGGAATGTTCAACTAGGTGACTTGAATGCAAACATCACAAAGCAGTTTCTGAGAATGCTGCTGTCTACTTTCTATTTGTAATCCCGTTTCCAACGAAATCCTCAGAACTATCGAAATTTCCAATTGCAGATTCCACAAAAAGCGTGTTTCAAAGCTGCTCTGTAAAAAGAAAGGTTCAACTCTGTTAGTTGAATACACACGTCACAAACAAGTTTCTGAGAATGCTTCTGTCTAGTTTTTATGGGAAGATATTTCCTTTTTCACCGTAGGCCTCAAAGCGCTCCAAATGTCCACTTCCACATACTACAAAAAGAGTGTTTCAAACCTGCTCTATGATAGGGAATGTTGAAACCTATGAGTTGAATGCAAGCATTACAAAGAGGTTTCTGAGAATGCTTCTGTCTAGATTTTATATGTAGATATTCCCGTTTCCAACGAAATCCTCAAACTATCCAAATATCAACTTGCAGATTCTACAAAAGGAATGTTTCCAAAATGCTGTATCCAAACAAAGGTTCAACTCTGTGAATTGAGGGCATACATCACAAAGAAGATTCTGAGAATGCTTCTGTCTAGCATTTTATATGAAAATATTCCCGTTTCCAACGAAATCCTCAAAGCTATCCAAATATCCACTTGCAAATGCCACAAAAAGAGTGTTTCCAAACTGCTCTGTGAAAAGGAAGGTTCAACTCTGTTAGTTGAGTACACACATCACAAAGAGGTTTCTGAGAATGCTGCTGACTAGTTTTTATTTGAAGATATTTCCCTTTTCACCTTAGGCCTAAGAGTGCTCGAAATGTCCATTTCCACATACTCCACAAAGTGTGTTTCAAACGTGCTGTATGAAAGGGAATGTTCAACTCTATGAGTTGAATGCAAACATCACAAAGAAGATTCTGAGAATGCTTTTGTCTAGATTTTATATGAAGATATTCCCGTGTCCAACGAAATTTTCAAAGTTCTCCAAATATCCATTTGTAGATTCTACAAAAAGAGTGTTTCCAAACTGCTGTATCAAAACAAAGGTTGAACTCTGTGAGTTGAGGACACACATCACAAATAAGTTTCTGAGAATGCTTCTGTCTAGTTTTTATTTGAAGATGTTTCCTTTTTCACCATAGGCCTGAAAGCGCTCGAAATGTCCACTTCCAGATAGTGCAGAAAGAGTGTTTCAAACCTGCTCTATGAACGGGAATGTTCAGCTCTGTGAGTTGAATGCAAACATCACAAAGCAGGTTCTGAGAATGCTTCCGTCTAGATTTTAAATGAGGATATTCCCGTTTCCAACGAAATCCTCGAAGCTATCCAAATATCCACTTGCAGATTCCACAAAAAGAGTGTTTCAAAACTGCTCTGTCAAAAGATAGGTTCTACTCTGTTAGTTGAGTACACACATGGCAAACAAGATTCCGAGAATGCTTTCGTCTAGTTTTTTTGGGAAGATATTTCCTTCTTCACCATAGGCCTCAAAGCGCTCCAAATATCCATTTCCACATGCTATACAAAGAGTGTCTCAAACCTGCTGTATGAATGGGAATGTTCAACTCTATGAGTTGAATGCAAACATCACAAAGAAGTTTCTGAGAATGCTGCTGTCTAGATTTTATATGAAGGTTTTCCCGCTTCCAACGAAATTTTCAATGCTCTCAAAATATCCTCTTGTAGATTCTACAAAAAGAGTGTTTCCAAACTGCTGTATCAAAACAAAGGTTCATCTCTGTTAGTTGAGGACACACATCACAAATAAGTTTCTGAGAATGCTTCTGTCTAGTTCTTATTTGAAGACATTTCCTTTCTCACCTTAGGCCTGAAAGCGCTCGAAATACCCACTTCCAGATACTACAGAAACAGTGATTCAAACCTGCTCTATGAAAGGGAATGTTCATCTAGGTGACTTGAATGCAAACATCAGAAAGCAGTTTCTGAGAATGCTGCTGTCTACTTTCTATTTGTAATCCCGTTTCCAACGAAATCCTCAGAACTATCGAAATTTCCAATTGCAGATTCCACAGAAACAGGGTTTCAAAGCTGCTCTGTAAAAAGAAAGGTTCAACTCTGTTAGTTGAATACACACGTCACAAACAAGTTTCTGAGAATGCTTCTGTCTAGTTTTTATGGGAAGATATTTCCTTTTTCACCGTAGGCCTCAAAGCGCTCCAAATGTCCACGTCCACATACTACAAAAAGAGTGTTTCAAACCTGCTGTATGAAAGGGAATGTTCAACTCTATGAGTTGAATGCAAACATTACAAAGAAGTTTCTGAGAATGCTTCTGTCTAGATTTTATATGAAGGTTTTCCCGTTTCCAACGAAATTTTCAATGCTCTCAAAATATCCACTTGTAGATTCTACAAAAAGAGTGTTTCCAAACTGCTGTGTCAAAAGAAAGGTTCAACTCTGTTAGTTGAGGACACACATCACAAATAAGTTTCTGAGAATGCTTCTGTCTAGTTCTTATTTGAAGACATTTCCTTTCTCACCTTAGGCCTGAAAACGCTCGAAATATCCACTTCCAGATACGACAGAAACAGTGATTCAAACCTGCTCTATGAAAGGGAATGTTCAACTAGGTGACTTGAATGCAAACATCACAAAGCAGTTTCTGAGAATGCTGCTGTCTACTTTCTATTTGTAATCCCGTTTCCAACGAAATCCTCAGAACTATCGAAATTTCCAATTGCAGATTCCACAAAAAGCGTGTTTCAAAGCTGCTCTGTAAAAAGAAAGGTTCAACTCTGTTAGTTGAATACACACGTCACAAACAAGTTTCTGAGAATGCTTCTGTCTAGTTTTTATGGGAAGATATTTCCTTTTTCACCGTAGGCCTCAAAGCGCTCCAAATGTCCACTTCCACATACTACAAAAAGAGTGTTTCAAACCTGCTCTATGATAGGGAATGTTGAAACCTATGAGTTGAATGCAAGCATTACAAAGAGGTTTCTGAGAATGCTTCCTGTCTAGATTTTATATGTAGATATTCCCGTTTCCAACGAAATCTTCAAAGCTATCCAAATATCAACTTGCAGATTCTACAAAAGGAATGTTTCCAAAATGCTGTATCCAAACAAAGGTTCAACTCTGTGAATTGAGGGCATACATCACAAAGAAGATTCTGAGAATGCTTCTGTCTAGATTTTATATGAAAATATTCCCGTTTCCAACGAAATCCTCAAAGCTATCCAAATATCCACTTGCAAATGCCACAAAAAGAGTGTTTCCAAACTGCTCTGTGAAAAGGAAGGTTCAACTCTGTTAGTTGAGTACACACATCACAAAGAGGTTTCTGAGAATGCTGCTGACTAGTTTTTATTTGAAGATATTTCCCTTTTCACCTTAGGCCTAAGAGTGCTCGAAATGTCCATTTCCACATACTCCACAAAGTGTGTTTCAAACGTGCTGTATGAAAGGGAATGTTCAACTCTATGAGTTGAATGCAAACATCACAAAGAAGATTCTGAGAATGCTTTTGTCTAGATTTTATATGAAGATATTCCCGTGTCCAACAAAATTTTCAAAGGTCTCCAAATATCCATTTGTAGATTCTACAAAAAGAGTGTTTCCAAACTGCTGTATCAAAACAAAGGTTGAACTCTGTGAGTTGAGGACACACATCACAAATAAGTTTCTGAGAATGCTTCTGTCTAGTTTTTATTTGAAGATGTTTCCTTTTTCACCATAGGCCTGAAAGCGCTCGAAATGTCCACTTCCAGATAGTACAGAAAGAGTGTTTCAAACCTGCTCTATGAACGGGAATGTTCAGCTCTGTGAGTTGAATGCAAACATCACAAAGCAGGTTCTGAGAATGCTCCGTCTAGTATTTTAAATGAGGATATTCCCGTTTCCAACGAAATCCTCGAAGCTATCCAAATATCCACTTGCAGATTCCACAAAAAGAGTGTTTCAAAACTGCTCTGTCAAAAGATAGGTTCAACTCTGTTAGTTGAGTACACACATGGCAAACAAGATTGCGAGAATGCTTTCGTCTAGTTTTTTTGGGAAGATATTTCCTTCTTCACCATAGGCCTCAAAGCGCTCCAAATATCCATTTCCACATGCTATACAAAGAGTGTCTCAAACCTGCTGTATGAATGGGAATGTTCAACTCTATGAGTTGAATGCAAACATCACAAAGAAGTTTCTGAGAATGCTGCTGTCTAGATTTTATATGAAGGTTTTCCCGCTTCCAACGAAATTTTCAATGCTCTCAAAATATCCTCTTGTAGATTCTACAAAAAGAGTGTTTCCAAACTGCTGTATCAAAACAAAGGTTCATCTCTGTTAGTTGAGGACACACATCACAAATAAGTTTCTGAGAATGCTTCTGTCTAGTTCTTATTTGAAGACATTTCCTTTCTCACCTTAGGCCTGAAAGCGCTCGAAATATCCACTTCCAGATACGACAGAAACTGTGATTCAAACCTGCTCTATGAAAGGAAATGTTCAACTAGGTGACTTGAATGCAAACATCACAAAGCAGTTTCTGAGAATGCTGCTGTCTACTTTCTATTTGTAATCCCGTTTCCAACGAAATCCTCAGAACTATCGAAATTTCCAATTGCAGATTCCACAAAAAGCGTGTTTCAAAGCTGCTCTGTAAAAAGAAAGGTTCAACTCTGTTAGTTGAATACACACGTCACAAACAAGTTTCTGAGAATGCTTCTGTCTAGTTTTTATGGGAAGATATTTCCTTTATTCACCGTAGGCCTCAAAGCGCTCCAAATGTCCACTTCCACATACTACAAAAAGAGTGTTTCAAACCTGCTCTATGATAGGGAATGTTGAAACCTATGAGTTGAATGCAAGCATTACAAAGAGGTTTCTGAGAATGCTTCTGTCTAGATTTTATATGTAGATATTCCCGTTTCCAACGAAATCCTCAAAGCTATCCAAATATCAACTTGCAGATTCTACAAAAGGAATGTTTCCAAAATGCTGTATCCAAACAAAGGTTCAACTCTGTGAATTGAGGACATACATCACAAAGAAGATTCTGAGAATGCTTCTGTGTAGATTTTATATGAAAATATTCCCGTTTCCAACGAAATCCTCAAAGCTATCCAAATATCCACTTGCAAATGCCACAAAAAGAGTGTTTCCAAACTGCTCTGTCAAAAGATAGGTTCAACTCTGTTAGTTGAGTACACACATCACAAAGAGGTTTCTGAGAATGCTGCTGACTAGTTTTTATTTGTAGATATTTCCCTTTTCACCTTAGGCCTAAGAGTGCTCGAAATGTCCATTTCCACATACTCCACAAAGTGTGTTTCAAACGTGCTGTATGAAAGGGAATGTTCAACTCTATGAGTTGAATGCAAACATCACAAAGAAGATTCTGAGAATGCTTTTGTCTAGATTTTATATGAAGATATTCCCGGTGTCCAACGAAATTTTCAAAGGTCTCCAAATATCCATTTGTAGATTCTACAAAAAGAGTGTTTCCAAACTGCTGTATCAAAACAAAGGTTGAACTCTGTGAGTTGAGGACACACATCACAAATAAGTTTCTGAGAATGCTTCTGTCTAGTTTTTATTTGAAGATGTTTCCTTTTTCACCATAGGCCTGAAAGCGCTCGAAATGTCCACTTCCAGATAGTACAGAAAGAGTGTTTCAAACCTGCTCTATGAACGGGAATGTTCAGCTCTGTGAGTTGAATGCAAACATCACAAAGCAGGTTCTGAGAATGCTTCCGTCTAGATTTTAAATGAGGATATTCCCGTTTCCAACGAAATCCTCGAAGCTATCCAAATATCCACTTGCAGATTCCACAAAAAGAGTGTTTCAAAACTGCTCTGTCAAAAGATAGGTTCAACTCTGTTAGTTGAGTACACACATGGCAAACAAGATTGCGAGAATGCTTTCGTCTAGTTTTTTTGGGAAGATATTTCCTTCTTCACCATAGGCCTCAAAGCGCTCCAAATATCCATTTCCACATGCTATACAAAGAGTGTCTCAAACCTGCTGTATGAATGGGAATGTTCAACTCTATGAGTTGAATGCAAACATCACAAAGAAGTTTCTGAGAATGCTGCTGTCTAGATTTTATATGAAGGTTTTCCCGCTTCCAACGAAATTTTCAATGCTCTCAAAATATCCTCTTGTAGATTCTACAAAAAGAGTGTTTCCAAACTGCTGTATCAAAACAAAGGTTCATCTCTGTTAGTTGAGGACACACATCACAAATAAGTTTCTGAGAATGCTTCTGTCTAGTTCTTATTTGAAGACATTTCCTTTCTCACCTTAGGCCTGAAAGTGCTCGAAATACCCACTTCCAGATACTACAGAAACAGTGTTTCAAACCTGCTCTATGAAAGGGAATGTTCAACAATGTGACTTGAATGCAAACATCACAAAGCAGTTTCTGAGAATGCTGCTGTCTACTTTCTATTTGTAATCCCGTTTCCAACGAAATCCTCAGAACTATCGAAATTTCCAATTGCAGATTCCACAGAAACAGGGTTTCAAAGCTGCTCTGTAAAAAGAAAGGTTCAACTCTGTTAGTTGAATACACACGTCACAAACAAGTTTCTGAGAATGCTTCTGTCTAGTTTTTATGGGAAGATATTTCCTTTTTCACTGTAGGCCTCAAAGCGCTCCAAATGTCCACTTCCACATACTACAAAAAGAGTGTTTCAAACCTGCTCTATGATAGGGAATGTTGAAACCTATGAGTTGAATGCAAGCATTACAAAGAGGTTTCTGAGAATGCTTCTGTCTAGATTTTATATGTAGATATTCCCGTTTCCAACGAAATCCTCAAAGCTATCCAAATATCAACTTGCAGGTTCTACAAAAGGAATGTTTCCAAAATGCTGTATCCAAACAAAGGTTCAACTCTGTGAATTGAGGGCATACATCACAAAGAAGATTCTGAGAATGCTTCTGTCTAGATTTTATATGAAAATATTCCCGTTTCCAACGAAATCCTCAAAGCTATCCAAATATCCACTTGCAAATGCCACAAAAAGAGTGTTTCCAAACTGCTCTGTGAAAAGGAAGGTTCAACTCTGTTAGTTGAGTACACACATCACAAAGAGGTTTCTGAGAATGCTGCTGACTAGTTTTTATTTGAAGATATTTCCCTTTTCACCTTAGGCCTAAGAGTGCTCGAAATGTCCATTTCCACATACTCCACAAAGTGTGTTTCAAACGTGCTGTATGAAAGGGAATATTCAACTCTATGAGTTGAATGCAAACATCACAAAGGAGATTCTGAGAATGCTTTTGTCTAGATTTCATATGAAGATATTCCCGTGTCCAACGAAATTTTCAAAGGTCTCCAAATATCCATTTGTAGATTCTACAAAAAGAGTGTTTCCAAACTGCTGTATCAAAACAATGGTTGAACTCTGTGAGTTGAGGACACACATCACAAATAAGTTTCTGAGAATGCTTCTGTCTAGTTTTTATTTGAAGATGTTTCCTTTTTCACCATAGGCCTGAAAGCGCTCGAAATGTCCACTTCCAGATAGTACAGAAAGAGTGTTTCAAACCTGCTCTATGAATGGGAATGTTCAGCTCTGTGAGTTGAATGCAAACATCACAAAGCAGGTTCTGAGAATGCTTCCGTCTAGATTTTAAATGAGGATATTCCCGTTTCCAACGAAATCCTCGAAGCTATCCAAATATCCACTTGCAGATTCCACAAAAAGAGTGTTTCAAAACTGCTCTGTCAAAAGATAGGTTCAACTCTGTTAGTTGAGTACACACATGGCAAACAAGATTCCGAGAATGCTTTCGTCTAGTTTTTTTGGGAAGATATTTCCTTCTTCACCATAGGCCTCAAAGCGCTCCAAATATCCATTTCCACATGCTATACAAAGAGTGTCTCAAACCTGCTGTATGAATGGGAATGTTCAACTCTATGAGTTGAATGCAAACATCACAAAGAAGTTTCTGAGAATGCTTCTGTCTAGATTTTATATGAAGGTTTTCCCGTTTCCAAGGAAATTTTCAATGCTCTCAAAATATCCACTTGTAGATTCTACAAAAAGAGTGTTTCCAAACTGCTGTGTCAAAAGAAAGGTTCAACTCTGTTAGTTGAGGACACACATCACAAATAAGTTTCTGAGAATGCTTCTGTCTAGTTCTTATTTGAAGACATTTCCTTTCTCACCTTAGGCCTGAAAACGCTCGAAATATCCACTTCCAGATACGACAGAAACAGTGATTCAAACCTGCTCTATGAAAGGGAATGTTCAACTAGGTGACTTGAATGCAAACATCACAAAGCAGTTTCTGAGAATGCTGCTGTCTACTTTCTATTTGTAATCCCGTTTATAACGAAATCCTCAGAACTATCGAAATTTCCAATTGCAGATTCCACAAAAAGCGTGTTTCAAAGCTGCTCTGTAAAAAGAAAGGTTCAACTCTGTTAGTTGAATACACACGTCACAAACAAGTTTCTGAGAATGCTTCTGTCTAGTTTTTATGGGAAGATATTTCCTTTTTCACCGTAGGCCTCAAAGCGCTCCAAATGTCCACTTCCACATACTACAAAAAGAGTGTTTCAAACCTGCTCTATGATAGGGAATGTTGAAACCTATGAGTTGAATGCAAGCATTACAAAGAGGTTTCTGAGAATGCTTCTGTCTAGATTTTATATGTAGATATTCCCGTTTCCAACGAAATCCTCAAAGCTATCCAAATATCAACTTGCAGATTCTACAAAAGGGATTTTTCCAAAATGCTGTATCCAAACAAAGGTTCAACTCTGTGAATTGAGGGCATACATCACAAAGAAGATTCTGAGAATGCTTCTGTCTAGATTTTATATGAAAATATTCCCGTTTCCAACGAAATCCTCAAAGCTATCCAAATATCCACTTGCAAATGCCACAAAAAGAGTGTTTCCAAACTGCTCTGTGAAAAGGAAGGTTCAACTCTGTTAGTTGAGTACACACATCACAAAGAGGTTTCTGAGAATGCTGCTGACTAGTTTTTATTTGAAGATATTTCCCTTTTCACCTTAGGCCTAAGAGTGCTCGAAATGTCCATTTCCACATACTCCACAAAGTGCGTTTCAAACGTGCTGTATGAAAGGGAATGTTCAACTCTATGAGTTGAATGCAAACATCACAAAGAAGACTCTGAGAATGCTTTTGTCTAGATTTTATATGAAGATATTCCCGTGTCCAACGAAATTTTCAAAGGTCTCCAAATATCCATTTGTAGATTCTACAAAAAGAGTGTTTCCAAACTGCTGTATCAAAACAAAGGTTGAACTCTGTGAGTTGAGGACACACATCACAAATAAGTTTCTGAGAATGCTTCCTGTCTAGTTTTTATTTGAAGATGTTTCCTTTTTCACCATAGGCCTGAAAGCGCTCGAAATGTCCACTTCCAGATAGTACAGAAAGAGTGTTTCAAACCTGCTCTATGAACGGGAATGTTCAGCTCTGTGAGTTGAATGCAAACATCACAAAGCAGGTTCTGAGAATGCTTCCGTCTAGCATTTTAAATGAGGATATTCCCGTTTCCAACGAAATCCTCGAAGCTATCCAAATATCCACTTGCAGATTCCACAAAAAGAGTGTTTCAAAACTGCTCTGTCAAAAGATAGGTTCAACTCTGTTAGTTGAGTACACACATGGCAAACAAGATTGCGAGAATGCTTTCGTCTAGTTTTTTTGGGAAGATATTTCCTTCTTCACCATAGGCCTCAAAGCGCTCCAAATATCCATTTCCACATGCTATACAAAGAGTGTCTCAAACCTGCTGTATGAATGGGAATGTTCAACTCTATGAGTTGAATGCAAACATCACAAAGAAGTTTCTGAGAATGCTGCTGTCTAGATTTTATATGAAGGTTTTCCCGCTTCCAACGAAATTTTCAATGCTCTCAAAATATCCTCTTGTAGATTCTACAAAAAGAGTGTTTCCAAACTGCTGTATCAAAACAAAGGTTCATCTCTGTTAGTTGAGGACACACATCACAAATAAGTTTCTGAGAATGCTTCTGTCTAGTTCTTATTTGAAGACATTTCCTTTCTCACCTTAGGCCTGAAAGCGCTCGAAATACCCACTTCCAGATACTACAGAAACAGTGATTCAAACCTGCTCTATGAAAGGGAATTTTCAACTATGTGACTTGAATGCAAACATCACAAAGCAGTTTCTGAGAATGCTGCTGTCTACTTTCTATTTGTAATCCCGTTTCCAACGAAATCCTTAGAACTATCGAAATTTCCAATTGCAGATTACACAAAAACAGGTTTTCAAAGCTGTTCTGTAAAAAGAAAGGTTCAACTCTGTTAGTTGAATACACACGTCACAAACAAGTTTCGGAGAATGCTTCTGTCTAGTTTTTATGGGAAGATATTTCCTTTTTCACCGTAGGCCTCAAAGCGCTCCAAATGTCCACTTCCACATACTACAAAAAGAGTGTTTCAAACCTGCTGTATGAAAGGGAATGTTCAACTCTATGAGTTGAATGCAAACATTACAAAGAAGTTTCTGAGAATGCTTCTGTCTAGATTTTATATGAAGGTTTTCCCGTTTCCAAAGAAATTTTCAATGCTCTCAAAATATCCACTTGTAGATTCTACAAAAAGAGTGTTTCCAAACTGCTGTGTCAAAAGAAAGGTTCAACTCTGTTAGTTGAGGACACACATCACAAATAAGTTTCTGAGAATGCTTCTGTCTAGTTCTTATTTGAAGACATTTCCTTTCTCACCTTAGGCCTGAAAACGCTCGAAATATCCACTTCCAGATACGACAGAAACAGTGATTCAAACCTGCTCTATGAAAGGGAATGTTCAACTAGGTGACTTGAATGCAAACATCACAAAGCAGTTTCTGAGAATGCTGCTGTCTACTTTCTATTTGTAATCCCGTTTCCAACGAAATCCTCAGAACCATCGAAATTTCCAATTGCAGATTCCACAGAAACAGGGTTTCAAAGCTGCTCTGTAAAAAGAAAGGTTCAACTCTGTTAGTTGAATACACACGTCACAAACAAGTTTCTGAGAATGCTTCTGTCTAGTTTTTATGGGAAGATATTTCCTTTTTCACCGTAGGCCTCAAAGCGCTCCAAATGTCCACTTCCACATACTACAAAAAGAGTGTTTCAAACCTGCTCTATGATAGGGAATGTTGAAACCTATGAGTTGAATGCAAGCATTACAAAGAGGTTTCTGAGAATGCTTCTGTCTAGATTTTATATGTAGATATTCCCGTTTCCAACGAAATCCTCAAAGCTATCCAAATATCAACTTGCAGATTCTACAAAAGGAATGTTTCCAAAATGCTGTATCCAAACAAAGGTTCAACTCTGTGAATTGAGGGCATACATCACAAAGAAGATTCTGAGAATGCTTCTGTCTAGATTTTATATGAAAATATTGCCGTTTCCAACGAAATCCTCAAAGCTATCCAAATATCCACTTGCAAATGCCACAAAAAGAGTGTTTCCAAACTGCTCTGTGAAAAGGAAGGTTCAACTCTGTTAGTTGAGTACACACATCACAAAGAGGTTTCTGAGAATGCTGCTGACTAGTTTTTATTTGAAGATATTTCCCTTTTCACCTTAGGCCTAAGAGTGCTCGAAATGTCCATTTCCACATACTCCACAAAGTGTGTTTCAAACGTGCTGTATGAAAGGGAATGTTCAACTCTATGAGTTGAATGCAAACATCACAAAGAAGACTCTGAGAATGCTTTTGTCTAGATTTTATATGAAGATATTCCCGTGTCCAACGAAATTTTCAAAGGTCTCCAAATATCCATTTGTAGATTCTACAAAAAGAGTGTTTCCAAACTGCTGTATCAAAACAAAGGTTGAACTCTGTGAGTTGAGGACACACATCACAAATAAGTTTCTGAGAATGCTTCTGTCTAGTTTTTATTTGAAGATGTTTCCTTTTTCACCATAGGCCTGAAAGCGCTCGAAATGTCCACTTCCAGATAGTACAGAAAGAGTGTTTCAAACCTTCTCTATGAACGGGAATGTTCAGCTCTGTGAGTTGAATGCAAACATCACAAAGCAGGTTCTGAGAATGCTTCCGTCTAGATTTTAAATGAGGATATTCCCGTTTCCAACAAAATCCTCGAAGCTATCCAAATATCCACTTGCAGATTCCACAAAAAGAGTGTTTCAAAACTGCTCTGTCAAAAGATAGGTTCAACTCTGTTAGTTGAGTACACACATGGCAAACAAGATTCTGAGAATGCTTTCGTCTAGTTTTTTTGGGAAGATATTTCCTTCTTCACCATAGGCCTCAAAGCGCTCCAAATATCCATTTCCACATGCTATACAAAGAGTGTCTCAAACCTGCTGTATGAATGGGAATGTTCAACTCTATGAGTTGAATGCAAACATCACAAAGAAGTTTCTGAGAATGCTGCTGTCTAGATTTTATATGAAGGTTTTCCCGCTTCCAACGAAATTTTCAATGCTCTCAAAATATCCTCTTGTAGATTCTACAAAAAGAGTGTTTCCAAACTGCTGTATCAAAAGAAAGGTTCATCTCTGTTAGTTGAGGACACACATCACAAATAAGTTTCTGAGAATGCTTCTGTCTAGTTCTTATTTGAAGACATTTCCTTTCTCACCTTAGGCCTGAAAGCGCTCGAAATACCCACTTCCAGATACTACAGAAACAGTGATTCAAACCTGCTCTATGAAAGGGAATGTTCAACTAGGTGACTTGAATGCAAACATCACAAAGCAGTTTCTGAGAATGCTGCTGTCTACTTTCTACTTGTAATCCCGTTTCCAACGAAATCCTCAGAACTATCGAAATTTCCAATTGCAGATTCCACAGAAACAGGGTTTCAAAGCTGCTCTGTAAAAAGAAAGGTTCAACTCTGTTAGTTGAATACACACGTCACAAACAAGTTTCTGAGAATGCTTCTGTCTAGTTTTTATGGGAAGATATTTCCTTTTTCACCGTAGGCCTCAAAGCGCTCCAAATGTCCACTTCCACATACTACAAAAAGAGTGTTTCAAACCTGCTCTATGATAGGGAATGTTGAAACCTATGAGTTGAATGCAAGCATTACAAAGAGGTTTCTGAGAATGCTTCTGTCTAGATTTTATATGTAGATATTCCCGTTTCCAACGAAATCCTCAAAGCTATCCAAATATCAACTTGCAGATTCTACAAAAGGAATGTTTCCAAAATGCTGTATCCAAACAAAGGTTCAACTCTGTGAATTGAGGGCATACATCACAAAGAAGATTCTGAGAATGCTTCTGTCTAGCATTTTATATGAAAATATTCCCGTTTCCAACGAAATCCTCAAAGCTATCCAAATATCCACTTGCAAATGCCACAAAAAGAGTGTTTCCAAACTGCTCTGTGAAAAGGAAGGTTCAACTCTGTTAGTTGAGTACACACATCACAAAGAGGTTTCTGAGAATGCTGCTGACTAGTTTTTATTTGAAGATATTTCCCTTTTCACCTTAGGCCTAAGAGTGCTCGAAATGTCCATTTCCACATACTCCACAAAGTGTGTTTCAAACGTGCTGTATGAAAGGGAATGTTCAACTCTATGAGTTGAATGCAAACATCACAAAGAAGATTCTGAGAATGCTTTTGTCTAGATTTTATATGAAGATATTCCCGTGTCCAACGAAATTTTCAAAGGTCTCCAAATATCCATTTGTAGATTCTACAAAAAGAGTGTTTCCAAACTGCTGTATCAAAACAAAGGTTGAACTCTGTGAGTTGAGGACACACATCACAAATAAGTTTCTGAGAATGCTTCTGTCTAGTTTTTATTTGAAGATGTTTCCTTTTTCACCATAGGCCTGAAAGCGCTCGAAATGTCCACTTCCAGATAGTACAGAAAGAGTGTTTCAAACCTGCTCTATGAACGGGAATGTTCAGCTCTGTGAGTTGAATGCAAACATCACAAAGCAGGTTCTGAGAATGCTTCCGTCTAGATTTTAAATGAGGATATTCCCGTTTCCAACGAAATCCTCGAAGCTATCCAAATATCCACTTGCAGATTCCACAAAAAGAGTGTTTCAAAACTGCTCTGTCAAAAGATAGTTTCAACTCTGTTAGTTGAGTACACACATGGCAAACAAGATTCCGAGAATGCTTTCGTCTAGTTTTTTTGGGAAGATATTTCCTTCTTCACCATAGGCCTCAAAGCGCTCCAAATATCCATTTCCACATGCTATACAAAGAGTGTCTCAAACCTGCTGTATGAATGGGAATGTTCAACTCTATGAGTTGAATGCAAACATCACAAAGAAGTTTCTGAGAATGCTGCTGTCTAGATTTTATATGAAGGTTTTCCCGCTTCCAACGAAATTTTCAATGCTCTCAAAATATCCTCTTGTAGATTCTACAAAAAGAGTGTTTCCAAACTGCTGTATCAAAACAAAGGTTCATCTCTGTTAGTTGAGGACACACATCACAAATAAGTTTCTGAGAATGCTTCCTGTCTAGTTCTTATTTGAAGACATTTCCTTTCTCACCTTAGGCCTGAAAGCGCTCGAAATACCCACTTCCAGATACTACAGAAACAGTGATTCAAACCTGCTCTATGAAAGGGAATGTTCAACTAGGTGACTTGAATGCAAACATCACAAAGCAGTTTCTGAGAATGCTGCTGTCTACTTTCTATTTGTAATCCCGTTTCCAACGAAATCCTCAGAACTATCGAAATTTCCAATTGCAGATTCCACAGAAACAGGGTTTCAAAGCTGCTCTGTAAAAAGAAAGGTTCAACTCTGTTAGTTGAATACACACGTCACAAACAAGTTTCTGAGAATGCTTCTGTCTAGTTTTTATGGGAAGATATTTCCTTTTTCACCGTAGGCCTCAAAGCGCTCCAAATGTCCACTTCCACATACTACAAAAAGAGTGTTTCAAACCTGCTCTATGAAAGGGAATGTTCAACTCTATGAGTTGAATGCAAACATTACAAAGAAGTTTCTGAGAATGCTTCTGTCTAGATTTTATATGAAGGTTTTCCCGTTTCCAACGAAATTTTCAATGCTCTCAAAATATCCACTTGTAGATTCTACAAAAAGAGTGTTTCCAAACTGCTGTGTCAAAAGAAAGGTTCAACTCTGTTAGTTGAGGACACACATCACAAATAAGTTTCTGAGAATGCTGCTGTCTACTTTCTATTTGTAATCCCGTTTCCACCGAAATCCTCAGAACTATCGAAATTTCCAATTGCAGATTCCACAAAAAGCGTGTTTCAAAGCTGCTCTGTAAAAAGAAAGGTTCAACTCTGTTAGTTGAATACACACGTCACAAACAAGTTTCTGAGAATGCTTCTGTCTAGTTTTTATGGGAAGATATTTCCTTTTTCACGGTAGGCCTCAAAGCGCTCCAAATGTCCACTTCCACATACTACAAAAAGAGTGTTTCAAACCTGCTCTATGATAGGGAATGTTGAAACCTATGAGTTGAATGCAAGCATTACAAAGAGGTTTCTGAGAATGCTTCTGTCTAGATTTTATATGTAGATATTCCCGTTTCCAACGAAATCCTCAAAGCTATCCAAATATCAACTTGCAGATTCTACAAAAGGAATGTTTCCAAAATGCTGTATCCAAACAAAGGTTCAACTCTGTGAATTGAGGGAATACATCACAAAGAAGATTCTGAGAATGCTTCTGTCTAGATTTTATATGAAAATATTCCCGTTTCCAACGAAATCCTCAAAGCTATCCAAATATCCACTTGTAAATGCCACAAAAAGAGTGTTTCCAAACTGCTCTGTGAAAAGGAAGGTTCAACTCTGTTAGTTGAGTACACACATCACAAAGAGGTTTCTGAGAATGCTGCTGACTAGTTTTTATTTGAAGATATTTCCCTTTTCACCTTAGGCCTTAGAGTGCTCGAAATGTCCATTTCCACATACTCCACAAAGTGTGTTTCAAACGTGCTGTATGAAAGGGAATGTTCAACTCTATGAGTTGAATGCAAACATCACAAAGAAGACTCTGAGAATGCTTTTGTCTAGATTTTATATGAAGATATTCCCGTGTCCAACGAAATTTTCAAAGGTCTCCAAATATCCATTTGTAGATTCTACAAAAAGAGTGTTTCCAAACTGCTGTATCAAAACAAAGGTTGAACTCTGTGAGTTGAGGACACACATCACAAATAAGTTTCTGAGAATGCTTCTGTCTAGTTTTTATTTGAAGATGTTTCCTTTTTCACCATAGGCCTGAAAGCGCTCGAAATGTCCACTTCCAGATAGTACAGAAAGAGTGTTTCAAACCTGCTCTATGAACGGGAATGTTCAGCTCTGTGAGTTGAATGCAAACATCACAAAGCAGGTTCTGAGAATGCTTCCGTCTAGGTTTTAAATGAGGATATTCCCGTTTCCAACGAAATCCTCGAAGCTATCCAAATATCCACTTGCAGATTCCACAAAAAGAGTGTTTCAAAACTGCTCTGTCAAAAGATAGGTTCAACTCTGTTAGTTGAGTACACACATGGCAAACAAGATTCCGAGAATGCTTTCGTCTAGTTTTTTTGGGAAGATATTTCCTTCTTCACCATAGGCCTCAAAGCGCTCCAAATATCCATTTCCACATGCTATACAAAGAGTGTCTCAAACCTGCTGTATGAATGGGAATGTTCAACTCTATGAGTTGAATGCAAACATCACAAAGAAGTTTCTGAGAATGCTGCTGTCTAGATTTTATATGAAGGTTTTCCCGCTTCCAACGAAATTTTCAATGCTCTCAAAATATCCTCTTGTAGATTCTACAAAAAGAGTGTTTCCAAACTGCTGTATCAAAACAAAGGTTCATCTCTGTTAGTTGAGGACACACATCACAAATAAGTTTCTGAGAATGCTTCTGTCTAGTTCTTATTTGAAGACATTTCCTTTCTCACCTTAGGCCTGAAAGTGCTCGAAATACCCACTTCCAGATACTACAGAAACAGTGTTTCAAACCTGCTCTATGAAAGGGAATGTTCAACAATGTGACTTGAATGCAAACATCACAAAGCAGTTTCTGAGAATGCTGCTGTCTACTTTCTATTTGTAATCCCGTTTGCAACGAAATCCTCAGAACTATCGAAATTTCCAATTGCAGATTCCACAGAAACAGGGTTTCAAAGCTGCTCTGTAAAAAGAAAGGTTCAACTCTGTTAGTTGAATACACACGTCACAAACAAGTTTCTGAGAATGCTTCTGTCTAGTTTTTATGGGAAGATATTTCCTTTTTCACCGTAGGCCTCAAAGCGCTCCAAATGTCCACTTCCACATACTACAAAAAGAGTGTTTCAAACCTGCTCTATGATAGGGAATGTTGAAACCTATGAGTTGAATGCAAGCATTACAAAGAGGTTTCTGAGAATGCTTCTGTCTAGATTTTATATGTAGATATTCCCGTTTCCAACGAAATCCTCAAACTATCCAAATATCAACTTGCAGATTCTACAAAAGGAATGTTTCCAAAATGCTGTATCCAAACAAAGGTTCAACTCTGTGAATTGAGGGCATACATCACAAAGAAGATTCTGAGAATGCTTCTGTCTAGATTTTATATGAAAATATTCCCGTTTCCAACGAAATCCTCAAAGCTATCCAAATATCCACTTGCAAATGCCACAAAAAGAGTGTTTCCAAACTGCTCTGTGAAAAGGAAGGTTCAACTCTGTTAGTTGAGTACACACATCACAAAGAGGTTTCTGAGAATGCTGCTGACTAGTTTTTATTTGAAGATATTTCCCTTTTCACCTTAGGCCTAAGAGTGCTCGAAATGTCCATTTCCACATACTCCACAAAGTGTGTTTCAAACGTGCTGTATGAAAGGGAACGTTCAACTCTATGAGTTGAATGCAAACATCACAAAGAAGATTCTGAGAATGCTTTTGTCTAGATTTTATATGAAGATATTCCCGTGTCCAACGAAATTTTCAAAGGTCTCCAAATATCCATTTGTAGATTCTACAAAAAGAGTGTTTCCAAACTGCTGTATCAAAACAAAGGTTGAACTCTGTGAGTTGAGGACACACATCACAAATAAGTTTCTGAGAATGCTTCTGTCTAGTTTTTATTTGAAGATGTTTCCTTTTTCACCATAGGCCTGAAAGCGCTCGAAATGTCCATTTCCAGATAGTACAGAAAGACTGTTTCAAACCTGCTCTATGAACGGGAATGTTCAGCTCTGTGAGTTGAATGCAAACATCACAAAGCAGGTTCTGAGAATGCTTCCGTCTAGATTTTAAATGAGGATATTCCCGTTTCCAACGAAATCCTCGAAGCTATCCAAATATCCACTTGCAGATTCCACAAAAAGAGTGTTTCAAAACTGCTCTGTCAAAAGATAGGTTCAACTCTGTTAGTTGAGTACACACATGGCAAACAAGATTCCGAGAATGCTTTCGTCTAGTTTTTTGGGAAGATATTTCCTTCTTCACCATAGGCCTCAAAGCGCTCCAAATATCCATTTCCACATGCTATACAAAGAGTGTCTCAAACCTGCTGTATGAATGGGAATGTTCAACTCTATGAGTTGAATGCAAACATCACAAAGAAGTTTCTGAGAATGCTGCTGTCTAGATTTTATATGAAGGTTTTCCCGCTTCCAACGAAATTTTCAATGCTCTCAAAATATCCTCTTGTAGATTCTACAAAAAGAGTGTTTCCAAACTGCTGTATCAAAACAAAGGTTCATCTCTGTTAGTTGAGGACACACATCACAAATAAGTTTCTGAGAATGCTTCTGTCTAGTTCTTATTTGAAGACATTTCCTTTCTCACCTTAGGCCTGAAAGCGCTCGAAATACCCACTTCCAGATACTACAGAAACAGTGATTCAAACCTGCTCTATGAAAGGGAATGTTCAACTATGTGACTTGAATGCAAACATCACAAAGCAGTTTCTGAGAATGCTGCTGTCTACTTTCTATTTGTAATCCCGTTTCCAACGAAATCCTCAGAACTATCGAAATTTCCAATTGCAGATTCCACAGAAACAGGGTTTCAAAGCTGCTCTGTAAAAAGAAAGGTTCAACTCTGTTAGTTGAATACACACGTCACAAACAAGTTTCTGAGAATGCTTCTGTCTAGTTTTTATGGGAAGATATTTCCTTTTTCACCGTAGGCCTCAAAGCGCTCCAAATGTCCACTTCCACATACTACAAAAAGAGTGTTTCAAACCTGCTGTATGAAAGGGAATGTTCAACTCTATGAGTTGAATGCAAACATTACAAAGAAGTTTCTGAGAATGCTTCTGTCTAGATTTTATATGAAGGTTTTCCCGTTTCCAACGAAATTTTCAATGCTCTGAAAATATCCACTTGTAGATTCTACAAAAAGAGTGTTTCCAAACTGCTGTGTCAAAAGAAAGGTTCAACTCTGTTAGTTGAGGACACACATCACAAATAAGTTTCTGAGAATGCTTCTGTCTAGTTCTTATTTGAAGACATTTCCTTTCTCACCTTAGGCCTGAAAACGCTCGAAATATCCACTTCCAGATACGACAGAAACAGTGATTCAAACCTGCTCTATGAAAGGGAATGTTCAACTAGGTGACTTGAATGCAAACATCACAAAGCAGTTTCTGAGAATGCTGCTGTCTACTTTCTATTTGTAATCCCGTTTCCAACGAAATCCTCAGAACTATCGAAATTTCCAATTGCAGATTCCACAGAAACAGGGTTTCAAAGCTGCTCTGTAAAAAGAAAGGTTCAACTCTGTTAGTTGAATACACACGTCACAAACAAGTTTCTGAGATTGCTTCTGTCTAGTTTTTATGGGAAGATATTTCCTTTTTCACCGTAGGCCTCAAAGCGCTCCAAATGTCCACTTCCACATACTACAAAAAGAGTGTTTCAAACCTGCTGTATGAAAGGGAATGTTCAACTCTATGACTTGAATGCAAACATTACAAAGAAGTTTCTGAGAATGCTTCTGTCTAGATTTTATATGAAGGTTTTCCCGTTTCCAAGGAAATTTTCAATGCTCTCAAAATATCCACTTGTAGATTCTACAAAAAGAGTGTTTCCAATCTGCTGTGTCAAAGGAAAGGTTCAACTCTGTTAGTTGAGGACACACATCACAAAGAGGTTTCTGAGAATGCTGCTGACTAGTTTTTATTTGAAGATATTTCCCTTTTCACCTTAGGCCTAAGAGTGCTCGAAATGTCCATTTCCACATACTCCACAAAGTGTGTTTCAAACGTGCTGTATGAAAGGGAATGTTCAACTCTATGAGTTGAATGCAAACATCACAAAGAAGATTCTGAGAATGCTTTTGTCTAGATTTTATATGAAGATATTCCCGTGTCCAACGAAATTTTCAAAGGTCTCCAAATATCCATTTGTAGATTCTACAAAAAGAGTGTTTCCAAACTGCTGTATCAAAACAAAGGTTGAACTCTGTGAGTTGAGGACACACATCACAAATAAGTTTCTGAGAATGCTTCTGTCTAGTTTTTATTTGAAGATGTTTCCTTTTTCACCATAGGCCTGAAAGCGCTCGAAATGTCCCCTTCCAGATAGTACAGAAAGAGTGTTTCAAACCTGCTCTATGAACGGGAATGTTCAGCTCTGTGAGTTGAATGCAAACATCACAAAGCAGGTTCTGAGAATGCTTCCGTCTAGATTTTAAATGAGGATATTCCCGTTTCCAACGAAATCCTCGAAGCTATCCAAATATCCACTTGCAGATTCCACAAAAAGAGTGTTTCAAAACTGCTCTGTCAAAAGATAGGTTCAACTCTGTTAGTTGAGTACACACATGGCAAACAAGATTCCGAGAATGCTTTCGTCTAGTTTTTTTGGGAAGATATTTCCTTCTTCACCATAGGCCTCAAAGCGCTCCAAATATCCATTTCCACATGCTATACAAAGAGTGTCTCAAATCTGCTGTATGAATGGGAATGTTCAACTCTATGAGTTGAATGCAAACATCACAAAGAAGTTTCTGAGAATGCTGCTGTCTAGATTTTATATGAAGGTTTTCCCGCTTCCAACGAAATTTTCAATGCTCTCAAAATATCCTCTTGTAGATTCTACAAAAAGAGTGTTTCCAAACTGCTGTATCAAAACAAAGGTTCATCTCTGTTAGTTGAGGACACACATCACAAATAAGTTTCTGAGAATGCTTCTGTCTAGTTCTTATTTGAAGACATTTCCTTTCTCACCTTAGGCCTGAAAGTGCTCGAAATACCCACTTCCAGATACTACAGAAACAGTGTTTCAAACCTGCTCTATGAAAGGGAATGTTCAACAATGTGACTTGAATGCAAACATCACAAAGCAGTTTCTGAGAATGCTGCTGTCTACTTTCTATTTGTAATCCCGTTTGCAACGAAATCCTCAGAACTATCGAAATTTCCAATTGCAGATTCCACAGAAACAGGGTTTCAAAGCTGCTCTGTAAAAAGAAAGGTTCAACTCTGTTAGTTGAATACACACGTCACAAACAAGTTTCTGAGAATGCTTCTGTCTAGTTTTTATGGGAAGATATTTCCTTTTTCACCGTAGGCCTCAAAGCGCTCCAAATGTCCACGTCCACATACTACAAAAAGAGTGTTTCAAACCTGCTGTATGAAAGGGAATGTTCAACTCCTATGAGTTGAATGCAAACATTACAAAGAAGTTTCTGAGAATGCTTTCTGTCTAGATTTTATATGAAGGTTTTCCCGTTTCCAACGAAATTTTCAATGCTCTCAAAATATCCACTTGTAGATTCTACAAAAAGAGTGTTTCCAAACTGCTGTGTCAAAAGAAAGGTTCAACTCTGTTAGTTGAGGACACACATCACAAATAAGTTTCTGAGAATGCTTCTGTCTAGTTCTTATTTGAAGACATTTCCTTTCTCACCTTAGGCCTGAAAACGCTCGAAATATCCACTTCCAGATACGACAGAAACAGTGATTCAAACCTGCTCTATGAAAGGGAATGTTCAACTAGGTGACTTGAATGCAAACATCACAAAGCAGTTTCTGAGAATGCTGCTGTCTACTTTCTATTTGTAATCCCGTTTCCAACGAAATCCTCAGAACTATCGAAATTTCCAATTGCAGATTCCACAGAAACAGGGTTTCAAAGCTGCTCTGTAAAAAGAAAGGTTCAACTCTGTTAGTTGAATACACACGTCACAAACAAGTTTCTGAGAATGCTTCTGTCTAGTTTTTATGGGAAGATATTTCCTTTTTCACGGTAGGCCTCAAAGCGCTCCAAATGTCCACTTCCACATACTACAAAAAGAGTGTTTCAAACCTGCTCTATGATAGGGAATGTTGAAACATATGAGTTGAATGCAAGCATTACAAAGAGGTTTCTGAGAATGCTTCTGTCTAGATTTTATATGTAGATATTCCCGTTTCCAACGAAATCCTCAAAGCTATCCAAATATCAACTTGCAGATTCTGCAAAAGGAATGTTTCCAAAATGCTGTATCCAAACAAAGGTTCAACTCTGTGAATTGAGGGCATACATCACAAAGAAGATTCTGAGAATGCTTCTGTCTAGATTTTATATGAAAATATTCCCGTTTCCAACGAAATCCTCAAAGCTATCCAAATATCCACTTGCAAATGCCACAAAAAGAGTGTTTCCAAACTGCTCTGTGAAAAGGAAGGTTCAACTCTGTTAGTTGAGTACACACATCACAAAGAGGTTTCTGAGAATGCTGCTGACTAGTTTTTATTTGAAGATATTTCCCTTTTCACCTTAGGCCTAAGAGTGCTCGAAATGTCCATTTCCACATACTCCACAAAGTGTGTTTCAAACGTGCTGTATGAAAGGGAATGTTCAACTCTATGAGTTGAATGCAAACATCACAAAGAAGATTCTGAGAATGCTTTTGTCTAGATTTTATATGAAGATATTCCCGTGTCCAACGAAATTTTCAAAGGTCTCCAAATATCCATTTGTAGATTCTACAAAAAGAGTGTTTCCAAACTGCTGTATCAAAACAAAGGTTGAACTCTGTGAGTTGAGGACACACATCACAAATAAGTTTTCTGAGAATGCTTCTGTCTAGTTTTTATTTGAAGATGTTTCCTTTTTCACCATAGGCCTGAAAGCGCTCGAAATGTCCACTTCCAGATAGTACAGAAAGAGTGTTTCAAACCTGCTCTATGAACGGGAATGTTCAGCTCTGTGAGTTGAATGCAAACATCACAAAGCAGGTTCTGAGAATGCTTCCGTCTAGATTTTAAATGAGGATATTCCCGTTTCCAACGAAATCCTCGAAGCTATCCAAATATCCACTTGCAGATTCCACAAAAAGAGTGTTTCAAAACTGCTCTGTCAAAAGATAGGTTCAACTCTGTTAGTTGAGTACACACATGGCAAACAAGATTCCGAGAATGCTTTCGTCTAGTTTTTTTGGGAAGATATTTCCTTCTTCACCATAGGCCTCAAAGCGCTCCAAATATCCATTTCCACATGCTATACAAAGAGTGTCTCAAACCTGCTGTATGAATGGGAATGTTGAACTCTATGAGTTGAATGCAAACATCACAAAGAAGTTTCTGAGAATGCTGCTGTCTAGATTTTATATGAAGGTTTTCCCGCTTCCAACGAAATTTTCAATGCTCTCAAAATATCCTCTTGTAGATTCTACAAAAAGAGTGTTTCCAAACTGCTGTATCAAAACAAAGGTTCATCTCTGTTAGTTGAGGACACACATCACAAATAAGTTTCTGAGAATGCTTCTGTCTAGTTCTTATTTGAAGACATTTCCTTTCTCACCTTAGGCCTGAAAACGCTCGAAATATCCACTTCCAGATACGACAGAAACAGTGATTCAAACCTGCTCTATGAAAGGGAATGTTCAACTAGGTGACTTGAATGCAAACATCACAAAGCAGTTTCTGAGAATGCTGCTGTCTACTTTCAATTTGTAATCCCGTTTCCAACGAAATCCTCAGAACTATCGAAATTTCCAATTGCAGATTCCACAGAAACAGGGTTTCAAAGCTGCTCTGTAAAAAGAAAGGTTCAACTCTGTTAGTTGAATACACACGTCACAAACAAGTTTCTGAGAATGCTTCTGTCTAGTTTTTATGGGAAGATATTTCCTTTTTCACCGTAGGCCTCAAAGCGCTCCAAATGTCCACTTCCACATACTACAAAAAGGGTGTTTCAAACCTGCTGTATGAAAGGGAATGTTCAACTCTATGAGTTGAATGCAAACATTACAAAGAAGTTTCTGAGAATGCTTCTGTCTAGATTTTATATGAAGGTTTTCCCGTTTCCAACGAAATTTTCAATGCTCTCAAAATATCCACTTGTAGATTCTACAAAAAGAGTGTTTCCAAACTGCTGTGTCAAAAGAAAGGTTCAACTCTGTTAGTTGAGGACACACATCACAAATAAGTTTCTGAGAATGCTGCTGTCTACTTTCTATTTGTAATCCCGTTTCCAACGAAATCCTCAGAACTATCGAAATTTCCAATTGCAGATTCCACAAAAAGCGTGTTTCAAAGCTGCTGTGTAAAAAGAAAGGTTCAACTCTGTTAGTTGAATACACACGTCACAAACAAGTTTCTGAGAATGCTTCTGTCTAGTTTTTATGGGAAGATATTTCCTTTTTCACCGTAGGCCTCAAAGCGCTCCAAATGTCCACTTCCACATACTACAAAAAGAGTGTTTCAAACCTGCTCTATGATAGGGAATGTTGAAACCTATGAGTTGAATGCAAACATTACAAAGAGGTTTCTGAGAATGCTTCTGTCTAGATTTTATATGTAGATATTCCCGTTTCCAACGAAATCCTCAAAGCTATCCAAATATCAACTTGCAGATTCTACAAAAGGAATGTTTCCAAAATGCTGTATCCAAACAAAGGTTCAACTCTGTGAATTGAGGGAATACATCACAAAGAAGATTCTGAGAATGCTTCTGTCTAGCATTTTATATGAAAATATTCCCGTTTCCAACGAAATCCTCAAAGCTATCCAAATATCCACTTGCAAATGCCACAAAAAGAGTGTTTCCAAACTGCTCTGTGAAAAGGAAGGTTCAACTCTGTTAGTTGAGTACACACATCACAAAGAGGTTTCTGAGAATGCTGCTGACTAGTTTTTATTTGAAGATATTTCCCTTTTCACCTTAGGCCTAAGAGTGCTCGAAATGTCCATTTCCACATACTCCACAAAGTGTGTTTCAAACGTGCTGTATGAAAGGGAATGTTCAACTCTATGAGTTGAATGCAAACATCACAAAGAAGATTCTGAGAATGCTTTTGTCTAGATTTTATATGAAGATATTCCCGTGTCCAACGAAATTTTCAAAGGTCTCCAAATATCCATTTGTAGTTTCTACAAAAAGAGTGTTTCCAAACTGCTGTATCAAAACAAAGGTTGAACTCTGTGAGTTGAGGACACACATCACAAATAAGGTTCTGAGAATGCTTCTGTCTAGTTTTTATTTGAAGATATTTCCTTTTTCACCATAGGCCTGAAAGCGCTCGAAATGTCCACTTCCAGATAGTACAGAAAGAGTGTTTCAAACCTGCTCTATGAACGGGAATGTTCAGCTCTGTGAGTTGAATGCAAACATCACAAAGGAGGTTCTGAGAATGCTTCCGTCTAGATTTTAAATGAGGATATTCCCGTTTCCAACGAAATCCTCGAAGCTATCCAAATATCCACTTGCAGATTCCACAAAAAGAGTGTTTCAAAACTGCTCTGTCAAAAGATAGGTTCTACTCTGTTAGTTGAGTACACACATGGCAAACAAGATTCCGAGAATGCTTTCGTCTAGTTTTTTTGGGAAGATATTTCCTTCTTCACCATAGGCCTCAAAGCGCTCCAAATATCCATTTCCACATGCTATACAAAGAGTGTCTCAAACCTGCTGTATGAATGGGAATGTTCAACTCTATGAGTTGAATGCAAACATCACAAAGAAGTTTCTGAGAATGCTGCTGTCTAGATTTTATA
Organism: Homo sapiens; assembly: GCF_000001405.40. Taxonomy (NCBI): domain Eukaryota; kingdom Metazoa; phylum Chordata; class Mammalia; order Primates; family Hominidae; genus Homo; species Homo sapiens. Next base: position 19,478,636 of record NC_000015.10, on the reverse strand, counting down.
TGAAGGTTTTCCCGCTTCCAACGAAATTTTCAATGCTCTCAAAATATCCTCTTGTAGATTCTACAAAAAGAGTGTTTCCAAACTGCTGTATCAAAACAAAGGTTCATCTCTGTTAGTTGAGGACACACATCACAAATAAGTTTCTGAGAATACTTCTGTCTAGTTCTTATTTGAAGACATTTCCTTTCTCACCTTAGGCCTGAAAGCGCTCGAAATATCCACTTCCAGATACGACAGAAACTGTGATTCAAACCTGCTCTATGAAAGGGAATGTTCAACTAGGTGACTTGAATGCAAACATCACAAAGCAGTTTCTGAGAATGCTGCTGTCTACTTTCTATTTGTAATCCCGTTTCCAACGAAATCCTCAGAACCATCGAAATTTCCAATTGCAGATTCCACAGAAACAGGGTTTCAAAGCTGCTCTGTAAAAAGAAAGGTTCAACTCTGTTAGTTGAATACACACGTCACAAACAAGTTTCTGAGAATGCTTCTGTCTAGTTTTTATGGGAAGATATTTCCTTTTTCACCGTAGGCCTCAAAGCGCTCCAAATGTCCACTTCCACATACTACAAAAAGAGTGTTTCAAACCTGCTCTATGATAGGGAATGTTGAAACCTATGAGTTGAATGCAAGCATTACAAAGAGGTTTCTGAGAATGCTTCTGTCTAGATTTTATATGTAGATATTCCCGTTTCCAACGAAATCCTCAAAGCTATCCAAATATCAACTTGCAGATTCTACAAAAGGAATGTTTCCAAAATGCTGTATCCAAACAAAGGTTCAACTCTGTGAATTGAGGGCATACATCACAAAGAAGATTCTGAGAATGCTTCTGTCTAGATTTTATATGAAAATATTCCCGTTTCCAACGAAATCCTCAAAGCTATCCAAATATCCACTTGCAAATGCCACAAAAAGAGTGTTTCCAAACTGCTCTGTGAAAAGGAAGGTTCAACTCTGTTAGTTGAGTACACACATCACAAAGAGGTTTCTGAGAATGCTGCTGACTAGTTTTTATTTGAAGATATTTCCCTTTTCACCTTAGGCCTAAGAGTGCTCGAAATGTCCATTTCCACATACTCCACAAAGTGTGTTTCAAACGTGCTGTATGAGAGGGAATGTTCAACTCTATGAGTTGAATGCAAACATCACAAAGAAGATTCTGAGAATGCTTTTGTCTAGATTTTATATGAAGATATTCCCGTGTCCAACGAAATTTTCAAAGGTCTCCAAATATCCATTTGTAGATTCTACAAAAAGAGTGTTTCCAAACTGCTGTATCAAAACAAAGGTTGAACTCTGTGAGTTGAGGACACACATCACAAATAAGTTTCTGAGAATGCTTCTGTCTAGTTTTTATTTGAAGATGTTTCCTTTTTCACCATAGGCCTGAAAGCGCTCGAAATGTCCACTTCCAGATAGTACAGAAAGAGTGTTTCAAACCTGCTCTATGAACGGGAATGTTCAGCTCTGTGAGTTGAATGCAAACATCACAAAGCAGGTTCTGAGAATGCTTCCGTCTAGATTTTAAATGAGGATATTCCCGTTTCCAACGAAATCCTCGAAGCTATCCAAATATCCACTTGCAGATTCCACAAAAAGAGTGTTTCAAAACTGCTCTGTCAAAAGATAGGTTCAACTCTGTTAGTTGAGTACACACATGGCAAACAAGATTCCGAGAATGCTTTCGTCTAGTTATTTTGGGAAGATATTTCCTTCTTCACCATAGGCCTCAAAGCGCTCCAAATATCCATTTCCACATGCTATACAAAGAGTGTCTCAAACCTGCTGTATGAATGGGAATGTTCAACTCTATGAGTTGAATGCAAACATCACAAAGAAGTTTCTGAGAATGCTGCTGTCTAGTATTTTATATGAAGGTTTTCCCGCTTCCAACGAAATTTTCAACGCTCTCAAAATATCCTCTTGTAGATTCTACAAAAAGAGTGTTTCCAAACTGCTGTATCAAAACAAAGGTTCATCTCTGTTAGTTGAGGACACACATCACAAATAAGTTTCTGAGAATGCTTCTGTCTAGTTCTTATTTGAAGACATTTCCTTTCTCACCTTAGGCCTGAAAGCGCTCGAAATACCCACTTCCAGATACTACAGAAACAGTGATTCAAACCTGCTCTATGAAAGGGAATGTTCAACTAGGTGACTTGAATGCAAACATCACAAAGCAGTTTCTGAGAATGCTGCTGTCTACTTTCTATTTGTAATCCCGTTTCCAACGAAATCCTCAGAACTATCGAAATTTCCAATTGCAGATTCCACAGAAACAGGGTTTCAAAGCTGCTCTGTAAAAAGAAAGGTTCAACTCTGTTAGTTGAATACACACGTCACAAACAAGTTTCTGAGAATGCTTCTGTCTAGTTTTTATGGGAAGATATTTCCTTTTTCACCGTAGGCCTCAAAGCGCTCCAAATGTCCACGTCCACATACTACAAAAAGAGTGTTTCAAACCTGCTGTATGAAAGGGAATGTTCAACTCTATGAGTTGAATGCAAACATTACAAAGAAGTTTCTGAGAATGCTTCTGTCTAGATTTTATATGAAGGTTTTCCCGTTTCCAACGAAATTTTCAATGCTCTCAAAATATCCACTTGTAGATTCTACAAAAAGAGTGTTTCCAAACTGCTGTGTCAAAAGAAAGGTTCAACTCTGTTAGTTGAGGACACACATCACAAGTTTCTGAGAATGCTTCTGTCTAGTCCTTATTTGAAGACATTTCCTTTCTCACCTTAGGCCTGAAAACGCTCGAAATATCCACTTCCAGATACGACAGAAACAGTGATTCAAACCTGCTCTATGAAAGGGAATGTTCAACTAGGTGACTTGAATGCAAACATCACAAAGCAGTTTCTGAGAATGCTGCTGTCTACTTTCTATTTGTAATCCCGTTTCCAACGAAATCCTCAGAACTATCGAAATTTCCAATTGCAGATTCCACAAAAAGCGTGTTTCAAAGCTGCTCTGTAAAAAGAAAGGTTCAACTCTGTTAGTTGAATACACACGTCACAAACAAGTTTCTGAGAATGCTTCTGTCTAGTTTTTATGGGAAGATATTTCCTTTTTCACGGTAGGCCTCAAAGCGCTCCAAATGTCCACTTCCACATACTACAAAAAGAGTGTTTCAAACCTGCTCTATGATAGGGAATGTTGAAACCTATGAGTTGAATGCAAGCATTACAAAGAGGTTTCTGAGAATGCTTCTGTCTAGATTTGATATGTAGATATTCCCGTTTCCAACGAAATCCTCAAAGCTATCCAAATATCAACTTGCAGATTCTACAAAAGGAATGTTTCCAAAATGCTGTATCCAAACAAAGGTTCAACTCTGTGAATTGAGGGCATACATCACAAAGAAGATTCTGAGAATGCTTCTGTCTAGATTTTATATGAAAATATTCCCGTTTCCAACGAAATCCTCAAAGCTATCCAAATATCCACTTGCAAATGCCACAAAAAGAGTGTTTCCAAACTGCTCTGTGAAAAGGAAGGTTCAACTCTGTTAGTTGAGTACACACATCACAAAGAGGTTTCTGAGAATGCTGCTGACTAGTTTTTATTTGAAGATATTTCCCTTTTCACCTTAGGCCTAAGAGTGCTCGAAATGTCCATTTCCACATACTCCACAAAGTGTGTTTCAAACGTGCTGTATGAAAGGGAATGTTCAACTCTATGAGTTGAATGCAAACATCACAAAGAAGATTCTGAGAATGCTTTTGTCTAGATTTTATATGAAGATATTCCCGTGTCCAACGAAATTTTCATAGGTCTCCAAATATCCATTTGTAGATTCTACAAAAAGAGTGTTTCCAAACTGCTGTATCAAAACAAAGGTTGAACTCTGTGAGTTGAGGACACACATCACAAATAAGTTTCTGAGAATGCTTCTGTCTAGTTTTTATTTGAAGATGTTTCCTTTTTCACCATAGGCCTGAAAGCGCTCGAAATGTCCACTTCCAGATAGTACAGAAAGAGTGTTTCAAACCTGCTCTATGAACGGGAATGTTCAGCTCTGTGAGTTGAATGCAAACATCACAAAGCAGGTTCTGAGAATGCTTCCGTCTAGATTTTAAATGAGGATATTCCCATTTCCAACGAAATCCTCGAAGCTATCCAAATATCCACTTGCAGATTCCACAAAAAGAGTGTTTCAAAACTGCTCTGTCAAAAGATAGGTTCAACTCTGTTAGTTGAGTACACACATGGCAAACAAGATTCCGAGAATGCTTTCGTCTAGTTTTTTTGGGAAGATATTTCCTTCTTCACCATAGGCCTCAAAGCGCTCCAAATATCCATTTCCACATGCTATACAAAGAGTGTCTCAAACCTGCTGTATGAATGGGAATGTTCAACTCTATGAGTTGAATGCAAACATCACAAAGAAGTTTCTGAGAATGCTGCTGTCTAGATTTTATATGAAGGTTTTCCCGCTTCCAACGAAATTTTCAATGCTCTCAGAATATCCTCTTGTAGATTCTACAAAAAGAGTGTTTCCAAACTGCTGTATCAAAACAAAGGTTCATCTCTGTTAGTTGAGGACACACATCACAAATAAGTTTCTGAGAATGCTTCTGTCTAGTTCTTATTTGAAGACATTTCCTTTCTCACCTTAGGCCTGAAAGCGCTCGAAATACCCACTTCCAGATACGACAGAAACAGTGATTCAAACCTGCTCTATGAAAGGGAATGTTCAACTAGGTGACTTGAATGCAAACATCACAAAGCAGTTTCTGAGAATGCTGCTGTCTACTTTCTATTTGTAATCCCGTTTCCAACGAAATCCTCAGAACTATCGAAATTTCCAATTGCAGATTCCACAAAAAGCGTGTTTCAAAGCTGCTCTGTAAAAAGAAAGGTTCAACTCTGTTAGTTGAATACACACGTCACAAACAAGTTTCTGAGAATGCTTCTGTCTAGTTTTTATGGGAAGATATTTCCTTTTTCACCGTAGGCCTCAAAGCGCTCCAAATGTCCACTTCCACATACTACAAAAAGAGTGTTTCAAACCTGCTCTATGATAGGGAATGTTGAAACCTATGAGTTGAATGCAAACATTACAAAGAGGTTTCTGAGAATGCTTCTGTCTAGATTTTATATGTAGATATTCCCGTTTCCAACGAAATCCTCAAAGCTATCCAAATATCAACTTGCAGATTCTACAAAAGGAATATTTCCAAAATGCTGTATCCAAACAAAGGTTCAACTCTGTGAATTGAGGGCATACATCACAAAGAAGATTCTGAGAATGCTTCTGTCTAGATTTTATATGAAAATATTCCCGTTTCCAACGAAATCCTCAAAGCTATCCAAATATCCACTTGCAAATGCCACAAAAAGAGTGTTTCCAAACTGCTCTGTGAAAAGGAAGGTTCAACTCTGTTAGTTGAGTACACACATCACAAAGAGGTTTCTGAGAATGCTGCTGACTAGTTTTTATTTGAAGATATTTCCCTTTTCACCTTAGGCCTAAGAGTGCTCGAAATGTCCATTTCCACATACTCCACAAAGTGTGTTTCAAACGTGCTGTATGAAAGGTAATGTTCAACTCTATGAGTTGAATGCAAACATCACAAAGAAGATTCTGAGAATGCTTTTGTCTAGATTTTATATGAAGATATTCCCGTGTCCAACGAAATTTTCAAAGGTCTCCAAATATCCATTTGTAGATTCTACAAAAAGAGTGTTTCCAAACTGCTGTATCAAAACAAAGGTTGAACTCTGTGAGTTGAGGACACACATCACAAATAAGTTTCTGAGAATGCTTCTGTCTAGTTTTTATTTGAAGAGGTTTCCTTTTTCACCATAGGCCTGAAAGTGCTCGAAATGTCCACTTCCAGATAGTACAGAAAGAGTGTTTCAAACCTGCTCTATGAACGGGAATGTTCAGCTCTGTGAGTTGAATGCAAACATCACAAAGCAGGTTCTGAGAATGCTTCCGTCTAGATTTTAAATGAGGATATTCCCGTTTCCAACGAAATCCTCGAAGCTATCCAAATATCCACTTGCAGATTCCACAAAAAGAGTGTTTCAAAACTGCTCTGTCAAAAGATAGGTTCAACTCTGTTAGTTGAGTACACACATGGCAAACAAGATTCCGAGAATGCTTTCGTCTAGTTTTTTTGGGAAGATATTTCCTTCTTCACCATAGGCCTCAAAGCGCTCCAAATATCCATTTCCACATGCTATACAAAGAGTGTCTCAAACCTGCTGTATGAATGGGAATGTTCAACTCTATGAGTTGAATGCAAACATCACAAAGAAGTTTGCTGAGAATGCTGGCTGTCTAGATTTTATATGAAGGTTTTCCCGCTTCCAACGAAATTTTCAATGCTCTCAAAATATCCTCTTGTAGATTCTACAAAAAGAGTGTTTCCAAACTGCTGTATCAAAACAAAGGTTCATCTCTGTTAGTTGAGGACACACATCACAAATAAGTTTCTGAGAATGCTTCTGTCTAGTTCTTATTTGAAGACATTTCCTTTCTCACCTTAGGCCTGAAAGCGCTCGAAATACCCACTTCCAGATACTACAGAAACAGTGATTCAAAGCTGCTCTATGAAAGGGAATGTTCAGCTATGTGACTTGAATGCAAACATCACAAAGCAGTTTCTGAGAATGCTGCTGTCTACTTTCTATTTGTAATCCCGTTTCCAACGAAATCCTCAGAACTATCGAAATTTCCATTTGCAGATTCCACAGAAACAGGGTTTCAAAGCTGCTCTGTAAAAAGAAAGGTTCAACTCTGTTAGTTGAATACACACGTCACAAACAAGTTTCTGAGAATGCTTCTGTCTAGTTTTTATGGGAAGATATTTCCTTTTTCACGGTAGGCCTCAAAGCGCTCCAAATGTCCACTTCCACATACTACAAAAAGAGTGTTTCAAACCTGCTCTATGATAGGGAATGTTGAAACCTATGAGTTGAATGCAAGCATTACAAAGAGGTTTCTGAGAATGCTTCTGTCTAGATTTTATATGTAGATATTCCCGTTTCCAACGAAATCCTCAAAGCTATCCAAATATCAACTTGCAGATTCTACAAAAGGAATGTTTCCAAAATGCTGTATCCAAACAAAGGTTCAACTCTGTGAATTGAGGGCATACATCACAAAGAAGATTCTGAGAATGCTTCTGTCTAGATTTTATATGAAAATATTCCCGTTTCCAACGAAATCCTCAAAGCTATCCAAATATCCACTTGCAAATGCCACAAAAAGAGTGTTTCCAAACTGCTCTGTGAAAAGGAAGGTTCAACTCTGTTAGTTGAGTACACACATCACAAAGAGGTTTCTGAGAATGCTGCTGACTAGTTTTTATTTGAAGATATTTCCCTTTTCACCTTAGGCCTAAGAGTGCTCGAAATGTCCATTTCCACATACTCCACAAAGTGTGTTTCAAACGTGCTGTATGAAAGGGAATGTTCAACTCTATGAGTTGAATGCAAACATCACAAAGAAGATTCTGAGAATGCTTTTGTCTAGATTTTATATGAAGATATTCCCGTGTCCAACGAAATTTTCAAAGGTCTCCAAATATCCATTTGTAGATTCTACAAAAAGAGTGTTTCCAAACTGCTGTATCAAAACAAAGGTTGAACTCTGTGAGTTGAGGACACACATCAAAAATAAGTTTCTGAGAATGCTTCTGTCTAGTTTTTATTTGAAGATGTTTCCTTTTTCACCATAGGCCTGAAAGCGCTCGAAATGTCCACTTCCAGATAGTACAGAAAGAGTGTTTCAAACCTGCTCTATGAACGGGAATGTTCAGCTCTGTGAGTTGAATGCAAACATCACAAAGCAGGTTCCGAGAATGCTTCCGTCTAGATTTTAAATGAGGATATTCCCGTTTCCAACGAAATCCTCGAGCTATCCAAATATCCACTTGCAGATTCCACAAAAAGAGTGTTTCAAAACTGCTCTGTCAAAAGATAGGTTCAACTCTGTTAGTTGAGTACACACATGGCAAACAAGATTCCGAGAATGCTTTCGTCTAGTTTTTTTGGGAAGATATTTCCTTCTTCACCATAGGCCTCAAAGCGCTCCAAATATCCATTTCCACATGCTATACAAAGAGTGTCTCAAACCTGCTGTATGAATGGGAATGTTCAACTCTATGAGTTGAATGCAAACATCACAAAGAAGTTTCTGAGAATGCTGCTGTCTAGATTTTATATGAAGGTTTTCCCGCTTCCAACGAAATTTTCAATGCTCTCAAAATATCCTCTTGTAGATTCTACAAAAAGAGTGTTTCCAAACTGCTGTATCAAAACAAAGGTTCATCTCTGTTAGTTGAGGACACACATCACAAATAAGTTTCTGAGAATGCTTCTGTCTAGTTCTTATTTGAAGACATTTCCTTTCTCACCTTAGGCCTGAAAGCGCTCGAAATACACACTTCCAGATACTACAGAAACAGTGATTCAAACCTGCTCTATGAAAGGGAATGTTCAACTAGGTGACTTGAATGCAAACATCACAAAGCAGTTTCTGAGAATGCTGCTGTCTACTTTCTATTTGTAATCCCGTTTCCAACGAAATCCTCAGAACTATCGAAGTTTCCAATTGCAGATTCCACAGAAACAGGGTTTCAAAGCTGCTCTGTAAAAAGAAAGGTTCAACTCTGTTAGTTGAATACACACGTCACAAACAAGTTTCTGAGAATGCTTCTGTCTAGTTTTTATGGGAAGATATTTCCTTTTTCACCGTAGGCCTCAAAGCGCTCCAAATGTCCACTTCCACATACTACAAAAAGAGTGTTTCAAACCTGCTCTATGATAGGGAATGTTGAAACCTATGAGTTGAATGCAAACATTACAAAGAGGTTTCTGAGAATGCTTCTGTCTAGATTTTATATGTAGATATTCCCGTTTCCAACGAAATCCTCAAAGCTATCCAAATATCAACTTGCAGATTCTACAAAAGGAATGTTTCCAAAATGCTGTATCCAAACAAAGGTTCAACTCTGTGAATTGAGGGCATACATCACAAAGAAGATTCTGAGAATGCTTCTGTCTAGATTTTATATGAAAATATTCCCGTTTCCAACGAAATCCACAAAGCTATCCAAATATCCACTTGCAAATGCCACAAAAAGAGTGTTTCCAAACTGCTCTGTGAAAAGGAAGGTTCAACTCTGTTAGTTGAGTACACACATCACAAAGAGGTTTCTGAGAATGCTGCTGACTAGTTTTTATTTGAAGATATTTCCCTTTTCACCTTAGGCCTAAGAGTGCTCGAAATGTCCATTTCCACATACTCCACAAAGTGTGTTTCAAACGTGCTGTATGAAAGGGAATGTTCAACTCTATGAGTTGAATGCAAACATCACAAAGAAGATTCTGAGAATGCTTTTGTCTAGATTTTATATGAAGATATTCCCGTGTCCAACGAAAATTTCAAAGTTCTCCAAATATCCATTTGTAGATTCTACAAAAAGAGTGTTTCCAAACTGCTGTATCAAAACAAAGGTTGAACTCTGTGAGTTGAGGACACACATCACAAATAAGTTTCTGAGAATGCTTCTGTCTAGTTTTTATTTGAAGATGTTTCCTTTTTCACCATAGGCCTGAAAGCGCTCGAAATGTCCACTTCCAGATAGTACAGAAAGAGTGTTTCAAACCTGCTCTATGAACGGGAATGTTCAGCTCTGTGAGTTGAATGCAAACATCACAAAGCAGGTTCTGAGAATGCTTCCGTCTAGATTTTAAATGAGGATATTCCCGTTTCCAACGAAATCCTCGAAGCTATCCAAATATCCACTTGCAGATTCCACAAAAAGAGTGTTTCAAAACTGCTCTGTCAAAAGATAGGTTCAACTCTGTTAGTTGAGTACACACATGGCAAACAAGATTGCGAGAATGCTTTCGTCTAGTTTTTTTGGGAAGATATTTCCTTCTTCACCATAGGCCTCAAAGCGCTCCAAATATCCATTTCCACATGCTATACAAAGAGTGTCTCAAACCTGCTGTATGAATGGGAATGTTCAACTCTATGAGTTGAATGCAAACATCACAAAGAAGTTTCTGAGAATGCTGCTGTCTAGATTTTATATGAAGGTTTTCCCGCTTCCAACCAAATTTTCAATGCTCTCAAAATATCCTCTTGTAGATTCCACAAAAAGAGTGTTTCCAAACTGCTGTATCAAAACAAAGGTTCATCTCTGTTAGTTGAGGACACACATCACAAATAAGTTTCTGAGAATGCTTCTGTGTAGTTCTTATTTGAAGACATTTCCTTTCTCACCTTAGGCCTGAAAACGCTCGAAATACCCACTTCCAGATACGACAGAAACAGGGATTCAAACCTGCTCTATGAAAGGGAATGTTCAACTATGTGACTTGAATGCAAACATCACAAAGCACTTTCTGAGAATGCTGCTGTCTACTTTCTATTTGTAATCCCGTTTCCAACGAAATCCTCAGAACTATCGAAATTTCCAATTGCAGATTCCACAGAAACAGGGTTTCAAAGCTGCTCTGTAAAAAGAAAGGTTCAACTCTGTTAGTTGAATACACACGTCACAAACAAGTTTCTGAGAATGCTTCTGTCTAGTTTTTATGGGAAGATATTTCCTTTTTCACCGTAGGCCTCAAAGCGCTCCAAATGTCCACTTCCACATACTACAAAAAGAGTGTTTCAAACCTGCTGTATGAAAGGGAATGTTCAACTCTATGAGTCGAATGCAAACATTACAAAGAAGTTTCTGAGAATGCTTCTGTCTAGATTTTATATGAAGGTTTTCCCGTTTCCAACGAAATTTTCAATGCTCTCAAAATATCCACTTGTAGATTCTACAAAAAGAGTGTTTCCAAACTGCTGTGTCAAAAGAAAGGTTCAACTCTGTTAGTTGAGGACACACATCACAAATAAGTTTCTGAGAATGCTTCTGTCTAGTTCTTATTTGAAGACATTTCCTTTCTCACCTTAGGCCTGAAAACGCTCGAAATATCCACTTCCTGATACGACAGAAACAGTGATTCAAACCTGCTCTATGAAAGGGAATGTTCAACTAGGTGACTTGAATGCAAACATCACAAAGCAGTTTCTGAGAATGCTGCTGTCTACTTTCTATTTGTAATCCCGTTTCCAACGAAATCCTCAGAACTATCGAAATTTCCAGTTGCAGATTCCACAGAAACAGGGTTTCAAAGCTGCTCTGTAAAAAGAAAGGTTCAACTCTGTTAGTTGAATACACACGTCACAAACAAGTTTCTGAGAATGCTTCTGTTTAGTTTTTATGGGAAGATATTTCCTTTTTCACCGTAGGCCTCAAAGCGCTCCAAATGTCCACTTCCACATACTACAAAAAGAGTGTTTCAAACCTGCTCTATGATAGGGAATGTTGAAACCTATGAGTTGAATGCAAACATTACAAAGAGGTTTCTGAGAATGCTTCTGTCTAGATTTTATATGAAGGTTTTCCCGTTTCCAACGAAATTTTCAATGCTCTCAAAATATCCACTTGTAGATTCTACAAAAAGAGTGTTTCCAAACTGCTGTGTCAAAAGAAAGGTTCAACTCTGTTAGTTGAGGACACACATCACAAATAAGTTTCTGAGAATGCTTCTGTCTAGTTCTTATTTGAAGACATTTCCTTTCTCACCTTAGGCCTGAAAACGCTTGAAATTTCCACTTCCAGATACGACAGAAACAGTGATTCAAACCTGCTCTATGAAAGGGAATGTTCAACTAGGTGACTTGAATGCAAACATCACAAAGCAGTTTCTGAGAATGCTGCTGTCTACTTTCTATTTGTAATCCCGTTTCCAACGAAATCCTCAGAACTATCGAAATTTCCAATTGCAGATTCCACAAAAAGCGTGTTTCAAAGCTGCTCTGTAAAAAGAAAGGTTCAACTCTGTTAGTTGAATACACACGTCACAAACAAGTTTCTGAGAATGCTTCTGTCTAGTTTTTATGGGAAGATATTTCCTTTTTCACCGTAGGCCTCAAAGCGCTCCAAATGTCCACTTCCACATACTACAAAAAGAGTGTTTCAAACCTGCTCTATGATAGGGAATGTTGAAACCTATGAGTTGAATGCAAGCATTACAAGAGGTTTCTGAGAATGCTTCTGTCTAGATTTTATATGTAGATATTCCCGTTTCCAACGAAATCCTCAAAGCTATCCAAATATCAACTTGCAGATTCTACAAAAGGAATGTTTCCAAAATGCTGTATCCAAACAAAGGTTCAACTCTGTGAATTGAGGGCATACATCACAAAGAAGATTCTGAGAATGCTTCTGTCTAGATTTTATATGAAAATATTCCCGTTTCCAACGAAATCCTCAAAGCTATCCAAATATCCACTTGCAAATGCCACAAAAAGAGTGTTTCCAAACTGCTCTGTGAAAAGGAAGGTTCAACTCTGTTAGTTGAGTACACACATCACAAAGAGGTTTCTGAGAATGCTGCTGACTAGTTTTTATTTGAAGATATTTCCCTTTTCACCTTAGGCCTAAGAGTGCTCGAAATGTCCATTTCCACATACTCCACAAAGTGTGTTTCAAACGTGCTGTATGAAAGGGAACGTTCAACTCTATGAGTTGAATGCAAACATCACAAAGAAGATTCTGAGAATGCTTTTGTCTAGATTTTATATGAAGATATTCCCGTGTCCAACGAAATTTTCAAAGGTCTCCAAATATCCATTTGTAGATTCTACAAAAAGAGTGTTTCCAAACTGCTGTATCAAAACAAAGGTTGAACTCTGTGAGTTGAGGACACACATCACAAATAAGTTTCTGAGAATGCTTCTGTCTAGTTTTTATTTGAAGATGTTTCCTTTTTCACCATAGGCCTGAAAGCGCTCGAAATGTCCACTTCCAGATAGTACAGAAAGAGTGTTTCAAACCTGCTCTATGAACGGGAATGTTCAGCTCTGTGAGTTGAATGCAAACATCACAAAGCAGGTTCTGAGAATGCTTCCGTCTAGATTTTAAATGAGGATATTCCCGTTTCCAATGAAATCCTCGAAGCTATCCAAATATCCACTTGCAGATTCCACAAAAAGAGTGTTTCAAAACTGCTCTGTCAAAAGATAGGTTCAACTCTGTTAGTTGAGTACACACATGGCAAACAAGATTGCGAGAATGCTTTCGTCTAGTTTTTTTGGGAAGATATTTCCTTCTTCACCATAGGCCTCAAAGCGCTCCAAATATCCATTTCCACATGCTATACAAAGAGTGTCTCAAACCTGCTGTATGAATGGGAATGTTCAACTCTATGAGTTGAATGCAAACATCACAAAGAAGTTTCTGAGAATGCTTGCTGTCTAGTATTTTATATGAAGGTTTTCCCGCTTCCAACGAAATTTTCAATGCTCTCAAAATATCCTCTTGTAGATTCTACAAAAAGAGTGTTTCCAAACTGCTGTATCAAAACAAAGGTTCATCTCTGTTAGTTGAGGACACACATCACAAATAAGTTTCTGAGAATGCTTCTGTCTAGTTCTTATTTGAAGACATTTCCTTTCTCACCTTAGGCCTGAAAGCGCTCGAAATACCCACTTCCAGATACTACAGAAACAGTGATTCAAACCTGCTCTATGAAAGGGAATGTTCAACTAGGTGACTTGAATGCAAACATCACAAAGCAGTTTCTGAGAATGCTGCTGTCTACTATCTATTTGTAATCCCGTTTCCAACGAAATCCTCAGAACTATCGAAATTTCCAATTGCAGATTCCACAGAAACAGGGTTTCAAAGCTGCTCTGTAAAAGGAAAGGTTCAACTCTGTTAGTTGAATACACACGTCACAAACAAGTTTCTGAGAATGCTTCTGTCTAGTTTTTATGGGAAGATATTTCCTTTTTCACCGTAGGCCTCAAAGCGCTCCAAATGTCCACTTCCACATACTACAAAAAGAGTGTTTCAAACCTGCTCTATGATAGGGAATGTTGAAACCTATGAGTTGAATGCAAGCATTACAAAGAGGTTTCTGAGAATGCTTCTGTCTAGATTTTATATGTAGATATTCCCGTTTCCAACGAAATCCTCAAAGCTATCCAAATATCAACTTGCAGATTCTACAAAAGGAATGTTTCCAAAATGCTGTATCCAAACAAAGGTTCAACTCTGTGAATTGAGGGCATACATCACAAAGAAGATTCTGAGAATGCTTCTGTCTAGATTTTATATGAAAATATTCCCGTTTCCAACGAAATCCTCAAAGCTATCCAAATATCCACTTGCAAATGCCACAAAAAGAGTGTTTCCAAACTGCTCTGTGAAAAGGAAGGTTCAACTCTGTTAGTTGAGTACACACATCACAAAGAGGTTTCTGAGAATGCTGCTGACTAGTTTTTATTTGAAGATATTTCCCTTTTCACCTTAGGCCTAAGAGTGCTCGAAATGTCCATTTCCACATACTCCACAAAGTGTGTTTCAAACGTGCTGTATGAAAGGGAATGTTCAACTCTATGAGTTGAATGCAAACATCACAAAGAAGATTCTGAGAATGCTTTTGTCTAGATTTTATATGAAGATATTCCCGTGTCCAACGAAATTTTCAAAGGTCTCCAAATATCCATTTGTAGATTCTACAAAAAGAGTGTTTCCAAACTGCTGTATCAAAACAAAGGTTGAACTCTGTGAGTTGAGGACACACATCACAAATAAGTTTCTGAGAATGCTTCTGTCTAGTTTTTATTTGAAGATGTTTCCTTTTTCACCATAGGCCTGAAAGCGCTCGAAATGTCCACTTCCAGATAGTACAGAAAGAGTGTTTCAAACCTGCTCTATGAACGGGAATGTTCAGCTCCGTGAGTTGAATGCAAACATCACAAAGCAGGTTCTGAGAATGCTTCCGTCTAGATTTTAAATGAGGATATTCCCGTTTCCAACGAAATCCTCGAAGCTATCCAAATATCCACTTGCAGATTCCACAGAAAGAGTGTTTCAAAACTGCTCTCTCAAAAGATAGGTTCAACTCGGTTAGTTGAGTACACACATGGCAAACAAGATTCCGAGAATGCTTTCGTCTAGTTTTTTTGGGAAGATATTTCCTTCTTCACCATAGGCCTCAAAGCGCTCCAAATATCCATTTCCACATGCTATACAAAGAGTGTCTCAAACCTGCTGTATGAATGGGAATGTTCAACTCTATGAGTTGAATGCAAACATCACAAAGAAGTTTCTGAGAATGCTGCTGTCTAGATTTTATATGAAGGTTTTCCCGCTTCCAACGAAATTTTCAATGCTCTCAAAATATCCTCTTGTAGATTCTACAAAAAGAGTGTTTCCAAACTGCTGTATCAAAACAAAGGTTCATCTCTGTTAGTTGAGGACACACATCACAAATAAGTTTCTGAGAATGCTTCTGTCTAGTTCTTATTTGAAGACATTTCCTTTCTCACCTTAGGCCTGAAAGCGCTCGAAATACCCACTTCCAGATACTACAGAAACAGTGATTCAAACCTGCTCTATGAAAGGGAATGTTCAACTAGGTGACTTGAATGCAAACATCACAAAGCAGTTTCTGAGAATGCTGCTGTCTACTTTCTATTTGTAATCCCGTTTCCAACGAAATCCTCAGAACTATCGAAATTTCCAATTGCAGATTCCACAGAAACAGGGTTTCAAAGCTGCTCTGTAAAAAGAAAGGTTCAACTCTGTTAGTTGAATACACACGTCACAAACAAGTTTCTGAGAATGCTTCTGTCTAGTTTTTATGGGAAGATATTTCCTTTTTCACCGTAGGCCTCAAAGCGCTCCAAATGTCCACTTCCACATACTACAAAAAGAGTGTTTCAAACCTGCTCTATGATAGGGAATGTTGAAACCTATGAGTTGAATGCAAGCATTACAAAGAGGTTTCTGAGAATGCTTCTGTCTAGATTTTATATGTAGATATTCCCGTTTCCAACGAAATCCTCAAAGCTATCCAAATATCAACTTGCAGATTCTACAAAAGGAATGTTTCCAAAATGCTGTATCCAAACAAAGGTTCAACTCTGTGAATTGAGGGCATACATCACAAAGAAGATTCTGAGAATGCTTCTGTCTAGATTTTATATGAAAATATTCCCGTTTCCAACGAAATCCTCAAAGCTATCCAAATATCCACTTGCAAATGCCACAAAAAGAGTGTTTCCAAACTGCTCTGTGAAAAGGAAGGTTCAACTCTGTTAGTTGAGTACACACATCACAAAGAGGTTTCTGAGAATGCTGCTGACTAGTTTTTATTTGAAGATATTTCCCTTTTCACCTTAGGCCTAAGAGTGCTCGAAATGTCCATTTCCACATACTCCACAAAGTGTGTTTCAAACGTGCTGTATGAAAGGGAATGTTCAACTCTATGAGTTGAATGCAAACATCACAAAGAAGATTCTGAGAATGCTTTTGTCTAGATTTTATATGAAGATATTCCCGTGTCCAACGAAATTTTCAAAGGTCTCCAAATATCCATTTGTAGATTCTACAAAAAGAGTGTTTCCAAACTGCTGTATCAAAACAAAGGTTGAACTCTGTGAGTTGAGGACACACATCACAAATAAGTTTCTGAGAATGCTTCTGTCTAGTTTTTATTTGAAGATGTTTCCTTTTTCACCATAGGCCTGAAAGCGCTCGAAATGTCCACTTCCAGATAGTACAGAAAGAGTGTTTCAAACCTGCTCTATGAACGGGAATGTTCAGCTCTGTGAGTTGAATGCAAACATCACAAAGCAGGTTCTGAGAATGCTTCCGTCTAGATTTTAAATGAGGATATTCCCGTTTCCAACGAAATCCTCGAAGCTATCCAAATATCCACTTGCAGATTCCACAAAAAGAGTGTTTCAAAACTGCTCTGTCAAAAGATAGGTTCAACTCTGTTAGTTGAGTACACACATGGCAAACAAGATTCCGAGAATGCTTTCGTCTAGTTTTTTTGGGAAGATATTTCCTTCTTCACCATAGGCCTCAAAGCGCTCCAAATATCCATTTCCACATGCTATACAAAGAGTGTCTCAAACCTGCTGTATGAATGGGAATGTTCAACTCTATGAGTTGAATGCAAACATCACAAAGAAGTTTCTGAGAATGCTGCTGTCTAGATTTTATATGAAGGTTTTCCCGCTTCCAACGAAATTTTCAATGCTCTCAAAATATCCTCTTGTAGATTCTACAAAAAGAGTGTTTCCAAACTGCTGTATCAAAAGAAAGGTTCATCTCTGTTAGTTGAGGACACACATCACAAATAAGTTTCTGAGAATGCTTCTGTCTAGTTCTTATTTGAAGACATTTCCTTTCTCACCTTAGGCCTGAAAGCGCTCGAAATACCCACTTCCAGATACTACAGAAACAGTGATTCAAACCTGCTCTATGAAAGGGAATGTTCAACTATGTGACTTGAATGCAAACATCACAAAGCAGTTTCTGAGAATGCTGCTGTCTACTTTCTATTTGTAATCCCGTTTCCAACGAAATCCTCAGAACTATCGAAATTTCCAATTGCAGATTCCACAGAAACAGGGTTTCAAAACTGCTCTGTAAAAAGAAAGGTTCAACTCTGTTAGTTGAATACACACGTCACAAACAAGTTTCTGAGAATGCTTCTGTCTAGTTTTTATGGGAAGATATTTCCTTTTTCACCGTAGGCCTCAAAGCGCTCCAAATGTCCACTTCCACATACTACAAAAAGAGTGTTTCAAACCTGCTGTATGAAAGGGAATGTTCAACTCTATGAGTTGAATGCAAACATTACAAAGAAGTTTCTGAGAATGCTTCTGTCTAGATTTTATATGAAGGTTTTCCCGTTTCCAACGAAATTTTCAATGCTCTCAAAATATCCACTTGTAGATTCTACAAAAAGAGTGTTTCCAAACTGCTGTGTCAAAAGAAAGGTTCAACTCTGTTAGTTGAGGACACACATCACAAGTTTCTGAGAATGCTTCTGTCTAGTTCTTATTTGAAGACATTTCCTTTCTCACCTTAGGCCTGAAAACGCTCGAAATATCCACTTCCAGATACGACAGAAACAGTGATTCAAACCTGCTCTATGAAAGGGAATGTTCAACTATGTGACTTGAATGCAAACATCACAAAGCAGTTTCTGAGAATGCTGCTGTCTACTTTCTATTTGTAATCCCGTTTCCAACGAAATCCTCAGAACTATCGAAATTTCCAATTGCAGATTCCACAGAAACAGGGTTTCAAAGCTGCTCTGTAAAAAGAAAGGTTCAACTCTGTTAGTTGAATACACACGTCACAAACAAGTTTCTGAGAATGCTTCTGTCTAGTTTTTATGGGAAGATATTTCCTTTTTCACCGTAGGCCTCAAAGCGCTCCAAATGTCCACTTCCACATACTACAAAAAGAGTGTTTCAAACCTGCTCTATGATAGGGAATGTTGAAACCTATGAGTTGAATGCAAGCATTACAAAGAGGTTTCTGAGAATGCTTCTGTCTAG
The DNA here is from genome assembly GCF_000001405.40 of Homo sapiens. Lineage (NCBI taxonomy): Eukaryota > Metazoa > Chordata > Mammalia > Primates > Hominidae > Homo > Homo sapiens. The sequence continues at coordinate 19,460,233 of NC_000015.10, read as the reverse complement.
ATTTTATATGTAGATATTCCCGTTTCCAACGAAATCCTCAAAGCTATCCAAATATGAACTTGCAGATTCTACAAAAGGAATGTTTCCAAAATGCTGTATCCAAACAAAGGTTCAACTCTGTGAATTGAGGGCATACATCACAAAGAAGATTCTGAGAATGCTTCTGTCTAGATTTTATATGAAAATATTCCCGTTTCCAACGAAATCCTCAAAGCTATCCAAATATCCACTTGCAAATGCCACAAAATGAGTGTTTCCAAACTGCTCTGTGAAAAGGAAGGTTCAACTCTGTTAGTTGAGTACACACATCACAAAGAGGTTTCTGAGAATGCTGCTGACTAGTTTTTATTTGAAGATATTTCCCTTTTCACCTTAGGCCTAAGAGTGCTCGAAATGTCCATTTCCACATACTCCACAAAGTGTGTTTCAAACGTGCTGTATGAAAGGGAATGTTCAACTCTATGAGTTGAATGCAAACATCACAAAGAAGATTCTGAGAATGCTTTTGTCTAGCATTTTATATGAAGATATTCCCGTGTCCAACGAAATTTTCAAAGGTCTCCAAATATCCATTTGTAGATTCTACAAAAAGAGTGTTTCCAAACTGCTGTATCAAAACAAAGGTTGAACTCTGTGAGTTGAGGACACACATCACAAATAAGTTTCTGAGAATGCTTCTGTCTAGTTTTTATTTGAAGATGTTTCCTTTTTCACCATAGGCCTGAAAGCGCTCGAAATGTCCACTTCCAGATAGTACAGAAAGAGTGTTTCAAACCTGCTCTATGAACGGGAATGTTCAGCTCTGTGAGTTGAATGCAAACATCACAAAGCAGGTTCTGAGAATGCTTCCGTCTAGATTTTAAATGAGGATATTCCCGTTTCCAACGAAATCCTCGAAGCTATCCAAATATCCACTTGCAGATTCCACAAAAAGAGTGTTTCAAAACTGCTCTGTCAAAAGATAGGTTCAACTCTGTTAGTTGAGTACACACATGGCAAACAAGATTGCGAGAATGCTCTTTCGTCTAGTTTTTTTGGGAAGATATTTCCTTCTTCACCATAGGCCTCAAAGCGCTCCAAATATCCATTTCCACATGCTATACAAAGAGTGTCTCAAACCTGCTGTATGAATGGGAATGTTCAACTCTATGAGTTGAATGCAAACATCACAAAGAAGTTTCTGAGAATGCTGCTGTCTAGATTTTATATGAAGGTTTTCCCGCTTCCAACGAAATTTTCAATGCTCTCAAAATATCCTCTTGTAGTTTCTACAAAAAGAGTGTTTCCAGACTGCTGTATCAAAACAAAGGTTCATCTCTGTTAGTTGAGGACACACATCACAAATAAGTTTCTGAGAATGCTTCTGTCTAGTTCTTATTTGAAGACATTTCCTTTCTCACCTTAGGCCTGAAAGCGCTCGAAATACCCACTTCCAGATACTACAGAAACAGTGATTCAAACCTGCTCTATGAAAGGGAATGTTCAACTAGGTGACTTGAATGCAAACATCACAAAGCAGTTTCTGAGAATGCTGCTGTCTACTTTCTATTTGTAATCCCGTTTCCAACGAAATCCTCAGAACTATCGAAATTTCCAATTGCAGATTCCACAAAAAGCGTGTTTCAAAGCTGCTCTGTAAAAAGAAAGGTTCAACTCTGTTAGTTGAATACACACGTCACAAACAAGTTTCTGAGATTGCTTCTGTCTAGTTTTTATGGGAAGATATTTCCTTTTTCACCGTAGGACTCAAAGCGCTCCAAATGTCCACTTCCACATACTACAAAAAGAGTGTTTCAAACCTGCTGTATGAAAGGGAATGTTCAACTCTATGAGTTGAATGCAAACATTACAAAGAAGTTTCTGAGAATGCTTCTGTCTAGATTTTATATGAATGTTTTCCCGTTTCCAACGAAATTTTCAATGCTCTCAAAACATCCACTTGTAGATTCTACAAAAAGAGTGTTTCCAAACTGCTGTGTCAAAAGAAAGGTTCAACTCTGTTAGTTGAGGACACACATCACAAATAAGTTTCTGAGAATGCTTCTGTCTAGTTCTTATTTGAAGACATTTCCTTTCTCACCTTAGGCCTGAAAACGCTCGAAATATCCACTTCCAGATACGACAGAAACAGTGATTCAAACCTGCTCTATGAAAGGGAATGTTCAACTAGGTGACTTGAATGCAAACATCACAAAGCAGTTTCTGAGAATGCTGCTGTCTACTTTCTATTTGTAATCCCGTTTCCAACGAAATCCTCAGAACTATCGAAATTTCCAATTGCAGATTCCACAAAAAGCGTGTTTCAAAGCTGCTCTGTAAAAAGAAAGGTTCAACTCTGTTAGTTGAATACACACGTCACAAACAAGTTTCTGAGAATGCTTCTGTCTAGTTTTTATGGGAAGATATTTCCTTTTTCACCGTAGGCCTCAAAGCGCTCCAAATGTCCACTTCCACATACTACAAAAAGAGTGTTTCAAACCTGCTCTATGATAGGGAATGTTGAAACCTATGAGTTGAATGCAAGCATTACAAAGAGGTTTCTGAGAATGCTTCTGTCTAGATTTTATATGTAGATATTCCCGTTTCCAACGAAATCCTCAAAGCTATCCAAATATCAGCTTGCAGATTCTGCAAAAGGAATGTTTCCAAAATGCTGTATCCAAACAAAGGTTCAACTCTGTGAATTGAGGGCATACATCACAAAGAAGATTCTGAGAATGCTTCTGTCTAGATTTTATATGAAAATATTCCCGTTTCAAAGAAATCCTCAAAGCTATCCAAATATCCACTTGCAAATGCCACAAAAAGAGTGTTTCCAAACTGCTCTGTGAAAAGGAAGGTTCAACTCTGTTAGTTGAGTACACACATCACAAAGAGGTTTCTGAGAATGCTGCTGACTAGTTTTTATTTGAAGATATTTCCCTTTTCACCTTAGGCCTAAGAGTGCTCGAAATGTCCATTTCCACATACTCCACAAAGTGTGTTTCAAACGTGCTGTATGAAAGGGAATGTTCAACTCTATCAGTTGAATGCAAACATCACAAAGAAGATTCTGAGAATGCTTTTGTCTAGATTTTATATGAAGATATTCCCGTGTCCAACGAAATTTTCAAAGGTCTCCAAATATCCATTTGTAGATTCTACAAAAAGAGTGTTTCCAAACTGCTGTATCAAAACAAAGGTTGAACTCTGTGAGTTGAGGACACACATCACAAATAAGTTTCTGAGAATGCTTCTGTCTAGTTTTTATTTGAAGATGTTTCCTTTTTCACCATAGGCCTGAAAGCGCTCGAAATGTCCACTTCCAGATAGTACAGAAAGAGTGTTTCAAACCTGCTCTATGAACGGGAATGTTCAGCTCTGTGAGTTGAATGCAAACATCACAAACAGGTTCTGAGAATGCTTCCGTCTAGATTTTAAATGAGGATATTCCCGTTTCCAACGAAATCCTCGAAGCTATCCAAATATCCACTTGCAGATTCCACAAAAAGAGTGTTTCAAAACTGCTCTGTCAAAAGATAGGTTCAACTCTGTTAGTTGAGTACACACATGGCAAACAAGATTGCGAGAATGCTTTCGTCTAGTTTTTGTGGGAAGATATTTCCTTCTTCACCATAGGCCTCAAAGCGCTCCAAATATCCATTTCCACATGCTATACAAAGAGTGTCTCAAACCTGCTGTATGAATGGGAATGTTCAACTCTATGAGTTGAATGCAAACATCACAAAGAAGTTTCTGAGAATGCTGCTGTCTAGATTTTATATGAAGGTTTTCCCGCTTCCAACGAAATTTTCAATGCTCTCAAAATATCCTCTTGTAGATTCTACAAAAAGAGTGTTTCCAAACTGCTGTATCAAAACAAAGGTTCATCTCTGTTAGTTGAGGACACACATCACAAATAAGTTTCTGAGAATGCTTCTGTCTAGTTCTTATTTGAAGACATTTCCTTTCTCACCTTAGGCCTGAAAACGCTCGAAATACCCACTTCCAGATACGACAGAAACAGGGATTCAAACCTGCTCTATGAAAGGGAATGTTCAACTATGTGACTTGAATGCAAACATCACAAAGCAGTTTCTGAGAATGCTGCTGTCTACTTTCTATTTGTAATCCCGTTTGCAACGAAATCCTCAGAACTATCGAAATTTCCAATTGCAGATTCCACAGAAACAGGGTTTCAAAGCTGCTCTGTAAAAAGAAAGGTTCAACTCTGTTAGTTGAATACACACGTCACAAACAAGTTTCTGAGAATGCTTCTGTCTAGTTTTTATGGGAAGATATTTCCTTTTTCACCGTAGGCCTCAAAGCGCTCCAAATGTCCACTTCCACATACTACAAAAAGGGTGTTTCAAACCTGCTGTATGAAAGGGAATGTTCAACTCTATGAGGTTGAATGCAAACATTACAAAGAAGTTTCTGAGAATGCTTCTGTCTAGATTTTATATGAAGGTTTTCCCGTTTCCAACGAAATTTTCAATGCTCTCAAAATATCCACTTGTAGATTCTACAAAAAGAGTGTTTCCAAACTGCTGTGTCAAAAGAAAGGTTCAACTCTGTTAGTTGAGGACACACATCACAAATAAGTTTCTGAGAATGCTGCTGTCTACTTTCTATTTGTAATCCCGTTTCCAACGAAATCCTCAGAACTATCGAAATTTCCAATTGCAGATTCCACAAAAAGCGTGTTTCAAAGCTGCTCTGTAAAAAGAAAGGTTCAACTCTGTTTGTTGAATACACACGTCACAAACAAGTTTCTGAGAATGCTTCTGTCTAGTTTTTATGGGAAGATATTTCCTTTTTCACCGTAGGCCTCAAAGCGCTCCAAATGTCCACTTCCACATACTACAAAAAGAGTGTTTCAAACCTGCTCTATGATAGGGAATGTTGAAACCTATGAGTTGAATGCAAGCATTACAAAGAGGTTTCTGAGAATGCTTCTGTCTAGATTTTATATGTAGATATTCCCGTTTCCAACGAAATCCTCAAAGCTATCCAAATATCAACTTGCAGATTCTACAAAAGGAATGTTTCCAAAATGCTGTATCCAAACAAAGGTTCAACTCTGTGAATTGAGGGCATACATCACAAAGAAGATTCTGAGAATGCTTCTGTCTAGATTTTATATGAAAATATTCCCGTTTCCAACGAAATCCTCAAAGCTATCCAAATATCCACTTGCAAATGCCACAAAAAGAGTGTTTCCAAACTGCTCTGTGAAAAGGAAGGTTCAACTCTGTTAGTTGAGTACACACATCACAAAGAGGTTTCTGAGAATGCTGCTGACTAGTTTTTATTTGAAGATATTTCCCTTTTCACCTTAGGCCTAAGAGTGCTCGAAATGTCCATTTCCACATACTCCACAAAGTGTGTTTCAAACGTGCTGTATGAAAGGGAATGTTCAACTCTATGAGTTGAATGCAAACATCACAAAGAAGATTCTGAGAATGCTTTTGTCTAGATTTTATATGAAGATATTCCCGTGTCCAACGAAATTTTCAAAGGTCTCCAAATATCCATTTGTAGATTCTACAAAAAGAGTGTTTCCAAACTGCTGTATCAAAACAAAGGTGAACTCTGTGAGTTGAGGACACACATCACAAATAAGTTTCTGAGAATGCTTCTGTCTAGTTTTTATTTGAAGATGTTTCCTTTTTCACCATAGGCCTGAAAGCGCTCGAAATGTCCACTTCCAGATAGTACAGAAAGAGTGTTTCAAACCTGCTCTATGAACGGGAATGTTCAGCTCTGTGAGTTGAATGCAAACATCACAAAGCAGGTTCTGAGAATGCTTCCGTCTAGATTTTAAATGAGGATATTCCCGTTTCCAACGAAATCCTCGAAGCTATCCAAATATCCACTTGCAGATTCCACAAAAAGAGTGTTTCAAAACTGCTCTGTCAAAAGATAGGTTCAACTCTGTTAGTTGAGTACACACATGGCAAACAAGATTCCGAGAATGCTTTCGTCTAGTTTTTTTGGGAAGATATTTCCTTCTTCACCATAGGCCTCAAAGCGCTCCAAATATCCATTTCCACATGCTATACAAAGAGTGTCTCAAACCTGCTGTATGAATGGGAATGTTCAACTCTATGAGTTGAATGCAAACATCACAAAGAAGTTTCTGAGAATGCTGCTGTCTAGATTTTATATGAAGGTTTTCCCGCTTCCAACGAAATTTTCAATGCTCTCAAAATATCCTCTTGTAGATTCTACAAAAAGAGTGTTTCCAAACTGCTGTATCAAAACAAAGGTTCATCTCTGTTAGTTGAGGACACACATCACAAATAAGTTTCTGAGAATGCTTCTGTCTAGTTCTTATTTGAAGACATTTCCTTTCTCACCTTAGGCCTGAAAGCGCTCGAAATACCCACTTCCAGATACTACAGAAACAGTGATTCAAACCTGCTCTATGAAAGGGAATGTTCAACTAGGTGACTTGAACGCAAACATCACAAAGCAGTTTCTGAGAATGCTGCTGTCTACTTTCTATTTGTAATCCCGTTTCCAACGAAATCCTCAGAACTATCGAAATTTCCAATTGCAGATTCCACAGAAACAGGGTTTCAAAGCTGCTCTGTAAAAAGAAAGGTTCAACTCTGTTAGTTGAATACACACGTCACAAACAAGTTTCTGAGAATGCTTCTGTCTAGTTTTTATGGGAAGCATATTTCCTTTTTCACCGTAGGCCTCAAAGCGCTCCAAATGTCCACTTCCACATACTACAAAAAGAGTGTTTCAAACCTGCTGTATGAAAGGGAATGTTCAACTCTATGAGTTGAATGCAAACATTACAAAGAAGTTTCTGAGAATGCTTCTGTCTAGATTTTATATGAAGATTTTCCCGTTTCCAACGAAATTTTCAATGCTCTCAAAATATCGACTTGTAGATTCTACAAAAAGAGTGTTTCCAAACTGCTGTGTCAAAAGAAAGGTTCAACTCTGTTAGTTGAGGACACACATCACAAATAAGTTTCTGAGAATGCTTCTGTCTAGTTCTTATTTGAAGACATTTCCTTTCTCACCTTAGGCCTGAAAACGCTCGAAATATCCACTTCCAGATACGACAGAAACAGTGATTCAAACCTGCTCTATGAAAGGGAATGTTCAACTAGGTGACTTGAATGCAAACATCACAAAGCAGTTTCTGAGAATGCTGCTGTCTACTTTGTATTTGTAATCCCGTTTCCAACGAAATCCTCAGAACTATCGAAATTTCCAATTGCAGATTCCACAGAAACAGGGTTTCAAAGCTGCTCTGTAAAAAGAAAGGTTCAACTCTGTTAGTTGAATACACACGTCACAAACAAGTTTCTGAGAATGCTTCTGTCTAGTTTTTATGGGAAGATATTTCCTTTTTCACCGTAGACCTCAAAGCGCTCCAAATGTCCACTTCCACATACTACAAAAAGAGTGTTTCAAACCTGCTGTATGAAAGGGAATGTTCAACTCTATGAGTTGAATGCAAACATTACAAAGAAGTTTCTGAGAATGCTTCTGTCTAGATTTTATATGAAGGTTTTCCCGTTTCCAACGAAATTTTCAATGCTCTCAAAATATCCACTTGTAGATTCTACAAAAAGAGTGTTTCCAAACTGCTGTGTCAAAAGAAAGGTTCAACTCTGTTAGTTGAGGACACACATCACAAATAAGTTTCTGAGAATGCTGCTGTCTACTTTCTATTTGTAATCCCGTTTCCAACGAAATCCTCAGAACTATCAAAATTTCCAATTGCAGATTCCACAAAAAGCGTGTTTCAAAGCTGCTCTGTAAAAAGAAAGGTTCAACTCTGTTAGTTGAATACACACGTCACAAACAAGTTTCTGAGAATGCTTCTGTCTAGTTTTTATGGGAAGATATTTCCTTTTTCACCGTAGGCCTCAAAGCGCTCCAAATGTCCACTTCCACATACTACAAAAAGAGTGTTTCAAACCTGCTCTATGATAGGGAATGTTGAAACCTATGAGTTGAATGCAAGCATTACAAAGAGGTTTCTGAGAATGCTTCTGTCTAGATTTTATATGTAGATATTCCCGTTTCCAACGAAATCCTCAAAGCTATCCAAATATCAACTTGCAGATTCTGCAAAAGGAATGTTTCCAAAATGCTGTATCCAAACAAAGGTTCAACTCTGTGAATTGAGGGCATACATCACAAAGAAGATTCTGAGAATGCTTCTGTCTAGATTTTATATGAAAATATTCCCGTTTCCAACGAAATCCTCAAAGCTATCCAAATATCCACTTGCAACTGCCACAAAAAGAGTGTTTCCAAACTGCTCTGTGAAAAGGAAGGTTCAACTCTGTTAGTTGAGTACACACATCACAAAGAGGTTTCTGAGAATGCTGCTGACTAGTTTTTATTTGAAGATATTTCCCTTTTCACCTTAGGCCTAAGAGTGCTCGAAATGTCCATTTCCACATACTCCACAAAGTGTGTTTCAAACGTGCTGTATGAAAGGGAATGTTCAACTCTATGAGTTGAATGCAAACATCACAAAGAAGACTCTGAGAATGCTTTTGTCTAGATTTTATATGAAGATATTCCCGTGTCCAACGAAATTTTCAAAGGTCTCCAAATATCCATTTGTAGATTCTACAAAAAGAGTGTTTCCAAACTGCTGTATCAAAACAAAGGTTGAACTCTGTGAGTTGAGGACACACATCACAAATAAGTTTCTGAGAATGCTTCTGTCTAGTTTTTATTTGAAGATGTTTCCTTTTTCACCATAGGCCTGAAAGCGCTCGAAATGTCCACTTCCAGATAGTACAGAAAGAGTGTTTCAAACCTGCTCTATGAACGGGAATGTTCAGCTCTGTGAGTTGAATGCAAACATCACACAGCAGGTTCTGAGAATGCTTCCGTCTAGATTTTAAATGAGGATATTCCCGTTTCCAACGAAATCCTCGAAGCTATCCAAATATCCACTTGCAGATTCCACAAAAAGAGTGTTTCAAAACTGCTCTGTCAAAAGATAGGTTCAACTCTGTTAGTTGAGTACACACATGGCAAACAAGATTCCGAGAATGCTTTCGTCTAGTTTTTTTGGGAAGATATTTCCTTCTTCACCATAGGCCTCAAAGCGCTCCAAATATCCATTTCCACATGCTATACAAAGAGTGTCTCAAACCTGCTCTATGAATGGGAATGTTCAACTCTATGAGTTGAATGCAAACATCACAAAGAAGTTTCTGAGAATGCTGCTGTCTAGATTTTATATGAAGGTTTTCCCGCTTCCAACGAAATTTTCAATGCTCTCAAAATATCCTCTTGTAGATTCTACAAAAAGAGTGTTTCCAAACTGCTGTATCAAAACAAAGGTTCATCTCTGTTAGTTGAGGACACACATCACAAATAAGTTTCTGAGAATGCTTCTGTCTAGTTCTTATTTGAAGACATTTCCTTTCTCACCTTAGGCCTGAAAGCGCTCGAAATACCCACTTCCAGATACTACAGAAACAGTGATTCAAACCTGCTCTATGAAAGGGAATGTTCAACTATGTGACTTGAATGCAAACATCACAAAGCAGTTTCTGAGAATGCTGCTGTCTACTTTCTATTTGTAATCCCGTTTCCAACGAAATCCTCAGAACTATCGAAATTTCCAATTGCAGATTCCACAGAAACAGGGTTTCAAAGCTGCTCTGTAAAAAGAAAGGTTCAACTCTGTTAGTTGAATACACACGTCACAAACAAGTTTCTGAGAATGCTTCTGTCTAGTTTTTATGGGAAGATATTTCCTTTTTCACCGTAGGCCTCAAAGCGCTCCAAATGTCCACTTCCACATACTACAAAAAGAGTGTTTCAAACCTGCTGTATGAAAGGGAATGTTCAACTCTATGAGTTGAATGCAAACATTACAGAGAAGTTTCTGAGAATGCTGCTGTCTAGATTTTATATGAAGGTTTTCCCGCTTCCAACGAAATTTTCAATGCTCTGAAAATATCCTCTTGTATATTCTACAAAAAGAGTGTTTCCAAACTGCTGTGTCAAAAGAAAGGTTCAACTCTGTTAGTTGAGGACACACATCACAAATAAGTTTCTGAGAATGCTGCTGTCTACTTTCTATTTGTAATCCCGTTTCCAACGAAATCCTCAGAACTATCGAAATTTCCAAATGCAGATTCCACAAAAAGCGTGTTTCAAAGCTGCTCTGTAAAAAGAAAGGTTCAACTCTGTTAGTTGAATACACACGTCACAAACAAGTTTCTGAGAATGCTTCTGTCTAGTTTTTATGGGAAGATATTTCCTTTTTCACCGTAGGCCTCAAAGCGCTCCAAATGTCCACTTCCACATACTACAAAAAGAGTGTTTCAAACCTGCTCTATGATAGGGAATGTTGAAACCTATGAGTTGAATGCAAGCATTACAAAGAGGTTTCTGAGAATGCTTCTGTCTAGATTTTATATGTAGATATTCCCGTTTCCAACGAAATCCTCAAAGCTATCCAAATATCAACTTGCAGATTCTACAAAAGGAATGTTTCCAAAATGCTGTATCCAAACAAAGGTTCAACTCTGTGAATTGAGGGCATACATCACAAAGAAGATTCTGAGAATGCTTCTGTCTAGATTTTATATGAAAATATTCCCGTTTCCAACGAAATCCTCAAAGCTATCCAAATATCCACTTGCAAATGCCACAAAAAGAGTGTTTCCAAACTGCTCTGTGAAAAGGAAGGTTCAACTCTGTTAGTTGAGTACACACATCACAAAGAGGTTTCTGAGAATGCTGCTGACTAGTTTTTATTTGAAGATATTTCCCTTTTCACCTTAGGCCTAAGAGTGCTCGAAATGTCCATTTCCACATACTCCACAAAGTGTGTTTCAAACGTGCTGTATGAAAGGGAATGTTCAACTCTATGAGTTGAATGCAAACATCACAAAGAAGATTCTGAGAATGCTTTTGTCTAGATTTTATATGAAGATATTCCCGTGTCCAACGAAATTTTCAAAGGTCTCCAAATATCCATTTGTAGATTCTACAAAAAGAGTGTTTCCAAACTGCTGTATCAAAACAAAGGTTGAACTCTGTGAGTTGAGGACACACATCACAAATAAGTTTCTGAGAATGCTTCTGTCTAGTTTTTATTTGAAGATGTTTCCTTTTTCACCATAGGCCTGAAAGCGCTCGAAATGTCCACTTCCAGATAGTACAGAAAGAGTGTTTCAAACCTGCTCTATGAACGGGAATGTTCAGCTCTGTGAGTTGAATGCAAACATCACAAAGCAGGTTCCGAGAATGCTTCCGTCTAGATTTTAAATGAGGATATTCCCGTTTCCAACGAAATCCTCGAAGCTATCCAAATATCCACTTGCAGATTCCACAAAAAGAGTGTTTCAAAACTGCTCTGTCAAAAGATAGGTTCAACTCTGTTAGTTGAGTACACACATGGCAAACAAGATTGCGAGAATGCTTTCGTCTAGTTTTTTTGGGAAGATATTTCCTTCTTCACCATAGGCCTCAAAGCGCTCCAAATATCCATTTCCACATGCTATACAAAGAGTGTCTCAAACCTGCTGTATGAATGGGAATGTTCAACTCTATGAGTTGAATGCAAGCATCACAAAGAAGTTTCTGAGAATGCTGCTGTCTAGATTTTATATGAAGGTTTTCCCGCTTCCAACGAAATTTTCAATGCTCTCAAAATATCCTCTTGTAGATTCTACAAAAAGAGTGTTTCCAAACTGCTGTATCAAAACAAAGGTTCATCTCTGTTAGTTGAGGACACACATCACAAATAAGTTTCTGAGAATGCTTCTGTCTAGTTCTTATTTGAAGACATTTCCTTTCTCACCTTAGGCCTGAAAACGCTCGAAATATCCACTTCCAGATACGACAGAAACAGTGATTCAAACCTGCTCTATGAAAGGGAATGTTCAACTAGGTGACTTGAATGCAAACATCACAAAGCAGTTTCTGAGAATGCTGCTGTCTACTTTCTATTTGTAATCCCGTTTCCAACGAAATCCTCAGAACTATCGAAATTTCCAATTGCAGATTCCACAAAAAGCGTGTTTCAAAGCTGCTCTGTAAAAAGAAAGGTTCAACTCTGTTAGTTGAATACACACGTCACAAACAAGTTTCTGAGAATGCTTCTGTCTAGTTTTTATGGGAAGATATTTCCTTTTTCACCGTAGGCCTCAAAGCGCTCCAAATGTCCACTTCCACATACTACAAAAAGAGTGTTTCAAACCTGCTCTATGATAGGGAATGTTGAAACCTATGAGTTGAATGCAAGCATTACAAAGAGGTTTCTGAGAATGCTTCTGTCTAGATTTTATATGTAGATATTCCCGTTTCCAACGAAATCCTCAAAGCTATCCAAATATCAACTTGCAGATTCTACAAAAGGAATGTTTCCAAAATGCTGTATCCAAACAAAGGTTCAACTCTGTGAATTGAGGGCATACATCACAAAGAAGATTTTGAGAATGCTTCTGTCTAGATTTTATATGAAAATATTCCCGTTTCCAACGAAATCCTCAAAGCTATCCAAATATCCACTTGCAAATGCCACAAAAAGAGTGTTTCCAAACTGCTCTGTGAAAAGGAAGGTTCAACTCTGTTAGTTGAGTACACACATCACAAAGAGGTTTCTGAGAATGCTGCTGACTAGTTTTTATTTGAAGATATTTCCCTTTTCACCTTAGGCCTAAGAGTGCTCGAAATGTCCATTTCCACATACTCCACAAAGTGTGTTTCAAACGTGCTGTATGAAAGGGAATGTTCAACTCTATGAGTTGAATGCAAACATCACAAAGAAGATTCTGAGAATGCTTTTGTCTAGATTTTATATGAAGATATTCCCGTGTCCAACGAAATTTTCAAAGGTCTCCAAATATCCATTTGTAGATTCTACAAAAAGAGTGTTTCCAAACTGCTGTATCAAAACAAAGGTTGAACTCTGTGAGTTGAGGACACACATCACAAATAAGTTTCTGAGAATGCTTCTGTCTAGTTTTTATTTGAAGATGTTTCCTTTTTCACCATAGGCCTGAAAGCGCTCGAAATGTCCACTTCCAGATAGTACAGAAAGAGTGTTTCAAACCTGCTCTATGAACGGGAATGTTCAGCTCTGTGAGTTGAATGCAAACATCACAAAGCAGGTTCTGAGAATGCTTCCGTCTAGATTTTAAATGAGGATATTCCCGTTTCCAACGAAATCCTCGAAGCTATCCAAATATCCACTTGCAGATTCCACAAAAAGAGTGCTTCAAAACTGCTCTGTCAAAAGATAGGTTCAACTCTGTTAGTTGAGTACACACATGGCAAACAAGATTGCGAGAATGCTTTCGTCTAGTTTTTTTGGGAAGATATTTCCTTCTTCACCATAGGCCTCAAAGCGCTCCAAATATCCATTTCCACATGCTATACAAAGAGTGTCTCAAACCTGCTGTATGAATGGGAATGTTCAACTCTATGAGTTGAATGCAAACATCACAAAGAAGTTTCTGAGAATGCTGCTGTCTAGATTTTATATGAAGGTTTTCCCGCTTCCAACGAAATTTTCAATGCTCTCAAAATATCCTCTTGTAGATTCTACAAAAAGAGTGTTTCCAAACTGCTGTATCAAAACAAAGGTTCATCTCTGTTAGTTGAGGACACACATCACAAATAAGTTTCTGAGAATGCTTCTGTCTAGTTCTTATTTGAAGACATTTCCTTTCTCACCTTAGGCCTGAAAGCGCTCGAAATACACACTTCCAGATACTACAGAAACAGTGATTCAAACCTGCTCTATGAAAGGGAATGTTCAACTAGGTGACTTGAATGCAAACATCACAAAGCAGTTTCTGAGAATGCTGCTGTCTACTTTCTATTTGTAATCCCGTTTCCAACGAAATCCTCAGAACTATCGAAATTTCCAATTGCAGATTCCACAGAAACAGGGTTTCAAAGCTGCTCTGTAAAAAGAAAGGTTCAACTCTGTTAGTTGAATACACACGTCACAAACAAGTTTCTGAGAATGCTTCTGTCTAGTTTTTATGGGAAGATATTTCCTTTTTCACGGTAGGCCTCAAAGCGCTCCAAATGTCCACTTCCACATACTACAAAAAGAGTGTTTCAAACCTGCTCTATGATAGGGAATGTTGAAACCTATGAGTTGAATGCAAGCATTACAAAGAGGTTTCTGAGAATGCTTCTGTCTAGATTTTATATGTAGATATTCCCGTTTCCAACGAAAATCCTCAAAGCTATCCAAATATCAACTTGCAGATTCTACAAAAGGAATGTTTCCAAAATGCTGTATCCAAACAAAGGTTCAACTCTGTGAATTGAGGGCATACATCACAAAGAAGATTCTGAGAATGCTTCTGTCTAGATTTTATATGAAAATATTCCCGTTTCCAACGAAATCCTCAAAGCTATCCAAATATCCACTTGCAAATGCCACAAAAAGAGTGTTTCCAAACTGCTCTGTGAAAAGGAAGGTTCAACTCTGTTAGTTGAGTACACACATCACAAAGAGGTTTCTGAGAATGCTGCTGACTAGTTTTTATTTGAAGATATTTCCCTTTTCACCTTAGGCCTAAGAGTGCTCGAAATGTCCATTTCCACATACTCCACAAAGTGTGTTTCAAACGTGCTGTATGAAAGGGAATGTTCAACTCTATGAGTTGAATGCAAACATCACAAAGAAGACTCTGAGAATGCTTTTGTCTAGATTTTATATGAAGATATTCCCGTGTCCAACGAAATTTTCAAAGGTCTCCAAATATCCATTTGTAGATTCTACAAAAAGAGTGTTTCCAAACTGCTGTATCAAAACAAAGGTTGAACTCTGTGAGTTGAGGACACACATCACAAATAAGTTTCTGAGAATGCTTCTGTCTAGTTTTTATTTGAAGATGTTTCCTTTTTCACCATAGGCCTGAAAGCGCTCGAAATGTCCACTTCCAGATAGTACAGAAAGAGTGTTTCAAACCTGCTCTATGAACGGGAATGTTCAGCTCTGTGAGTTGAATGCAAACATCACAAAGCAGGTTCTGAGAATGCTTCCGTCTAGATTTTAAATGAGGATATTCCCGTTTCCAACGAAATCCTCGAAGCTATCCAAATATCCACTTGCAGATTCCACAAAAAGAGTGTTTCAAAACTGCTCTGTCAAAAGATAGGTTCAACTCTGTTAGTTGAGTACACACATGGCAAACAAGATTCCGAGAATGCTTTCGTCTAGTTTTTGTGGGAAGATATTTCCTTCTTCACCATAGGCCTCAAAGCGCTCCAAATATCCATTTCCACATGCTATACAAAGAGTGTCTCAAACCTGCTGTATGAATGGGAATGTTCAACTCTATGAGTTGAATGCAAACATCACAAAGAAGTTTCTGAGAATGCTGCTGTCTAGATTTTATATGAAGGTTTTCCCGCTTCCAACGAAATTTTCAATGCTCTCAAAATATCCTCTTGTAGATTCTACAAAAAGAGTGTTTCCAAACTGCTGTATCAAAACAAAGGTTCATCTCTGTTAGTTGAGGACACACATCACAAATAAGTTTCTGAGAATGCTTCTGTCTAGTTCTTATTTGAAGACATTTCCTTTCTCACCTTAGGCCTGAAAGCGCTTGAAATACCCACTTCCAGATACTACAGAAACAGTGATTCAAACCTGCTCTATGAAAGGGAATGTTCAACTAGGTGACTTGAATGCAAACATCACAAAGCAGTTTCTGAGAATGCTGCTGTCTACTTTCTATTTGTAATCCCGTTTCCAACGAAATCCTCAGAACTATCGAAATTTCCAATTGCAGATTCCACAGAAACAGGGTTTCAAAGCTGCTCTGTAAAAAGAAAGGTTCAACTCTGTTAGTTGAATACACACGTCACAAACAAATTTCTGAGAATGCTTCTGTCTAGTTTTTATGGGAAGATATTTCCTTTTTCACGGTAGGCCTCAAAGCGCTCCAAATGTCCACTTCCACATACTACAAAAAGAGTGTTTCAAACCTGCTCTATGATAGGGAATGTTGAAACCTATGAGTTGAATGCAAGCATTACAAAGAGGTTTCTGAGAATGCTTCTGTCTAGATTTTATATGTAGATATTCCCGTTTCCAACGAAATCCTCAAAGCTATCCAAATATCAACTTGCAGATTCTACAAAAGGAATGTTTCCAAAATGCTGTATCCAAACAAAGGTTCAACTCTGTGAATTGAGGGCATACATCACAAAGAAGATTCTGAGAATGCTTCTGTCTAGATTTTATATGAAAATATTCCCGTTTCCAACGAAATCCTCAAAGCTATCCAAATATCCACTTGCAAATGCCACAAAAAGAGTGTTTCCAAACTGCTCTGTGAAAAGGAAGGTTCAACTCTGTTAGTTGAGTACACACATCACAAAGAGGTTTCTGAGAATGCTGCTGACTAGTTTTTATTTGAAGATATTTCCCTTTTCACCTTAGGCCTAAGAGTGCTCGAAATGTCCATTTCCACATACTCCACAAAGTGTGTTTCAAACGTGCTGTATGAAAGGGAATGTTCAACTCTATGAGTTGAATGCAAACATCACAAAGAAGATTCTGAGAATGCTTTTGTCTAGATTTTATATGAAGATATTCCCGTGTCCAACGAAATTTTCAAAGGTCTCCAAATATCCATTTGTAGATTCTACAAAAAGAGTGTTTCCAAACTGCTGTATCAAAACAAAGGTTGAACTCTGTGAGTTGAGGACACACATCACAAATAAGTTTCTGAGAATGCTTCTGTCTAGTTTTTATTTGAAGATGTTTCCTTTTTCACCATAGGCCTGAAAGCGCTCGAAATGTCCACTTCCAGATAGTACAGAAAGAGTGTTTCAAACCTGCTCTATGAACGGGAATGTTCAGCTCTGTGAGTTGAATGCAAACATCACAAAGCAGGTTCTGAGAATGCTTCCGTCTAGATTTTAAATGAGGATATTCCCGTTTCCAACGAAATCCTCGAAGCTATCCAAATATCCACTTGCAGATTCCACAAAAAGAGTGTTTCAAAACTGCTCTGTCAAAAGATAGGTTCAACTCTGTTAGTTGAGTACACACATGGCAAACAAGATTCCGAGAATGCTTTCGTCTAGTTTTTTTGGGAAGATATTTCCTTCTTCACCATAGGCCTCAAAGTGCTCCAAATATCCATTTCCACATGCTATACAAAGAGTGTCTCAAACCTGCTGTATGAATGGGAATGTTCAACTCTATGAGTTGAATGCAAACATCACAAAGAAGTTTCTGAGAATGCTGCTGTCTAGATTTTATATGAAGGTTTTCCCGCTTCCAACGAAATTTTCAATGCTCTCAAAATATCCTCTTGTAGATTCTACAAAAAGAGTGTTTCCAAACTGCTGTATCAAAACAAAGGTTCATCTCTGTTAGTTGAGGACACACATCACAAATAAGTTTCTGAGAATGCTTCTGTCTAGTTCTTATTTGAAGACATTTCCTTTCTCACCTTAGGCCTGAAAACGCTCGAAATATCCACTTCCAGATACGACAGAAACAGTGATTCAAACCTGCTCTATGAAAGGGAATGTTCAACTAGGTTACTTGAATGCAAACATCACAAAGCAGTTTCTGAGAATGCTGCTGTCTACTTTCTATTTGTAATCCCGTTTCCAACGAAATCCTCAGAACTATCGAAATTTCCAATTGCAGATTCCACAAAAAGCGTGTTTCAAAGCTGCTCTGTAAAAAGAAAGGTTCAACTCTGTTAGTTGAATACACACGTCACAAACAAGTTTCTGAGAATGCTTCTGTCTAGTTTTTATGGGAAGATATTTCCTTTTTCACCGTAGGCCTCAAAGCGCTCCAAATGTCCACTTCCACATACTACAAAAAGAGTGTTTCAAACCTGCTGTATGAAAGGGAATGTTCAACTCTATGAGTTGAATGCAAACATTACAAAGAAGTTTCTGAGAATGCTTCTGTCTAGATTTTATATGAAGGTTTTCCCGTTTCCAACGAAATTTTCAATGCTCTCAAAATATCCACTTGTAGATTCTACAAAAAGAGTGTTTCCAAACTGCTGTGTCAAAAGAAAGGTTCAACTCCGTTAGTTGAGGACACACATCACAAATAAGTTTCTGAGAATGCTGCTGTCTACTTTCTATTTGTAATCCCGTTTCCAACGAAATCCTCAGAACTATCAAAATTTCCAATTGCAGATTCCACAAAAAGCGTGTTTCAAAGCTGCTCTGTAAAAAGAAAGGTTCAACTCTGTTAGTTGAATACACACGTCACAAACAAGTTTCTGAGAATGCTTCTGTCTAGTTTTTATGGGAAGATATTTCCTTTATTCACCGTAGGCCTCAAAGCGCTCCAAATGTCCACTTCCACATACTACAAAAAGAGTGTTTCAAACCTGCTCTATGATAGGGAATGTTGAAACCTATGAGTTGAATGCAAGCATTACAAAGAGGTTTCTGAGAATGCTTCTGTCTAGATTTTATATGTAGATATTCCCGTTTCCAACGAAATCCTCAAAGCTATCCAAATATCAGCTTGCAGATTCTGCAAAAGGAATGTTTCCAAAATGCTGTATCCAAACAAAGGTTCAACTCTGTGAATTGAGGGCATACATCACAAAGAAGATTCTGAGAATGCTTCTGTCTAGATTTTATATGAAAATATTCCCGTTTCCAACGAAATCCTCAAAGCTATCCAAATATCCACTTGCAAATGCCACAA
Source organism: Homo sapiens (assembly GCF_000001405.40). Taxonomy (NCBI): domain Eukaryota; kingdom Metazoa; phylum Chordata; class Mammalia; order Primates; family Hominidae; genus Homo; species Homo sapiens. The sequence goes on along the minus strand of NC_000015.10, from coordinate 19,441,572 downwards.
AAAGAGTGTTTCCAAACTGCTCTGTGAAAAGGAAGGTTCAACTCTGTTAGTTGAGTACACACATCACAAAGAGGTTTCTGAGAATGCTGCTGACTAGTTTTTATTTGAAGATATTTCCCTTTTCACCTTAGGCCTAAGAGTGCTCGAAATGTCCATTTCCACATACTCCACAAAGTGTGTTTCAAACGTGCTGTGTGAAAGGGAATGTTCAACTCTATGAGTTGAATGCAAACATCACAAAGAAGATTCTGAGAATGCTTTTGTCTAGATTTTATATGAAGATATTCCCGTGTCCAACGAAATTTTCAAAGGTCTCCAAATATCCATTTGTAGATTCTACAAAAAGAGTGTTTCCAAACTGCTGTATCAAAACAAAGGTTGAACTCTGTGAGTTGAGGACACACATCACAAATAAGTTTCTGAGAATGCTTCTGTCTAGTTTTTATTTGAAGATGTTTCCTTTTTCACCATAGGCCTGAAAGCGCTCGAAATGTCCACTTCCAGATAGTACAGAAAGAGTGTTTCAAACCTGCTCTATGAACGGGAATGTTCAGCTCTGTGAGTTGAATGCAAACATCACACAGCAGGTTCTGAGAATGCTTCCGTCTAGATTTTAAATGAGGATATTCCCGTTTCCAACGAAATCCTCGAAGCTATCCAAATATCCACTTGCAGATTCCACAAAAAGAGTGTTTCAAAACTGCTCTGTCAAAAGATAGGTTCAACTCTGTTAGTTGAGTACACACATGGCAAACAAGATTGCGAGAATGCTTTCGTCTAGTTTTTTGGGGAAGATATTTCCTTCTTCACCATAGGCCTCAAAGCGCTCCAAATATCCATTTCCACATGCTATACAAAGAGTGTCTCAAACCTGCTGTATGAATGGGAATGTTCAACTCTATGAGTTGAATGCAAACATCACAAAGAAGTTTCTGAGAATGCTGCTGTCTAGATTTTATATGAAGGTTTTCCCGCTTCCAACGAAATTTTCAATGCTCTCAACATATCCTCTTGTAGATTATACAAAAAGAGTGTTTCCAAACTGCTGTATCAAAACAAAGGTTCATCTCTGTTAGTTGAGGACACACATCACAAATAAGTTTCTGAGAATGCTTCTGTCTAGTTCTTATTTGAAGACATTTCCTTTCTCACCTTAGGCCTGAAAGCGCTCGAAATACCCACTTCCAGATACTACAGAAACAGTGATTCAAACCTGCTCTATGAAAGGGAATGTTCAACTAGGTGACTTGAATGCAAACATCACAAAGCAGTTTCTGAGAATGCTGCTGTCTACTTTCTATTTGTAATCCCGTTTCCAACGAAATCCTCAGAACTATCGAAATTTCCAATTGCAGATTCCACAGAAACAGGGTTTCAAAGCTGCTCTGTAAAAAGAAAGGTTCAACTCTGTTAGTTGAATACACACGTCACAAACAAGTTTCAGAGAATGCTTCTGTCTAGTTTTTATGGGAAGATATTTCCTTTTTCACCGTAGGCCTCAAAGCGCTCCAAATGTCCACTTCCACATACTACAAAAAGAGTGTTTCAAACCTGCTGTATGAAAGGGAATGTTCAACTCTATGAGTTGAATGCAAACATTACAAAGAAGTTTCTGAGAATGCTTCTGTCTAGATTTTATATGAAGGTTTTCCCCTTTCCAACGAAATTTTCAATGCTCTCAAAATATCCACTTGTAGATTCTACAAAAAGAGTGTTTCCAAACTGCTGTGTCAAAAGAAAGGTTCAACTCTGTTAGTTGAGGACACACATCACAAATAAGTTTCTGAGAATGCTTCTGTCTAGTTCTTATTTGAAGACATTTCCTTTCTCACCTTAGGCCTGAAAACGCTCGAAATATCCACTTCCAGATACGACAGAAACAGTGATTCAAACCTGCTCTATGAAAGGGAATGTTCAACTAGGTGACTTGAATGCAAACATCACAAAGCAGTTTCTGAGAATGCTTGCTGTCTACTTTCTATTTGTAATCCCGTTTCCAACGAAATCCTCAGCAACTATCGAAATTTCCAATTGCAGATTCCACAGAAACAGGGTTTCAAAGCTGCTCTGTAAAAAGAAAGGTTCAACTCTGTTAGTTGAATACACACGTCACAAACAAGTTTCTGAGAATGCTTCTGTCTAGTTTTTATGGGAAGCATATTTCCTTTTTCACCGTAGGCCTCAAAGCGCTCCAAATGTCCACTTCCACATACTACAAAAAGAGTGTTTCAAACCTGCTCTATGATAGGGAATGTTGAAACCTATGAGTTGAATGCAAACATTACAAAGAGGTTTCTGAGAATGCTTCTGTCTAGATTTTATATGTAGATATTCCCGTTTCCAACCAAATCCTCAAAGCTATCCAAATATCAACTTGCAGATTCTACAAAAGGAATGTTTCCAAAATGCTGTATCCAAACAAAGGTTCAACTCTGTGAATTGAGGGCATACATCACAAAGAAGATTCTGAGAATGCTTCTGTCTAGATTTTATATGAAAATATTCCCGTTTCCAACGAAATCCTCAAAGCTATCCAAATATCCACTTGCAAATGCCACAAAAAGAGTGTTTCCAAACTGCTCTGTGAAAAGGAAAGGTTCAACTCTGTTAGTTGAGTACACACATCACAAAGAGGTTTCTGAGAATGCTGCTGACTAGTTTTTATTTGAAGATATTTCCCTTTTCACCTTAGGCCTAAGAGTGCTCGAAATGTCCATTTCCACATACTCCACAAAGTGTGTTTCAAACGTGCTGTATGAAAGGGAATGTTCAACTCTATGAGTTGAATGCAAACATCACAAAGAAGATTCTGAGAATGCTTCTGTCTAGATTTTATATGAAGGTTTTCCCGTTTCCAACGAAATTTTCAAAGGTCTCCAAATATCCATTTGTAGATTCTACAAAAAGAGTGTTTCCAAACTGCTGTATCAAAACAAAGGTTGAACTCTGTGAGCTGAGGACACACATCACAAATAAGTTTCTGAGAATGCTTCTGTCTAGTTTTTATTTGAAGATGTTTCCTTTTTCACCATAGGCCTGAAAGCGCTCGAAGTGTCCACTTCCAGATAGTACAGAAAGTGTGTTTCAAACCTGCTCTATGAACGGGAATGTTCAGCTCTGTGAGTTGAATGCAAACATCACAAAGCAGGTTCTGAGAATGCTTCCGTCTAGATTTTAAATGAGGATATTCCTGTTTCCAACGAAATCCTCGAAGCTATCCAAATATCCACTTGCAGATTCCACAAAAAGAGTGTTTCAAAACTGCTCTGTCAAAAGATAGGTTCAACTCTGTTAGTTGAGTACACACATGGCAAACAAGATTGCGAGAATGCTTTCGTCTAGTTTTTTTGGGAAGATATTTCCTTCTTCACCATAGGCCTCAAAGCGCTCCAAATATCCATTTCCACATGCTATACAAAGAGTGTCTCAAACCTGCTGTATGAATGGGAATGTTCAACTCTATGAGTTGAATGCAAACATCACAAAGAAGTTTCTGAGAATGCTGCTGTCTAGATTTTATATGAAGGTTTACCCGCTTCCAACGAAATTTTCAATGCTCTCAAAATATCCTCTTGTAGATTCTACAAAAAGAGTGTTTCCAAACTGCTGTATCAAAACAAAGGTTCATCTCTGTTAGTTGAGGACACACATCACAAATAAGTTTCTGAGAATGCTTCTGTCTAGTTCTTATTTGAAGACATTTCCTTTCTCACCTTAGGCCTGAAAGCGCTCGAAATACCCACTTCCAGATACTACAGAAACAGTGATTCAAACCTGCTCTATGAAAGGGAATGTTCAACTAGGTGACTTGAATGCAAACATCACAAAGCAGTTTCTGAGAATGCTGCTGTCTACTTTCTATTTGTAATCCCGTTTCCAACGAAATCCTCAGAACTATCGAAATTTCCAATTGCAGATTCCACAAAAAGCGTGTTTCAAAGCTGCTCTGTAAAAAGAAAGGTTCAACTCTGTTAGTTGAATACACACGTCACAAACAAGTTTCTGAGAATGCTTCTGTCTAGTTTTTATGGGAAGATATTTCCTTTTTCACCGTAGGCCTCAAAGCGCTCCAAATGTCCACTTCCACATACTACAAAAAGAGTGTTTCAAACCTGCTCTATGATAGGGAATGTTGAAACCTATGAGTTGAATGCAAGCATTACAAAGAGGTTTCTGAGAATGCTTCTGTCTAGATTTTATATGTAGATATTCCCGTTTCCAACGAAATCCTCAAAGCTATCCAAATATCAACTTGCAGATTCTACAAAAGGAATGTTTCCAAAATGCTGTATCCAAACAAAGGTTCAACTCTGTGAATTGAGGGCATACATCACAAAGAAGATTCTGAGAATGCTTTTGTCTAGATTTTATATGAAAATATTCCCGTTTCCAACGAAATCCTCAAAGCTATCCAAATATCCACTTGCAAATGCCACAAAAAGAGTGTTTCCAAACTGCTCTGTGAAAAGGAAGGTTCAACTCTGTTAGTTGAGTACACACATCACAAAGAGGTTTCTGAGAATGCTGCTGACTAGTTTTTATTTGAAGATATTTCCCTTTTCACCTTAGGCCTAAGAGTGCTCGAAATGTCCATTTCCACATACTCCACAAAGTGTGTTTCAAACGTGCTGTATGAAAGGGAATGTTCAACTCTATGAGTTGAATGCAAACATCACAAAGAAGATTTTGAGAATGCTTTTGTCTAGATTTTATATGAAGATATTCCGGTGTCCAACGAAATTTTCAAAGGTCTCCAAATATCCATTTGTAGATTCTACAAAAAGAGTGTTTCCAAACTGCTGTATCAAAACAAAGGTTGAACTCTGTGAGTTGAGGACACACATCACAAATAAGTTTCTGAGAATGCTTCTGTCTAGTTTTTATTTGAAGATGTTTCCTTTTTCACCATAGGCCTGAAAGCGCTCGAAATGTCCACTTCCAGATAGTACAGAAAGAGTGTTTCAAACCTGCTCTATGAACGGGAATGTTCAGCTCTGTGAGTTGAATGCAAACATCACAAAGCAGGTTCTGAGAATGCTTCCGTCTAGATTTTAAATGAGGATATTCCCGTTTCCAACGAAATCCTCGAAGCTATCCAAACATCCACTTGAAGATTCCACAAAAAGAGTGTTTCAAAACTGCTCTGTCAAAAGATCGGTTCAACTCTGTTAGTTGAGTACACACATGGCAAACAAGATTCCGAGAATGCTTTCGTCTAGTTTTTTTGGGAAGATATTTCCTTCTTCACCATAGGCCTCAAAGCGCTCCAAATATCCATTTCCACATGCTATACAAAGAGTGTCTCAAACCTGCTGTATGAATGGGAATGTTCAACTCTATGAGTTGAATGCAAACATCACAAAGAAGTTTCTGAGAATGCTGCTGTCTAGATTTTATATGAAGGTTTTCCCGCTTCCAACGAAATTTTCAATGCTCTCAAAATATCCTCTTGTAGATTCTACAAAAAGAGTGTTTCCAAACTGCTGTATCAAAACAAAGGTTCATCTCTGTTAGTTGAGGACACACATCACAAATAAGTTTCTGAGAATGCTTCTGTCTAGTTCTTATTTGAAGACATTTCCTTTCTCACCTTAGGCCTGAAAGCGCTCGAAATATCCACTTCCAGATACGACAGAAACTGTGATTCAAACCTGCTCTATGAAAGGGAATGTTCAACTAGGTGACTTGAATGCAAACATCACAAAGCAGTTTCTGAGAATGCTGCTGTCTACTTTCTATTTGTAATCCCGTTTCCAACGAAATCCTCAGAACTATCGAAATTTCCAATTGCAGATTCCACAAAAAGCGTGTTTCAAAGCTGCTCTGTAAAAAGAAAGGTTCAACTCTGTTAGTTGAATACACACGTCACAAACAAGTTTCTGAGAATGCTTCTGTCTAGTTTTTATGGGAAGATATTTCCTTTTTCACCGTAGGCCTCAAAGCGCTCCAAATGTCCACTTCCACATACTACAAAAAGAGTGTATCAAACCTGCTCTATGATAGGGAATGTTGAAACCTATGAGTTGAATGCAAACATTACAAAGAGGTTTCGAGAGAATGCTTCTGTCTAGATTTTATATGTAGATATTCCCGTTTCCAACGAAATCCTCAAAGCTATCCAAATATCAACTTGCAGATTCTACAAAAGGAATGTTTCCAAAATGCTGTATCCAAACAAAGGTTCAACTCTGTGAATTGAGGGCATACATCACAAAGAAGATTCTGAGAATGCTTCTGTCTAGATTTTATATGAAAATATTCCCGTTTCCAACGAAATCCTCAAAGCTATCCAAATATCCACTTGCAAATGCCACAAAAAGAGTGTTTCCAAACTGCTCTGTGAAAAGGAAGGTTCAACTCTGTTAGTTGAGTACACACATCACAAAGAGGTTTCTGAGAATGCTGCTGACTAGTTTTTATTTGAAGATATTTCCCTTTTCACCTTAGGCCTAAGAGTGCTCGAAATGTCCATTTCCACATACTCCACAAAGTGTGTTTCAAACGTGCTGTATGAAAGGGAATGTTCAACTCTATGAGTTGAATGCAAACATCACAAAGAAGATTCTGAGAATGCTGCTGTCTAGATTTTATATGAAGGTTTTCCCGCTTCCAACGAAATTTTCAATGCTCTCAAAATATCCTCTTGTAGATTCTACAAAAAGAGTGTTTCCAAACTGCTGTATCAAAACAAAGGTTCATCTCTGTTAGTTGAGGACACACATCACAAATAAGTTTCTGAGAATGCTTCTGTCTAGTTCTTATTTGAAGACATTTCCTTTCTCACCTTAGGCCTGAAAGCGCTCGAAATACCCACTTCCAGATACGACAGAAACAGTGATTCAAACCTGCTCTATGAAAGGGAATGTTCAACTAGGTGACTTGAATGCAAACATCACAAAGCAGTTTACTGAGAATGCTGCTGTCTACTTTCCTATTTGTAATCCCGTTTCCAACGAAATCCTCAGAACTATCGAAATTTCCAATTGCAGATTCCACAGAAACAGGGTTTCAAAGCTGCTCTGTAAAAAGAAAGGTTCAACTCTGTTAGTTGAATACACACGTCACAAACAAGTTTCTGAGAATGCTTCTGTCTAGTTTTTATGGGAAGATATTTCCTTTTTCACCGTAGGCCTCAAAGCGCTCCAAATGTCCACGTCCACATACTACAAAAAGAGTGTTTCAAACCTGCTGTATGAAAGGGAATGTTCAACTCTATGAGTTGAATGCAAACATTACAAAGAAGTTTCTGAGAATGCTTCTGTCTAGCATTTTATATGAAGGTTTTCCCGTTTCCAACGAAATTTTCAATGCTCTCAAAATATCCACTTGTAGATTCTACAAAAAGAGTGTTTCCAAACTGCTGTGTCAAAAGAAAGGTTCAACTCTGTTAGTTGAGGACACACATCACAAATAAGTTTCTGAGAATGCTGCTGTCTACTTTCTATTTGTAATCCCGTTTCCAACGAAATCCTCAGAACTATCGAAATTTCCAATTGCAGATTCCACAAAAAGCGTGTTTCAAAGCTGCTCTGTAAAAAGAAAGGTTCAACTCTGTTAGTTGAATACACACGTCACAAACAAGTTTCTGAGATTGCTTCTGTCTAGTTTCTATGGGAAGATATTTCCTTTTTCACCGTAGGCCTCAAGGCGCTCCAAATGTCCACTTCCACATACTACAAAAAGAGTGTTTCAAACCTGCTCTATGATAGGGAATGTTGAAACCTATGAGTTGAATGCAAGCATTACAAAGAAGTTTCTGAGAATGCTTCTGTCTAGATTTTATATGTAGATATTCCCGTTTCCAACGAAATCCTCAAAGCTATCCAAATATCAACTTGCAGATTCTACAAAAGGAATGTTTCCAAAATGCTGTATCCAAACAAAAGTTCAACTCTGTGAATTGAGGGCATACATCACAAAGAAGATTCTGAGAATGCTTCTGTCTAGATTTTATATGAAAATATTCCCGTTTCCAACGAAATCCTCAAAGCTATCCAAATATCCACTTGCAAATGCCACAAAAAGAGTGTTTCCAAACTGCTCTGTGAAAAGGAAGGTTCAACTCTGTTAGTTGAGTACACACATCACAAAGAGGTTTCTGAGAATGCTGCTGACTAGTTTTTATTTGAAGATATTTCCCTTTTCACCTTAGGCCTAAGATTGCTCGAAATGTCCATTTCCACATACTCCATAAAGTGTGTTTCAAAGGTGCTGTATGAAAGGGAATGTTCAACTCTATGAGTTGAATGCAAACATCACAAAGAAGATTCTGAGAATGCTTTTGTCTAGATTTTATATGAAGATATTCCTGTGTCCAACGAAATTTTCAAAGGTCTCCAAATATCCATTTGTAGATTCTACAAAAAGAGTGTTTCCAAACTGCTGTATCAAAACAAAGGTTGAACTCTGTGAGTTGAGGACACACATCACAAATAAGTTTCTGAGAATGCTTCTGTCTAGTTTTTATTTGAAGATGTTTCCTTTTTCACCATAGGCCTGAAAGCGCTCGAAATGTCCACTTCCAGATAGTACAGAAAGAGTGTTTCAAACCTGCTCTATGAACGGGAATGTTCAGCTCTGTGAGTTGAATGCAAACATCACAAAGCAGGTTCTGAGAATGCTTCCGTCTAGATTTTAAATGAGGATATTCCCGTTTCCAACGAAATCCTCGAAGCTATCCAAATATCCACTTGCAGATTCCACAAAAAGAGTGTTTCAAAACTGCTCTGTCAAAAGATAGGTTCAACTCTGTTAGTTGAGTACACACATGGCAAACAAGATTGCGAGAATGCTTTCGTCTAGTTTTTTTGGGAAGATATTTCCTTCTTCACCATAGGCCTCAAAGCGCTCCAAATATCCATTTCCACATGCTATACAAAGAGTGTCTCAAACCTGCTGTATGAATGGGAATGTTCAACTCTATGAGTTGAATGCAAACATCACAAAGAAGTTTCTGAGAATGCTGCTGTCTAGATTTTATATGAAGGTTTTCCCGCTTCCAACGAAATTTTCAATGCTCTCAAAATATCCTCTTGTAGATTCTACAAAAAGAGTGTTTCCAAACTGCTGTATCAAAATAAAGGTTCATCTCTGTTAGTTGAGGACACACATCACAAATAAGTTTCTGAGAATGCTTCTGTCTAGTTCTTATTTGAAGACATTTCCTTTCTCACCTTAGGCCTGAAAACTCTCGAAATATCCACTTCCAGATACGACAGAAACTGTGATTCAAACCTGCTCTATGAAAGGGAATGTTCAACTAGGTGACTTGAATGCAAACATCACAAAGCAGTTTCTGAGAATGCTGCTGTCTACTTTCTATTTGTAATCCCGTTTCCAACGAAATCCTCAGAACTATCGAAATTTCCAATTGCAGATTCCACAAAAAGCGTGTTTCAAAGATGCTCTGTAAAAAGAAAGGTTCAACTCTGTTAGTTGAATACACACGACACAAACAAGTTTCTGAGAATGCTTCTGTCTAGTTTTTATGGGAAGATATTTCCTTTTTCACCGTAGGCCTCAAAGCGCTCCAAATGTCCACTTCCACATACTACAAAAAGAGTGTTTCAAACCTGCTGTATGAAAGGGAATGTTCAACTCTATGAGTTGAATGCAAACATTACAAAGAAGTTTCTGAGAATGCTTCTGTCTAGATTTTATATGAAGGTTTTCCCGTTTCCAACGAAATTTTCAATGCTCTCAAAATATCGACTTGTAGATTCTACAAAAAGAGTGTTTCCAAACTGCTGTGTCAAAAGAAAGGTTCAACTCTGTTAGTTGAGGACACACATCACAAATAAGTTTCTGAGAATGCTTCTGTCTAGTTCTTATTTGAAGACATTTCCTTTCTCACCTTAGGCCTGAAAACGCTCGAAATATCCACTTCCAGATACGACAGAAACAGTGATTCAAACCTGCTCTATGAAAGGGAATGTTCAACTAGGTGACTTGAATGCAAACATCACAAAGCAGTTTCTGAGAATGCTGCTGTCTACTTTGTATTTGTAATCCCGTTTCCAACGAAATCCTCAGAACTATCGAAATTTCCAATTGCAGATTCCACAAAAAGCGTGTTTCAAAGCTGCTCTGTAAAAAGAAAGGTTCAACTCTGTTAGTTGAATACACACGTCACAAACAAGTTTCTGAGAATGCTTCTGTCTAGTTTTTATGGGAAGATATTTCCTTTTTCACGGTAGGCCTCAAAGCGCTCCAAATGTCCACTTCCACATACTACAAAAAGAGTGTTTCAAACCTGCTCTATGATAGGGAATGTTGAAACCTATGAGTTGAATGCAAGCATTACAAAGAGGTTTCTGAGAATGCTTCTGTCTAGATTTTATATGTAGATATTCCCGTTTCCAACGAAATCCTCAAAGCTATCCAAATATCAACTTGCAGATTCTACAAAAGGAATGTTTCCAAAATGCTGTATCCAAACAAAGGTTCAACTCTGTGAATTGAGGGCATACATCACAAAGAAGATTCTGAGAATGCTTCTGTCTAGATTTTATATGAAAATATTCCCGTTTCCAACGAAATCCTCAAAGCTATCCAAATATCCACTTGCAAATGCCACAAAAAGAGTGTTTCCAAACTGCTCTGTGAAAAGGAAGGTTCAACTCTGTTAGTTGAGTACACACATCACAAAGAGGTTTCTGAGAATGCTGCTGACTAGTTTTTATTTGAAGATATTTCCCTTTTCACCTTAGGCCTAAGAGTGCTCGAAATGTCCATTTCCACATACTCCACAAAGTGTGTTTCAAACGTGCTGTATGAAAGGGAATGTTCAACTCTATGAGTTGAATGCAAACATCACAAAGAAGATTCTGAGAATGCTTTTGTCTAGATTTTATATGAAGATATTCCCGTGTCCAACGAAATTTTCAAAGGTCTCCAAATATCCATTTGTAGATTCTACAAAAAGAGTGTTTCCAAACTGCTGTATCAAAACAAAGGTTGAACTCTGTGAGTTGAGGACACACATCACAAATAAGTTTCTGAGAATGCTTCTGTCTAGTTTTTATTTGAAGATGTTTCCTTTTTCACCATAGGCCTGAAAGCGCTCGAAATGTCCACTTCCAGATAGTACAGAAAGAGTGTTTCAAACCTGCTCTATGAACGGGAATGTTCAGCTCTGTGAGTTGAATGCAAACATCACAAAGCAGGTTCCGAGAATGCTTCCGTCTAGATTTTAAATGAGGATATTCCCGTTTCCAACGAAATCCTCGAAGCTATCCAAATATCCACTTGCAGATTCCACAAAAAGAGTGTTTCAAAACTGCTCTGTCAAAAGATAGGTTCAACTCTGTTAGTTGAGTACACACATGGCAAACAAGATTCCGAGAATGCTTTCGTCTAGTTTTTATGGGAAGATATTTCCTTCTTCACCATAGGCCTCAAAGCGCTCCAAATATCCATTTCCACATGCTATACAAAGAGTGTCTCAAACCTGCTGTATGAATGGGAATGTTCAACTCTATGAGTTGAATGCAAACATCACAAAGCAGTTTCTGAGAATGCTGTTGTCTACTTTCTATTTGTAATCCCGTTTCCAACGAAATCCTCAGAACTATCGAAATTTCCAATTGCAGATTCCACAAAAAGCGTGTTTCAAAGCTGCTCTGTAAAAAGAAAGTTTCAACTCTGTTAGTTGAATACACACGTCACAAACAAGTTTCTGAGAATGCTTCTGTCTAGTTTTTATGGGAAGATATTTCCTTTTTCACCGTAGGCCTCAAAGCGCTCCAAATGTCCACTTCCACATACTACAAAAAGAGTGTTTCAAACCTGCTGTATGAAAGGGAATGTTCAACTCTATGAGTTGAATGCAAACATTACAAAGAAGTTTCTGAGAATGCTTCTGTCTAGATTTTATATGAAGGTTTTCCCGTTTCCAACGAAATTTTCAATGCTCTCAAAATATCCTCTTGTAGATTCTACAAAAAGAGTGTTTCCAAACTGCTGTGTCAAAAGAAAGGTTCAACTCTGTTAGTTGAGGACACACATCACAAATAAGTTTCTGAGAATGCTTCTGTCTAGTTCTTATTTGAAGACATTTCCTTTCTCACCTTAGGCCTGAAAACGCTCGAAATATCCACTTCCAGATACGACAGAAACAGTGATTCAAACCTGCTCTATGAAAGGGAATGTTCAACTAGGTGACTTGAATGCAAACATCACAAAGCAGTTTCTGAGAATGCTGCTGTCTACTTTCTATTTGTAATCCCGTTTCCAACGAAATCCTCAGAACTATCGAAATTTCCAATTGCAGATTCCACAAAAAGCGTGTTTCAAAGCTGCTCTGTAAAAAGAAAGGTTCAACTCTGTTAGTTGAATACACACGTCACAAACAAGTTTCTGAGAATGCTTCTGTCTAGTTTTTATGGGAAGATATTTCCTTTTTCACCGTAGGCCTCAAAGCGCTCCAAATGTCCACTTCCACATACTACAAAAAGAGTGTTTCAAACCTGCTCTATGATAGGGAATGTTGAAACCTATGAGTTGAATGCAAGCATTACAAAGAGGTTTCTGAGAATGCTTCTGTCTAGATTTTATATGTAGATATTCCCGTTTCCAACGAAATCCTCAAAGCTATCCAAATATCAACTTACAGATTCTACAAAAGGAATGTTTCCAAAATGCTGTATCCAAACAGAGGTTCAACTCTGTGAATTGAGGGCATACATCACAAAGAAGATTCTGAGAATGCTTCTGTCTAGATTTTATATGAAAATATTCCCGTTTCCAACGAAATCCTCAAAGCTATCCAAATATCCACTTGCAAATGCCACAAAAAGAGTGTTTCCAAACTGCTCTGTGAAAAGGAAGGTTCAACTCTGTTAGTTGAGTACACACATCACAAAGAGGTTTCTGAGAATGCTGCTGACTAGTTTTTATTTGAAGATATTTCCCTTTTCACCTTAGGCCTAAGAGTGCTCGAAATGTCCATTTCCACATACTCCACAAAGTGTGTTTCAAACGTGCTGTATGAAAGGGAATGTTCAACTCTATGAGTTGAATGCAAACATCACAAAGAAGATTCTGAGAATGCTTTTGTCTAGATTTTATATGAAGATATTCCCGTGTCCAACGAAATTTTCAAAGGTCTCCAAATATCCATTTGTAGATTCTACAAAAAGAGTGTTTCCAAACTGCTGTATCAAAACAAAGGTTGAACTCTGTGAGTTGAGGACACACATCACAAATAAGTTTCTGAGAATGCTTCTGTCTAGTTTTTATTTGAAGATGTTTCCTTTTTCACCATAGGCCTGAAAGCGCTCGAAATGTCCACTTCCAGATAGTACAGAAAGAGTGTTTCAAACCTGCTCTATGAACGGGAATGTTCAGCTCTGTGAGTTGAATGCAAACATCACAAAGCAGGTTCTGAGAATGCTTCCGTCTAGATTTTAAATGAGGATATTCCCGTTTCCAACGAAATCCTCGAAGCTATCCAAATATCCACTTGCAGATTCCACAAAAAGAGTGTTTCAAAACTGCTCTGTCAAAAGATAGGTTCAACTCTGTTAGTTGAGTACACACATGGCAAACAAGATTCCGAGAATGCTTTCGTCTAGTTTTTTTGGGAAGATATTTCCTTCTTCACCATAGGCCTCAAAGCGCTCCAAATATCCATTTCCAAATGCTATACAAAGAGTGTCTCAAACCTGCTGTATGAATGGGAATGTTCAACTCTATGAGTTGAATGCAAACATCACAAAGAAGTTTCTGAGAATGCTGCTGTCTAGATTTTATATGAAGGTTTTCCCGCTTCCAACGAAATTTTCAATGCTCTCAAAATATCCTCTTGTAGATTCTACAAAAAGAGTGTTTCCAAACTGCTGTATCAAAACAAAGGTTCATCTCTGTTAGTTGAGGACACACATCACAAATAAGTTTCTGAGAATGCTTCTGTCTAGTTCTTATTTGAAGACATTTCCTTTCTCACCTTAGGCCTGAAAGCGCTCGAAATACCCACTTCCAGATACTACAGAAACAGTGATTCAAACCTGCTCTATGAAAGGGAATGTTCATCTAGGTGACTTGAATGCAAACATCAGAAAGCAGTTTCTGAGAATGCTGCTGTCTACTTTCTATTTGTAATCCCGTTTCCAACGAAATCCTCAGAACTATCGAAATTTCCAATTGCAGATTCCACAGAAACAGGGTTTCAAAGCTGCTCTGTAAAAAGAAAGGTTCAACTCTGTTAGTTGAATACACACGTCACAAACAAGTTTCTGAGAATGCTTCTGTCTAGTTTTTATGGGAAGATATTTCCTTTTTCACCGTAGGCCTCAAAGCGCTCCAAATGTCCACTTCCACATACTACAAAAAGAGTGTTTCAAACCTGCTCTATGATAGGGAATGTTGAAACCTATGAGTTGAATGCAAACATTACAAAGAGGTTTCTGAGAATGCTTCTGTCTAGATTTTATATGTAGATAGATATTCCCGTTTCCAACGAAATCCTCAAAGCTATCCAAATATCAACTTGCAGATTCTACAAAAGGAATGTTTCCAAAATGCTGTATCCAAACAAAGGTTCAACTCTGTGAATTGAGGGCATACATCACAAAGAAGATTCTGAGAATGCTTCTGTCTAGATTTTATATGAAAATATTCCCGTTTCCAATGAAATCCTCAAAGCTATCCAAATATCCACTTGCAAATGCCACAAAAAGAGTGTTTCCAAACTGCTCTGTGAAAAGGAAGGTTCAACTCTGTTAGTTGAGTACACACATCACAAAGAGGTTTCTGAGAATGCTGCTGACTAGTTTTTATTTGAAGATATTTCCCTTTTCACCTTAGGCCTAAGAGTGCTCGAAATGTCCATTTCCACATACTCCACAAAGTGTGTTTCAAACGTGCTGTATGAAAGGGAATGTTCAACTCTATGAGTTGAATGCAAACATCACAAAGAAGATTCTGAGAATGCTTCTGTCTAGATTTTATATGAAGATATTCCCGTGTCCAACGAAATTTTCAAAGGTCTCCAAATATCCATTTGTAGATTCTACAAAAAGAGTGTTTCCAAACTGCTGTATCAAAACAAAGGTTGAACTCTGTGAGTTGAGGACACACATCACAAATAAGTTTCTGAGAATGCTTCTGTCTAGTTTTTATTTGAAGATGTTTCCTTTTTCACCATAGGCCTGAAAGCGCTCGAAATGTCCACTTCCAGATAGTACAGAAAGAGTGTTTCAAACCTGCTCTATGAACGGGAATGTTCAGCTCTGTGAGTTGAATGCAAACATCACAAAGCAGGTTCTGAGAATGCTTCCGTCTAGATTTTAAATGAGGATATTCCCGTTTCCAACGAAATCCTCGAAGCTATCCAAATATCCACTTGCAGATTCCACAGAAAGAGTGTTTCAAAACTGCTCTCTCAAAAGATAGGTTCAACTCTGTTAGTTGAGTACACACATGGCAAACAAGATTCCGAGAATGCTTTCGTCTAGTTTTTTTGGGAAGATATTTCCTTCTTCACCATAGGCCTCAAAGCGCTCCAAATATCCATTTCCACATGCTATACAAAGAGTGACTCAAACCTGCTGTATGAATGGGAATGTTCAACTCTATGAGTTGAATGCAAACATCACAAAGAAGTTTCTGAGAATGCTGCTGTCTAGATTTTATATGAAGGTTTTCCCGCTTCCAACGAAATTTTCAATGCTCTCAAAATATCCTCTTGTAGTTTCTACAAAAAGAGTGTTTCCAGACTGCTGTATCAAAACAAAGGTTCATCTCTGTTAGTTGAGGACACACATCACAAATAAGTTTCTGAGAATGCTTCTGTCTAGTTCTTATTTGAAGACATTTCCTTTCTCACCTTAGGCCTGAAAGCGCTCGAAATACCCACTTCCAGATACTACAGAAACAGTGATTCAAACCTGCTCTATGAAAGGGAATGTTCAACTATGTGACTTGAATGCAAACATCACAAAGCAGTTTCTGAGAATGCTGCTGTCTACTTTCTATTTGTAATCCCGTTTCCAACGAAATCCTCAGAACTATCGAAATTTCCAATTGCAGATTCCACAGAAACAGGTTTTCAAAGCTGCTCTGTAAAAAGAAAGGTTCAACTCTGTTAGTTGAATACACACGTCACAAACAAGTTTCTGAGAATGCTTCTGTCTAGTTTTTATGGGAAGATATTTCCTTTTTCACCGTAGGCCTCAAAGCGCTCCAAATGTCCACTTCCACATACTACAAAAAGAGTGTTTCAAACCTGCTGTATGAAAGGGAATGTTCAACTCTATGAGTTGAATGCAAACATTACAAAGAAGTTTCTGAGAATGCTTCTGTCTAGATTTTATATGAAGGTTTTCCTGCTTCCAACGAAATTTTCAATGCTCTCAAAATATCCACTTGTAGATTCTACAAAAAGAGTGTTTCCAAACTGCTGTGTCAAAACAAAGGTTCAACTCTGTTAGTTGAGGACACACATCACAAATAAGTTTCTGAGAATGCTTCTGTCTAGTTCTTATTTGAAGACATTTCCTTTCTCACCTTAGGCCTGAAAGCGCTCCAAATACCCACTTCCAGATACTACAGAAACAGTGATTCAAACCTGCTCTATGAAAGGGAATGTTCAACTATGTGACTTGAATGCAAACATCACAAAGCAGTTTCTGAGAATGCTGCTGTCTACTTTCTATTTGTAATCCCGTTTCCAACGAAATCCTCAGAACTATCGAAATTTCCAATTGCAGATTCCACAAAAACAGGGTTTCAAAGCTGCTCTGTAAAAAGAAAGGTTCAACTCTGTTAGTTGAATACACACGTCACAAACAAGTTTCTGAGAATGCTTCTGTCTAGTTTTTATGGGAAGATATTTCCTTTTTCACCGTAGGCCTCAAAGCGCTCCAAATGTCCACTTCCACATACTACAAAAACAGTGTTTCAAACCTGCTGTATGAAAGGGAATGTTCAACTCTATGAGTTGAATGCAAACATTACAAAGAAGTTTCTGAGAATGCTTCTGTCTAGATTTTATATGAAGGTTTTCCCGCTTCCAACGAAATTTAAAATGCTCTCAAAATATCCACTTGTAGATTCTACAAAAAGAGTGTTTCCAAACTGCTGTATCAAAACAAAGGTTCAACTCTGTTAGTTGAGGACACACATCACAAATAAGTTTCTGAGAATGCTTCTGTCTAGTTCTTATTTGAAGATATTTCCTTTCTCACCTTAGGCCTGAAAGCGCTCGAAATATCCACTTCCAGATACTACAGAAATAGTGATTCAAACCTGCCCTATGAAAGGGAATGTTCAACTATGTGACTTGAATGCAAACATCACAAAGCAGTTTCTGAGAATGCTGCTGTCTACTTTCTATTTGTAATCCCGTTTCCAAAGAAATTCTCAGAACTATCGAAATTTCCAATTGCAGATTCCACAAAAGTGTGTTTCAAAGCTGCTCTGTAAAAAGAAAGGTTCAACTCTTTTAGTTGAATACACGTCAGAAGCAAGTTTCTGAGAATGCTTCTGTCTAGTTTTTATCGGAAGATATTTCCTTTTTCACCGTAGGCCTCAAAGCGCTCCAAATGTCCACTTCCACATACTACAAAAAGAGTGTTTCAAACCTGCTCTATGATAGGGAATGTTGAAACCTATGAGTTGAATGCAAACATTACAAAGAGGTTTCTGAGAATGCTTCTGTCTAGGTTTTATATGTAGATATTCCCGTTTCCAACGAAATCCTCAAAGCTATCCAAATATCAACTTGCAGATACTACAAAAGGAATGTTTCCAAAATGCTGTATCCAAACAAAGGTTCAACTCTGTGAATTGAGGGCATACATCACAAAGAAGATTCTGAGAATGCTTCTGTCTAGATTTTATATGAAAATATTCCCGTTTCCAACGAAATCCTCAAAGCTATCCAAATATCCACTTGCAAATGCCACAAAAAGAGTGTTTCCAAACTGCTCTGTGAAAAGGAAGGTTCAACTCTGTTAGTTGAGTACACACATCACAAAGAGGTTTCTGAGAATGCTGCTGACTAGTTTTTATTTGAAGATATTTCCCTTTTCACCTTAGGCCTAAGAGTGCTCGAAATGTCCATTTCCACATACTCCACAAAGTGTGTTTCAAACGTGCTGTATGAAAGGGAATGTTCAACTCTATGAGTTGAATGCAAACATCACAAAGAAGATTCTGAGAATGCTTTTGTCTAGCATTTTATATGAAGATATTCCCGTGTCCAACGAAATTTTCAAAGGTCTCCAAATATCCATTTGTAGATTCTACAAAAAGAGTGTTTCCAAACTGCTGTATCAAAACAAAGGTTGAACTCTGTGAGTTGAGGACACACATCACAAATAAGTTTCTGAGAATGCTTCTGTCTAGTTTTTATTTGAAGATGTTTCCTTTTTCACCATAGGCCTGAAAGCGCTCGAAATGTCCACTTCCAGATAGTACAGAAAGAGTGTTTCAAACCTGCTCTATGAACGGGAATGTTCAGCTCTGTGAGTTGAATGCAAACATCACAAAGCAGGTTCTGAGAATGCTTCCGTCTAGATTTTATATGAGGATATTCCCGTTTCCAAGGAAATCCTCGAAGCTGTCCAAATATCCACTTGCAGATTCCACAAAAAGAGTGTTTCAAAACTGCTCTGTCAAAAGATAGGTTCAACTCTGTTAGTTGAGTACACACATGGCAAACAAGATTCCGAGAATGCTTTCGTCTAGTTTTTTTGGGAAGATATTTCCTTCTTCACCATAGGCCTCAAAGCGCTCCAAATATCCATTTCCACATGCTATACAAAGAGTGTCTCAAACCTGCTGTATGAATGGGAATGTTCAACTCTATGAGTTGAATGCAAACATCACAAAGAAGTTTCTGAGAATGCTGCTGTCTAGATTTTATATGAAGGTTTTCCCGCTTCCAACGAAATTTTCAATGCTCTCAAAATATCCTCTTGTAGATTCTACAAAAAGAGTGTTTCCAAACTGCTGTATCAAAACAAAGGTTCATCTCTGTTAGTTGAGGACACACATCACAAATAAGTTTCTGAGAATGCTTCTGTCTAGTTCTTATTTGAAGACATTTCCTTTCTCACCTTAGGCCTGAAAACGCTCGAAATACCCACTTCCAGATACGACAGAAACTGTGATTCAAACCTGCTCTATGAAAGGGAATGTTCAACTAGGTGACTTGAATGCAAACATCACAAAGCAGTTTCTGAGAATGCTGCTGTCTACTTTCTATTTGTAATCCCGTTTCCAACGAAATCCTCAGAACTATCGAAATTTCCAATTGCAGATTCCACAAAAAGCGTGTTTCAAAGCTGCTCTGTAAAAAGAAAGGTTCAACTCTGTTAGTTGAATACACACGTCACAAACAAGTTTCTGAGAATGCTTCTGTCTAGTTTTTATGGGAAGATATTTCCTTTTTCACCGTAGGCCTCAAAGCGCTCCACATATCCCCTTCCACATACTACAAAAAGAGTGTTTCGATCCTGCTCTATGATAGGGAATGTTGAAACCTATGAGTTGAATGTAAACATTACCAAGAGGTTTCTGAGAAATCTTCTGTCTGGATTTTATATGTAGATATTCCCGTTTCCAACGAAATCCTCAAAGCTATCCAAATATCAACTTGCAGATTCTACAAAAGGAATGTTTCCAAAATGCTGTATCCAAACAAAGGTTCAACTCTGTGAATTGAGGGCATACATCACAAAGAAGATTCTGAGAATGCTTCTGTCTAGATTTTATATGAAAATATTCCCGTTTCCAACGAAATCCTCAAAGCTATCCAAATATCCACTTGCAAATGCCACAAAAAGAGTGTTTCCAAACTGCTCTGTGAAAAGGAAGGTTCAACTCTGTTAGTTGAGTACACACATCACAAAGAGGTTTCTGAGAATGCTGCTGACTAGTTTTTATTTGAAGATATTTCCCTTTTCACCTTAGGCCTAAGAGTGCTCGAAATGTCCATTTCCACATACTCCACAAAGTGTGTTTCAAACGTGCTGTATGAAAGGGAATGTTCAACTCTATCAGTTGAATGCAAACATCACAAAGAAGACTCTGAGAATGCTTTTGTCTAGATTTTATATGAAGATATTCCCGTGTCCAACGAAATTTTCAAAGTTCTCCAAATATCCATTTGTAGATTCTACAAAAAGAGTGTTTCCAAACTGCTGTATCAAAACAAAGGTTGAACTCTGTGAGTTGAGGACACACATCACAAATAAGTTTCTGAGAATGCTTCTGTCTAGTTTTTATTTGAAGATGTTTCCTTTTTCACCATAGGCCTGAAAGCGCTCGAAATGTCCACTTCCAGATAGTACAGAAAGAGTGTTTCAAACCTGCTCTATGAACGGGAATGTTCAGCTCTGTGAGTTGAATGCAAACATCACAAAGCAGGTTCTGAGAATGCTTCCGTCTAGATTTTAAATGAGGATATTCCCGTTTCCAACGAAATCCTCGAAGCTATCCAAATATCCACTTGCAGATTCCACAAAAAGAGTGTTTCAAAACTGCTCTGTCAAAAGATAGGTTCAACTCTGTTAGTTGAGTACACACATGGCAAACAAGATTCCGAGAATGCTTTCGTCTAGTTTTTTTGGGAAGATATTTCCTTCTTCACCATAGGCCTCAAAGCGCTCCAAATATCCATTTCCACATGCTATACAAAGAGTGTCTCAAACCTGCTGTATGAATGGGAATGTTCAACTCTATGAGTTGAATGCAAACATCACAAAGAAGTTTCTGAGAATGCTTCTGTCTAGATTTTATATGAAGGTTTTCCCGTTTCCAAGGAAATTTTCAATGCTCTCAAAATATCCACTTGTAGATTCTACAAAAAGAGTGTTTCCAAACTGCTGTGTCAAAAGAAAGGTTCAACTCTGTTAGTTGAGGACACACATCACAAATAAGTTTCTGAGAATGCTTCTGTCTAGTTCTTATTTGAAGACATTTCCTTTCTCACCTTAGGCCTGAAAGCGCTCGAAATATCCACTTCCAGATACGACAGAAACTGTGATTCAAACCTGCTCTATGAAAGGGAATGTTCAACTAGGTGACTAGAATGCAAACATCACAAAGCAGTTTCTGAGAATGCTGCTGTCTACTTTGTATTTGTAATCCCGTTTCCAACGAAATCCTCAGAACTATCGAAATTTCCAATTGCAGATTCCACAAAAAGCGTGTTTCAAAGCTGCTCTGTAAAAAGAAAGGTTCAACTCTGTTAGTTGAATACACACGTCACAAACAAGTTTCTGAGAATGCTTCTGTCTAGTTTTTATGGGAAGATATTTCCTTTTTCACCGTAGGCCTCAAAGCGCTCCAAATGTCCACTTCCACATACTACAAAAAGAGTGTTTCAAACCTGCTCTATGATAGGGAATGTTGAAACCTATGAGTTGAATGCAAGCATTACAAAGAGGTTTCTGAGAATGCTTCTGTCTAGATTTTATATGTAGATATTCCCGTTTCCAACGAAATCCTCAAAGCTATCCGAATATCAACTTGCAGATTCTACAAAAGGAATGTTTCCAAAATGCTGTATCCAAACAAAGGTTCAACTCTGTGAATTGAGGGCATACATCACAAAGAAGATTCTGAGAATGCTTCTGTCTAGATTTTATATGAAAATATTCCCGTTTCCAACGAAATCCTCAAAGCTATCCAAATATCCACTTGCAAATGCCACAAAAAGAGTGTTTCCAAACTGCTCTGTGAAAAGGAAGGTTCAACTCTGTTAGTTGAGTACACACATCACAAAGAGGTTTCTGAGAATGCTGCTGACTAGTTTTTATTTGAAGATATTTCCCTTTTCACCTTAGGCCTAAGAGTGCTCGAAATGTCCATTTCCACATACTCCACAAAGTGTGTTTCAAACGTGCTGTATGAAAGGGAATGTTCAACTCTATGAGTTGAATTCAAACATCACAAAGAAGATTCTGAGAATGCTTTTGTCTAGATTTTATATGAAGATATTCCCGTGTCCAACGAAATTTTCAAAGTTCTCCAAATATCCATTTGTAGATTCTACAAAAAGAGTGTTTCCAAACTGCTGTATCAAAACAAAGGTTGAACTCTGTGAGTTGAGGACACACATCACAAATAAGTTTCTGAGAATGCTTCTGTCTAGTTTTTATTTGAAGATGTTTCCTTTTTCACCATAGGCCTGAAAGCGCTCGAAATGTCCACTTCCAGATAGTACAGAAAGAGTGTTTCAAACCTGCTCTATGAACGGGAATGTTCAGCTCTGTGAGTTGAATGCAAACATCACAAAGCAGGTTCTGAGAATGCTTCCGTCTAGATTTTAAATGAGGATATTCCCGTTTCCAACGAAATCCTCGAAGCTATCCAAATATCCACTTGCAGATTCCACAAAAAGAGTGTTTCAAAACTGCTCTGTCAAAAGATAGGTTCAACTCTGTTAGTTGAGTACACACATGGCAAACAAGATTGCGAGAATGCTTTCGTCTAGTTTTTTTGGGAAGATATTTCCTTCTTCACCATAGGCCTCAAAGCGCTCCAAATATCCATTTCCAAATGCTATACAAAGAGTGTCTCAAACCTGCTGTATGAATGGGAATGTTCAACTCTATGAGTTGAATGCAAACATCACAAAGAAGTTTCTGAGAATGCTGCTGTCTAGATTTTATATGAAGGTTTTCCCGCTTCCAACGAAATTTTCAATGCTCTCAAAATATCCTCTTGTAGATTCTACAAAAAGAGTGTTTCCAAACTGCTGTATCAAAACAAAGGTTCATCTCTGTTAGTTGAGGACACACATCACAAATAAGTTTCTGAGAATGCTTCTGTCTAGTTCTTATTTGAAGACATTTCCTTTCTCACCTTAGGCCTGAAAACGCTCGAAATATCCACTTCCAGATACGACAGAAACAGTGATTCAAACCTGCTGCTATGAAAGGGAATGTTCAACTAGGTGACTTGAATGCAAACATCACAAAGCAGTTTCTGAGAATGCTGCTGTCTACTTTCTATTTGTAATCCCGTTTCCAACGAAATCCTCAGAACTATCGAAATTTCCAATTGCAGATTCCACAAAAAGCGTGTTTCAAAGCTGCTCTGTAAAAAGAAAGGTTCAACTCTGTTAGTTGAATACACACGTCACAAACAAGTTTCTGAGAATGCTTCTGTCTAGTTTTTATGGGAAGATATTTCCTTTTTCACCGTAGGCCTCAAAGCGCTCCAAATGTCCACTTCCACATACTACAAAAAGAGTGTTTCAAACCTGCTCTATGATAGGGAATGTTGAAACCTATGAGTTGAATGCAAGCATTACAAAGAGGTTTCTGAGAATGCTTCTGTCTAGATTTTATATGTAGATATTCCCGTTTCCAACGAAATCCTCAAACTATCCAAATATCAACTTGCAGATTCTACAAAAGGAATGTTTCCAAAATGCTGTATCCAAACAAAGGTTCAACTCTGTGAATTGAGGGCATACATCACAAAGAAGATTCTGAGAATGCTTCTGTCTAGATTTTATATGAAAATATTCCCGTTTCCAACGAAATCCTCAAAGCTATCCAAATATCCACTTGCAAATGCCACAAAAAGAGTGTTTCCAAACTGCTCTGTGAAAAGGAAGGTTCAACTCTGTTAGTTGAGTACACACATCACAAAGAGGTTTCTGAGAATGCTGCTGACTAGTTTTTATTTGAAGATATTTCCCTTTTCACCTTAGGCCTAAGAGTGCTCGAAATGTCCATTTCCACATACTCCACAAAGTGTGTTTCAAACGTGCTGTATGAAAGGGAATGTTCAACTCTATGAGTTGAATGCAAACATCACAAAGAAGATTCTGAGAATGCTTTTGTCTAGATTTTATATGAAGATATTCCCGTGTCCAACGAAATTTTCAAAGGTCTCCAAATATCCATTTGTAGATTCTACAAAAAGAGTGTTTCCAAACTGCTGTATCAAAACAAAGGTTGAACTCTGTGAGTTGAGGACACACATCACAAATAAGTTTCTGAGAATGCTTCTGTCTAGTTTTTATTTGAAGATATTTCCTTTTTCACCATAGGCCTGAAAGCGCTCGAAATGTCCACTTCCAGATAGTACAGAAAGAGTGTTTCAAACCTGCTCTATGAACAGGAATGTTCAGCTCTGTGAGTTGAATGCAAACATCACAAAGCAGGTTCTGAGAATGCTTCCGTCTAGATTTTATATGAGGATATTCCCGTTTCCAAGGAAATCCTCGAAGCTATCCAAATATCCATTTGCAGATTCCACAAAAAGAGTGTTTCAAAACTGCTCTGTCAAAAGATAGGTTCAACTCTGTTAGTTGAGTACACACATGGCAAACAAGATTGCGAGAATGCTTTCGTCTAGTTTTTTGGGAAGATATTTCCTTCTTCACCATAGGCCTCAAAGCGCTCCAAATATCCATTTCCACATGCTATACAAAGAGTGTCTCAAACCTGCTGTATGAATGGGAATGTTCAACTCTATGAGTTGAATGCAAACATCACAAAGAAGTTTCTGAGAATGCTGCTGTCTAGATTTTATATGAAGGTTTTCCCGCTTCCAACGAAATTTTCAATGCTCTCAAAATATCCTCTTGTAGATTCTACAAAAAGAGTGTTTCCAAACTGCTGTATCAAAACAAAGGTTCATCTCTGTTAGTTGAGGACACACATCACAAATAAGTTTCTGAGAATGCTTCTGTCTAGTTCTTATTTGAAGACATTTCCTTTCTCACCTTAGGCCTGAAAGCGCTCGAAATACCCACTTCGAGATACTACAGAAACAGTGATTCAAACCTGCTCTATGAAAGGGAATGTTCAACTAGGTGACTTGAATGCAAACATCACAAAGCAGTTTCTGAGAATGCTGCTGTCTACTTTCTATTTGTAATCCCGTTTCCAACGAAATCCTCAGAACTATCGAAATTTCCAATTGCAGATTCCACAGAAACAGGGTTTCAAAGCTGCTCTGTAAAAAGAAAGGTTCAACTCTGTTAGTTGAATACACACGTCACAAACAAGTTTCTGAGAATGCTTCTGTCTAGTTTTTATGGGAAGATATTTCCTTTTTCACCGTAGGCCTCAAAGCGCTCCCAATGTCCACTTCCACATACTACAAAAAGAGTGTTTCAAACCTGCTGTATGAAAGGGAATGTTCAACTCTATGAGTTGAATGCAAACATTACAAAGAAGTTTCTGAGAATGCTTCTGTCTAGATTTTATATGAAGGTTTTCCCGTTTCCAACGAAATTTTCAATGCTCTCAAAATATCCACTTGTAGATTCTACAAAAAGAGTGTTTCCAAACTGCTGTGTCAAAAGAAAGGTTCAACTCTGTTAGTTGAGGACACACATCACAAATAAGTTTCTGAGAATGCTTCTGTCTAGTTCTTATTTGAAGACATTTCCTTTCTCACCTTAGGCCTGAAAACGCTCGAAATATCCACTTCCAGATACGACAGAAACAGTGATTCAAACCTGCTCTATGAAAGGGAATGTTCAACTAGGTGACTTGAATGCAAACATCACAAAGCAGTTTCTGAGAATGCTGCTGTCTACTTTCTATTTGTAATCCCGTTTCCAACGAAATCCTCAGAACTATCGAAATTTCCAATTGCAGATTCCACAAAAAGCGTGTTTCAAAGCTGCTCTGTAAAAAGAAAGGTTCAACTCTGTTAGTTGAATACACACGTCACAAACAAGTTTCTGAGAATGCTTCTGTCTAGTTTTTATGGGAAGATATTTCCTTTTTCACCGTAGGCCTCAAAGCGCTCCAAATGTCCACTTCCACATACTACAAAAAGAGTGTTTCAAACCTGCTCTATGATAGGGAATGTTGAAACCTATGAGTTGAATGCAAGCATTACAAAGAGGTTTCTGAGAATGCTTCTGTCTAGATTTTATATGTAGATATTCCCGTTTCCAACGAAATCCTCAAACTATCCAAATATCAACTTGCAGATTCTACAAAAGGAATGTTTCCAAAATGCTGTATCCAAACAAAGGTTCAACTCTGTGAATTGAGGGCATACATCACAAAGAAGATTCTGAGAATGCTTCTGTCTAGATTTTATATGAAAATATTCCCGTTTCCAACGAAATCCTCAAAGCTATCCAAATATCCACTTGCAAATGCCACAAAAAGAGTGTTTCCAAACTGCTCTGTGAAAAGGAAGGTTCAACTCTGTTAGTTGAGTACACACATCACAAAGAGGTTTCTGAGAATGCTGCTGACTAGTTTTTATTTGAAGATATTTCACTTTTCACCTTAGGCCTAAGAGTGCTCGAAATGTCCATTTCCACATACTCCACAAAGTGTGTTTCAAACGTGCTGTATGAAAGGTAATGTTCAACTCTATGAGTTGAATGCAAACATCACAAAGAAGATTCTGAGAATGCTTTTGTCTAGATTTTATATGAAGATATTCCCGTGTCCAACGAAATTTTCAAAGGTCTCCAAATATCCATTTGTAGATTCTACAAAAAGAGTGTTTCCAAACTGCTGTATCAAAACAAAGGTTGAACTCTGTGAGTTGAGGACACACATCACAAATAAGTTTCTGAGAATGCTTCTGTCTAGTTTTTATTTGAAGATGTTTCCTTTTTCACCATAGGCCTGAAAGCGCTCGAAATGTCCACTTCCAGATAGTACAGAAAGAGTGTTTCAAACCTGCTCTATGAACGGGAATGTTCAGCTCTGTGAGTTGAATGCAAACATCACAAAGCAGGTTCTGAGAATGCTTCCGTCTAGATTTTAAATGAGGATATTCCCGTTTCCAACGAAATCCTCGAAGCTATCCAAATATCCACTTGCAGATTCCACAAAAAGAGTGTTCCAAAACTGCTCTGTCAAAAGATAGGTTCAACTCTGTTAGTTGAGTACACACATGGCAAACAAGATTCCGAGAATGCTTTCGTCTAGTTTTTTTGGGAAGATATTTCCTTCTTCACCATAGGCCTCAAAGCGCTCCAAATATCCATTTCCACATGCTATACAAAGAGTGTCTCAAACCTGCTGTATGAATGGGAATGTTCAACTCTATGAGTTGAATGCAAACATCACAAAGAAGTTTCTGAGAATGCTGCTGCCTAGATTTTATATGAAGGTTTTCCCGCTTCCAACGAAATTTTCAATGCTCTCAAAATATCCTCTTGTAGATTCTACAAAAAGAGTGTTTCCAAACTGCTGTATCAAAACAAAGGTTCATCTCTGTTAGTTGAGGACACACATCACAAATAAGTTTCTGAGAATGCTTCTGTCTAGTTCTTATTTGAAGACATTTCCTTTCTCACCTTAGGCCTGAAAACGCTCGAAATATCCACTTCCAGTTACGACAGAAACAGTGATTCAAACCTGCTCTATGAAAGGGAATGTTCAACTAGGTGACTTGAATGCAAACATCACAAAGCAGTTTCTGAGAATGCTGCTGTCTACTTTCTATTTGTAATCCCGTTTCCAACGAAATCCTCAGAACTATCGAAATTTCCAATTGCAGATTCCACAAAAAGCGTGTTTCAAAGCTGCTCTGTAAAAAGAAAGGTTCAACTCTGTTAGTTGAATACACACGTCACAAACAAGTTTCTGAGAATGCTTCTGTCTAGTTTTTATGGGAAGATATTTCCTTTTTCACCGTAGAACTCAAAGCGCTCCAAATGTCCACTTCCACATACTACAAAAAGAGTGTTTCAAACCTGCTCTATGATAGGGAATGTTGAAACCTATGAGTTGAATGCAAGCATTACAAAGAGGTTTCTGAGAATGCTTCTGTCTAGATTTTATATGTAGATATTCCCGTTTCCAACGAAATCCTCAAAGCTATCCAAATATCAACTTGCAGATTCTACAAAAGGAATGTTTCCAAAATGCTGTATCCAAACAAAGGTTCAACTCTGTGAATTGAGGGCATACATCACAAAGAAGATTCTGAGAATGCTTCTGTCTAGATTTTATATGAAAATATTCCCGTTTCCAACGAAATCCTCAAAGCTATCCAAATATCCACTTGCAAATGCCACAAAAAGAGTGTTTCCAAACTGCTCTGTGAAAAGGAAGGTTCAACTCTGTTAGTTGAGTACACACATCACAAAGAGGTTTCTGAGAATGCTGCTGACTAGTTTTTATTTGAAGATATTTCCCTTTTCACCTTAGGCCTAAGAGTGCTCGAAATGTCCATTTCCACATACTCCACAAAGTGTGTTTCAAACGTGCTGTATGAAAGGGAATGTTCAACTCTATGAGTTGAATGCAAACATCACAAAGAAGATTCTGAGAATGCTTTTGTCTAGATTTTATATGAAGATATTCCCGTGTCCAACGAAATTTTCAAAGGTCTCCAAATATCCATTTGTAGATTCTACAAAAAGAGTGTTTCCAAACTGCTGTATCAAAACAAAGGTTGAACTCTGTGAGTTGAGGACACACATCACAAATAAGTTTCTGAGAATGCTTCTGTCTAGTTTGTATTTGAAGATGTTTCCTTTTTCACCATAGGCCTGAAAGCGCTCGAAATGTCCACTTCCAGATAGTACAGAAAGAGTGTTTCAAACCTGCTCTATGAACGGGAATGTTCAGCTCTGTGAGTTGAATGCAAACATCACAAAGCAGGTTCCGAGAATGCTTCCGTCTAGATTTTAAATGAGGATATTCCCGTTTCCAACGAAATCCTCGAAGCTATCCAAATATCCACTTGCAGATTCCACAAAAAGAGTGTTTCAAAACTGCTCTGTCAAAAGATAGGTTCAACTCTGTTAGTTGAGTACACACATGGCAAACAAGATTCCGAGAATGCTTTCGTCTAGTTTTTTTGGGAAGATATTTCCTTCTTCACCATAGGCCTCAAAGCGCTCCAAATATCCATTCCCACATGCTATACAAAGAGTGTCTCAAACCTGCTGTATGAATGGGAATGTTCAACTCTATGAGTTGAATGCAAACATCACAAAGAAGTTTCTGAGAATGCTGCTGTCTAGATTTTATATGAAGGTTTTCCCGCTTCCAACGAAATTTTCAATGCTCTCAAAATATCCTCTTGTAGATTCTACAAAAAGAGTGTTTCCAAACTGCTGTATCAAAACAAAGGTTCATCTCTGTTAGTTGAGGACACACATCACAAATAAGTTTCTGAGAATGCTTCTGTCTAGTTCTTATTTGAAGACATTTCCTTTCTCACCTTAGGCCTGAAAGCGCTCGAAATACCCACTTCCAGATACGACAGAAACAGTGATTCAAACCTGCTCTATGAAAGGGAATGTTCAACTATGTGACTTGAATGCAAACATCACAAAGCAGTTTCTGAGAATGCTGCTGTCTACTTTCTATTTGTAATCCCGTTTCCAACGAAATCCTCAGAACTATCAAAATTTCCAATTGCAGATTCCACAGAAACAGGGTTTCAAAGCTGCTCTGTAAAAAGAAAGGTTCAACTCTGTTAGTTGAATACACACGTCACAAACAAGTTTCTGAGAATGCTTCTGTCTAGTTTTTATGGGAAGATATTTCCTTTTTCACCGTAGGCCTCAAAGCGCTCAAAATGTCCACTTCCACATACTACAAAAAGAGTGTTTCAAACCTGCTCTATGATAGGGAATGTTGAAACCTATGAGTTGAATGCAAACATTACAAAGAGGTTTCTGAGAATGCTTCTGTCTAGATTTTATATGTAGATATTCCCGTTTCCAACGAAATCCTCAAAGCTATCCAAATATCAACTTGCAGATTCTACAAAAGGAATGTTTCCAAAATGCTGTATCCAAACAAAGGTTCAACTCTGTGAATTGAGGGCATACATCACAAAGAAGATTCTGAGAATGCTTCTGTCTAGATTTTATATGAAAATATTCCCGTTTCCAACGAAATCCTCAAAGCTATCCAAATATCCACTTGCAAATGCCACAAAAAGAGTGTTTCCAAACTGCTCTGTGAAAAGGAAGGTTCAACTCTGTTAGTTGAGTACACACATCACAAAGAGGTTTCTGAGAATGCTGCTGACTAGTTTTTATTTGAAGATATTTCCCTTTTCACCTTAGGCCTAAGAGTGCTCGAAATGTCCATTTCCACATACTCCACAAAGTGTGTTTCAAACGTGCTGTATGAAAGGGAATGTTCAACTCTATGAGTTGAATGCAAACATCACAAAGAAGATTCTGAGAATGCTTTTGTCTAGATTTTATATGAAGATATTCCCGTGTCCAACGAAATTTTCAAAGGTCTCCAAATATCCATTTGTAGATTCTACAAAAAGAGTGTTTCCAAACTGCTGTATCAAAACAAAGGTTGAACTCTGTGAGTTGAGGACACACATCACAAATAAGTTTCTGAGAATGCTTCTGTCTAGTTTTTATTTGAAGATGTTTCCTTTTTCACCATAGGCCTGAAAGCGCTCGAAATGTCCACTTCCAGATAGTACAGAAAGAGTGTTTCAAACCTGCTCTATGAACGGGAATGTTCAGCTCTGTGAGTTGAATGCAAACATCACAAAGCAGGTTCTGAGAATGCTTCCGTCTAGATTTTAAATGAGGATATTCCCGTTTCCAACGAAATCCTCGAAGCTATCCAAATATCCACTTGCAGATTCCACAAAAAGAGTGTTTCAAAACTGCTCTGTCAAAAGATAGGTTCAACTCTGTTAGTTGAGTACACACATGGCAAACAAGATTCCGAGAATGCTTTCGTCTAGTTTTTTAGGGAAGATATTTCCTTCTTCACCATAGGCCTCAAAGCGCTCCAAATATCCATTTCCACATGCTATACAAAGAGTGTCTCAAACCTGCTGTATGAATGGGAATGTTCAACTCTATGAGTTGAATGCAAACATCACAAAGAAGTTTCTGAGAATGCTGCTGTCTAGATTTTATATGAAGGTTTTCCCGCTTCCAACGAAATTTTCAATGCTCTCAAAATATCCTCTTGTAGATTCTACAAAAAGAGTGTTTCCAAACTGCTGTATCAAAACAAAGGTTCATCTCTGTTAGTTGAGGACACACATCACAAATAAGTTTCTGAGAATGCTTCTGTCTAGTTCTTATTTGAAGACATTTCCTTTCTCACCTTAGGCCTGAAAACGCTCGAAATATCCACTTCCAGATACGACAGAAACTGTGATTCAAACCTGCTCTATGAAAGGGAATGTTCAACTAGGTGACTTGAATGCAAACATCACAAAGCAGTTTCTGAGAATGCTGCTGTCTACTTTCTATTTGTAATCCCGTTTCCAACGAAATCCTCAGAACTATCGAAATTTCCAATTGCAGATTCCACAAAAAGCGTGTTTCAAAGCTGCTCTGTAAAAAGAAAGGTTCAACTCTGTTAGTTGAATACACACGTCACAAACAAGTTTCTGAGAATGCTTCTGTCTAGTTTTTATGGGAAGATATTTCCTTTTTCACCGTAGGCCTCAAAGCGCTCCAAATGTCCACTTCCACATACTACAAAAAGAGTGTTTCAAACCTGCTCTATGATAGGGAATGTTGAAACCTATGAGTTGAATGCAAGCATTACAAAGAGGTTTCTGAGAATGCTTCTGTCTAGATTTTATATGTAGATATTCCCGTTTCCAACGAAATCCTCAAAGCTATCCAAATATCAACTTGCAGATTCTACAAAAGGAATGTTTCCAAAATGCTGTATCCAAACAAAGGTTCAACTCTGTGAATTGAGGGCATACATCACAAAGAAGATTCTGAGAATGCTTCTGTCTAGATTTTATATGAAAATATTCCCGTTTCCAACGAAATCCTCAAAGCTATCCAAATATCCACTTGCAAATGCCACAAAAAGAGTGTTTCCAAACTGCTCTGTGAAAAGGAAGGTTCAACTCTGTTAGTTGAGTACACACATCACAAAGAGGTTTCTGAGAATGCTGCTGACTAGTTTTTATTTGAAGATATTTCCCTTTTCACCTTAGGCCTAAGAGTGCTCGAAATGTCCATTTCCACATACTCCACAAAGTGTGTTTCAAACGTGCTGTATGAAAGGGAATGTTCAACTCTATGAGTTGAATGCAAACATCACAAAGAAGATTCTGAGAATGCTTTTGTCTAGATTTTATATGAAGATATTCCCGTGTCCAACGAAATTTTCTAAGGTCTCCAAATATCCATTTGTAGATTCTACAAAAAGAGTGTTTCCAAACTGCTGTATCAAAACAAAGGTTGAACTCTGTGAGTTGAGGACACACATCACAAATAAGTTTCTGAGAATGCTTCTGTCTAGTTTTTATTTGAAGATGTTTCCTTTTTCACCATAGGCCTGAAAGCGCTCGAAATGTCCACTTCCAGATAGTACAGAAAGAGTGTTTCAAACCTGCTCTATGAACGGGAATGTTCAGCTCTGTGAGTTGAATGCAAACGTCACAAAGCAGGTTCCGAGAATGCTTCCGTCTAGATTTTAAATGAGGATATTCCCGTTTCCAACGAAATCCTCGAAGCTATCCAAATATCCACTTGCAGATTCCACAAAAAGAGTGTTTCAAAACTGCTCTGTCAAAAGATAGGTTCAACTCTGTTAGTTGAGTACACACATGGCAAACAAGATTGCGAGAATGCTTTCGTCTAGTTTTTTTGGGAAGATATTTCCTTCTTCACCATAGGCCTCAAAGCGCTCCAAATATCCATTTCCACATGCTATACAAAGAGTGTCTCAAACCTGCTGTATGAATGGGAATGTTCAACTCTATGAGTTGAATGCAAACATCACAAAGAAGTTTCTGAGAATGCTGCTGTCTAGATTTTATATGAAGGTTTTCCCGCTTCCAACGAAATTTTCAACGCTCTCAAAATATCCTCTTGTAGATTCTACAAAAAGAGTGTTTCCAAACTGCTGTATCAAAACAAAGGTTTATCTCTGTTAGTTGAGGACACACATCACAAATAAGTTTCTGAGAATGCTTCTGTCTAGTTCTTATTTGAAGACATTTCCTTTCTCACCTTAGGCCTGAAAGCGCTCGAAATACCCACTTCCAGATACTACAGAAACAGTGATTCAAACCTGCTCTATGAAAGGGAATGTTCAACTATGTGACTTGAATGCAAACATCACAAAGCAGTTTCTGAGAATGCTGCTGTCTAGTTTCTATTTGTAATCCCGTTTCCAACGAAATCCTCAGAACTATCGAAATTTCCAATTGCAGATTCCACAGAAACAGGGTTTCAAAGCTGCTCTGTAAAAAGAAAGGTTCAACTCTGTTAGTTGAATACACACGTCACAAACAAGTTTCTGAGAATGCTTCTGTCTAGTTTTTATGGGAAGATATTTCCTTTTTCACGGTAGGCCTCAAAGCGCTCCAAATGTCCACTTCCACATACTACAAAAAGAGTGTTTCAAACCTGCTCTATGATAGGGAATGTTGAAACCTATGAGTTGAATGCAAGCATTACAAAGAGGTTTCTGAGAATGCTTCTGTCTAGATTTTATATGTAGATATTCCCGTTTCCAACGAAATCCTCAAAGCTATCCAAATATCAACTTGCAGATTCTACAAAAGGAATGTTTCCAAAATGCTGTATCCAAACAAAGGTTCAACTCTGTGAATTGAGGGCATACATCACAAAGAAGATTCTGAGAATGCTTCTGTCTAGATTTTATATGAAAATATTCCCGTTTCCAACGAAATCCTCAAAGCTATCCAAATATCCACTTGCAAATGCCACAAAAAGAGTGTTTCCAAACTGCTCTGTGAAAAGGAAGGTTCAACTCTGTTAGTTGAGTACACACATCACAAAGAGGTTTCTGAGAATGCTGCTGACTAGTTTTTATTTGAAGATATTTCCCTTTTCACCTTAGGCCTAAGAGTGCTCGAAATGTCCATTTCCACATACTCCACAAAGTGTGTTTCAAACGTGCTGTATGAAAGGGAATGTTCAACTCTATGAGTTGAATGCAAACATCACAAAGAAGATTCTGAGAATGCTTTTGTCTAGCATTTTATATGAAGATATTCCCGTGTCCAACGAAATTTTCAAAGGTCTCCAAATATCCATTTGTAGATTCTACAAAAAGAGTGTTTCCAAACTGCTGTATCAAAACAAAGGTTGAACTCTGTGAGTTGAGGACACACATCACAAATAAGTTTCTGAGAATGCTTCTGTCTAGTTTTTATTTGAAGATGTTTCCTTTTTCACCATAGGCCTGAAAGCGCTCGAAATGTCCACTTCCAGATAGTACAGAAAGAGTGTTTCAAACCTGCTCTGTGAACGGGAATGTTCAGCTCTGTGAGTTGAATGCAAACATCACAAAGCAGGTTCTGAGAATGCTTCCGTCTAGATTTTAAATGAGGATATTCCCGTTTCCAACGAAATCCTCGAAGCTATCCAAATATCCACTTGCAGATTCCACAAAAAGAGTGTTTCAAAACTGCTCTGTCAAAAGATAGGTTCAACTCTGTTAGTTGAGTACACACATGGCAAACAAGATTCCGAGAATGCTTTCGTCTAGTTTTTTTGGGAAGATATTTCCTTCTTCACCATAGGCCTCAAAGCGCTCCAAATATCCATTTCCACATGCTATACAAAGAGTGACTCAAACCTGCTGTATGAATGGGAATGTTCAACTCTATGAGTTGAATGCAAACATCACAAAGAAGTTTCTGAGAATGCTGCTGTCTAGATTTTATATGAAGGTTTTCCCGCTTCCAACGAAATTTTGAATGCTCTCAAAATGTCCTCTTGTAGATTCTACAAAAAGAGTGTTTCCAAACTGCTGTATCAAAACAAAGGTTCATCTCTGTTAGTTGAGGACACACATCACAAATAAGTTTCTGAGAATGCTTCTGTCTAGTTCTTATTTGAAGACATTTCCTTTCTCACCTTAGGCCTGAAAGCGCTCGAAATACCCACTTCCAGATACTACAGAAACAGTGATTCAAACCTGCTCTATGAAAGGGAATGTTCAACTAGGTGACTTGAATGCAAACATCACAAAGCAGTTTCTGAGAATGCTGCTGTCTACTTTGTATTTGTAATCCCGTTTCCAACGAAATCCTCAGAACTATCGAAATTTCCAATTGCAGATTCCACAGAAACAGGGTTTCAAAGCTGCTCTGTAAAAAGAAAGGTTCAACTCTGTTAGTTGAATACACACGTCACAAACAAGTTTCTGAGATTGCTTCTGTCTATTTTTTATGGGAAGATATTTCCTTTTTCACCGTAGGCCTCAAAGCGCTCCAAATGTCCACTTCCACATACTACAAAAAGAGTGTTTCAAACCTGCTGTATGAAAGGGAATGTTCAACTCTATGAGTTGAATGCAAACATTACAAAGAAGTTTCTGAGAATGCTTCTGTCTAGATTTTATATGAAGGTTTTCCCGTTTCCAACGAAATTTTCAATGCTCTCAAAATATCCACTTGTAGATTCTACAAAAAGAGTGTTTCCAAACTGCTGTGTCAAAAGAAAGGTTCAACTCTGTTAGTTGAGGACACACATCACAAATAAGTTTCTGAGAATGCTGCTGTCTACTTTCTATTTGTAATCCCGTTTCCAACGAAATCCTCAGAACTATAGAAATTTCCAATTGCAGATTCCACAGAAACAGGGTTTCAAAGCTGCTCTGTAAAAAGAAAGGTTCAACTCTGTTAGTTGAATACACACGTCACAAACAAGTTTCTGAGAATGCTTCTGTCTAGTTTTTATGGGAAGATATTTCCTTTTTCACCGTAGGCCTCAAAGCGCTCCAAATGTCCACTTCCACATACTACAAAAAGAGTGTTTCAAACCTGCTCTATGATAGGGAATGTTGAAACCTATGAGTTGAATGCAAACATTAGAAAGAGGTTTCTGAGAATGCTTCTGTCTAGATTTTATATGTAGATATTCCCGTTTCCAACGAAATCCTCAATGCTATCCAAATATCAACTTGCAGATTCTACAAAAGGAATGTTTCCAAAATGCTGTATCCAAACAAAGGTTCAACTCTGTGAATTGAGGGCATACATCACAAAGAAGATTCTGAGAATGCTTCTGTCTAGATTTTATATGAAAATATTCCCGTTTCCAACGAAATCCTCAAAGCTATCCAAATATCCACTTGCAAATGCCACAAAAAGAGTGTTTCCAAACTGCTCTGTGAAAAGGAAGGTTCAACTCTGTTAGTTGAGTACACACATCACAAAGAGGTTTCTGAGAATGCTGCTGACTAGTTTTTATTTGAAGATATTTCCCTTTTCACCTTAGGCCTAAGAGTGCTCGAAATGTCCATTTCCACATACTCCACAAAGTGTGTTTCAAACGTGCTGTATGAAAGGGAATGTTCAACTCTATGAGTTGAATGCAAACATCACAAAGAAGATTCTGAGAATGCTTTTGTCTAGATTTTATATGAAGATATTCCCGTGTCCAACGAAATTTTCAAAGGTCTCCAAATATCCATTTGTAGATTCTACAAAAAGAGTGTTTCCAAACTGCTGTATCAAAACAAAGGTTGAACTCTGTGAGTTGAGGGCACACATCACAAATAAGTTTCTGAGAATGCTTCTGTCTAGTTTTTATTTGAAGATGTTTCCTTTTTCACCATAGGCCTGAAAGCGCTCGAAATGTCCACTTCCAGATAGTACAGAAAGAGTGTTTCAAACCTGCTCTATGAACGGGAATGTTCAGCTCTGTGAGTTGAATGCAAACATCACAAAGCAGGTTCTGAGAATGCTTCCGTCTAGATTTTAAATGAGGATATTCCCGTTTCCAACGAAATCCTCGAAGCTATCCAAATATCCACTTGCAGATTCCACAGAAAGAGTGTTTCAAAACTGCTCTCTCAAAAGATAGGTTCAACTCTGTTAGTTGAGTACACACATGGCAAACAAGATTCCGAGAATGCTTTTCGTCTAGTTTTTTTGGGAAGATATTTCCTTCTTCACCATAGGCCTCAAAGCGCTCCAAATATCCATTTCCACATGCTATACAAAGAGTGTCTCAAACCTGCTGTATGAATGGGAATGTTCAACTCTATGAGTTGAATGCAAACATCACAAAGAAGTTTCTGAGAATGCTGCTGTCTAGATTTTATATGAAGGTTTTCCCGCTTCCAACGAAATTTTCAATGCTCTCAAAATATCCTCTTGTAGATTCTACAAAAAGAGTGTTTCCAAACTGCTGTATCAAAACAAAGGTTCATCTCTGTTAGTTGAGGACACACATCACAAATAAGTTTCTGAGAATGCTTCTGTCTAGTTCTTATTTGAAGACATTTCCTTTCTCACCTTAGGCCTGAAAGCGCTCGAAATATCCACTTCCAGATACGACAGAAACAGTGATTCATACCTGCTCTATGAAAGGGAATGTTCAACTAGGTGACTTGAATGCAAACATCACAAAGCAGTTTCTGAGAATGCTGCTGTCTACTTTCTATTTGTAATCCCGTTTCCAACGAAATCCTCAGAACTATCGAAATTTCCAATTGCAGATTCCACAGAAACAGGGTTTCAAAGCTGCTCTGTAAAAAGAAAGGTTCAACTCTGTTAGTTGAATACACACGTCACAAACAAGTTTCTGAGAATGCTTCTGTCTAGTTTTTATGGGAAGATATTTCCTTTTTCACCGTAGGCCTCAAAGCGCTCCAAATGTCCACTTCCACATACTACAAAAAGAGTGTTTCAAACCTGCTGTATGAAAGGGAATGTTCAACTCTATGAGTTGAATGCAAACATTACAAAGAAGTTTCTGAGAATGCTTCTGTCTAGATTTTATATGAAGGTTTTCCCGTTTCCAACGAAATTTTCAATGCTCTCAAAATATCCACTTGTAGATTCTACAAAAAGAGTGTTTCCAAACTGCTGTGTCAAAAGAAAGGTTCAACTCTGTTAGTTGAGGACACACATCACAAATAAGTTTCTGAGAATGCTTCTGTCTAGTTCTTATTTGAAGACATTTCCTTTCTCACCTTAGGCCTGAAAACGCTCGAAATATCCACTTCCAGATACGACAGAAACAGTGATTCAAACCTGCTCTATGAAAGGGAATGTTCAACTAGGTGACTTGAATGCAAACATCACAAAGCAGTTTCTGAGAATGCTGCTGTCTACTTTCTATTTGTAATCCCGTTTCCAACGAAATCCTCAGAACTATCGAAATTTCCAATTGCAGATTCCACAAAAAGCGTGTTTCAAAGCTGCTCTGTAAAAAGAAAGGTTCAACTCTGTTAGTTGAATACACACGTCACAAACAAGTTTCTGAGAATGCTTCTGTCTAGTTTTTATGGGAAGATATTTCCTTTTTCACCGTAGGCCTCAAAGCGCTCCAAATGTCCACTTCCACATACTACAAAAAGAGTGTTTCAAACCTGCTCTATGATAGGGAATGTTGAAACCTATGAGTTGAATGCAAGCATTACAAAGAAGTTTCTGAGAATGCTTCTGTCTAGATTTTATATGTAGATAGATATTCCCGTTTCCAACGAAATCCTCAAAGCTATCCAAATATCAACTTGCAGATTCTACAAAAGGAATGTTTCCAAAATGCTGTATCCAAACAAAGGTTCAACTCTGTGAATTGAGGGCATACATCACAAAGAAGATTCTGAGAATGCTTCTGTCTAGATTTTATATGAAAATATTACCGTTTCCAACGAAATCCTCAAAGCTATCCAAATATCCACTTGCAAATGCCACAAAAAGAGTGTTTCCAAACTGCTCTGTGAAAAGGAAGGTTCAACTCTGTTAGTTGAGTACACACATCACAAAGAGGTTTCTGAGAATGCTTGCTGACTAGTTTTTATTTGAAGATATTTCCCTTTTCACCTTAG
Source organism: Homo sapiens (assembly GCF_000001405.40). NCBI lineage: Eukaryota > Metazoa > Chordata > Mammalia > Primates > Hominidae > Homo > Homo sapiens. Next base: position 19,402,888 of record NC_000015.10, on the reverse strand, counting down.
GCCTAAGAGTGCTCGAAATGTCCATTTCCACATACTCCACAAAGTGTGTTTCAAACGTGCTGTATGAAAGGGAACGTTCAACTCTATGAGTTGAATGCAAACATCACAAAGAAGATTCTGAGAATGCTTTTGTCTAGATTTTATATGAAGATATTCCCGTGTCCAACGAAATTTTCAAAGGTCTCCAAATATCCATTTGTAGATTCTACAAAAAGAGTGTTTCCAAACTGCTGTATCAAAACAAAGGTTGAACTCTGTGAGTTGAGGACACACATCACAAATAAGTTTCTGAGAATGCTTCTGTCTAGTTTTTATTTGAAGATGTTTCCTTTTTCACCATAGGCCTGAAAGCGCTCGAAATGTCCACTTCCAGATAGTACAGAAAGAGTGTTTCAAACCTGCTCTATGAACGGGAATGTTCAGCTCTGTGAGTTGAATGCAAACATCACAAAGCAGGTTCTGAGAATGCTTCCGTCTAGATTTTAAATGAGGATATTCCCGTTTCCAACGAAATCCTCGAAGCTATCCAAATATCCACTTGCAGATTCCACAAAAAGAGTGTTTCAAAACTGCTCTGTCAAAAGATAGGTTCAACTCTGTTAGTTGAGTACACACATGGCAAACAAGATTCCGAGAATGCTTTCGACTAGTTTTTTGGGGAAGATATTTCCTTCTTCACCATAGGCCTCAAAGCGCTCCAAATATCCATTTCCACATGCTATACAAAGAGTGTCTCAAACCTGCTGTATGAATGGGAATGTTCAACTCTATGAGTTGAATGCAAACATCACAAAGAAGTTTCTGAGAATGCTGCTGTCTAGATTTTATATGAAGGTTTTCCCGCTTCCAACGAAATTTTCAATGCTCTCAAAATATCCTCTTGTAGATTCTACAAAAAGAGTGTTTCCAAACTGCTGTATCAAAACAAAGGTTCATCTCTGTTAGTTGAGGACACACATCACAAATAAGTTTCTGAGAATGCTTCTGTCTAGTTCTTATTTGAAGACATTTCCTTTCTCACCTTAGGCCTGAAAACGCTCGAAATATCCACTTCCAGATACGACAGAAACTGTGATTCAAACCTGCTCTATGAAAGGGAATGTTCAACTAGGTGACTTGAATGCAAACATCACAAAGCAGTTTCTGAGAATGCTGCTGTCTACTTTCTATTTGTAATCCCGTTTCCAACGAAATCCTCAGAACTATCGAAATTTCCAATTGCAGATTCCACAAAAAGCGTGTTTCAAAGCTGCTCTGTAAAAAGAAAGGTTCAACTCTGTTAGTTGAATACACACGTCACAAACAAGTTTCTGAGATTGCTTCTGTCTAGTTTTTATGGGAAGATATTTCCTTTTTCACCGTAGGCCTCAAAGCGCTCCAAATGTCCACTTCCACATACTACAAAAAGAGTGTTTCAAACCTGCTGTATGAAAGGGAATGTTCAACTCTATGAGTTGAATGCAAACATTACAAAGAAGTTTCTGAGAATGCTTCTGTCTAGATTTTATATGAAGGTTTTCCCGTTTCCAACGAAATTTTCAATGCTCTCAAAATATCCACTTGTAGATTCTACAAAAAGAGTGTTTCCAAACTGCTGTGTCAAAAGAAAGGTTCAACTCTGTTAGTTGAGGACACACATCACAAATAAGTTTCTGAGAATGCTTATCTGTCTAGTTCTTATTTGAAGACATTTCCTTTCTCACCTTAGGCCTGAAAACGCTCGAAATATCCACTTCCAGATACGACAGAAACAGTGATTCAAACCTGCTCTATGAAAGGGAATGTTCAACTAGGTGACTTGAATGCAAACATCACAAAGCAGTTTCTGAGAATGCTGCTGTCTACTTTCTATTTGTAATCCCGTTTCCAACGAAATCCTCAGAACTATCGAAATTTCCAATTGCAGATTCCACAAAAAGCGTGTTTCAAAGCTGCTCTGTAAAAAGAAAGGTTCAACTCTGTTAGTTGAATACACACGTCACAAACAAGTTTCTGAGAATGCTTCTGTCTAGTTTTTATGGGAAGATATTTCCTTTTTCACCGTAGGCCTCAAAGCGCTCCAAATGTCCACTTCCAGATACTACAAAAAGAGTGTTTCAAACCTGCTCTATGATAGGGAATGTTGAAACCTATGAGTTGAATGCAAGCATTACAAAGAGGTTTCTGAGAATGCTTCTGTCTAGATTTTATATGTAGATATTCCCGTTTCCAACGAAATCCTCAAAGCTATCCAAATATCAACTTGCAGATTCTACAAAAGGAATGTTTCCAAAATGCTGTATCCAAACAAAGGTTCAACTCTGTGAATTGAGGGCATACATCACAAAGAAGATTCTGAGAATGCTTCTGTCTAGATTTTATATGAAAATATTCCCGTTTCCAACGAAATCCTCAAAGCTATCCAAATATCCACTTGCAAATGCCACAAAAAGAGTGTTTCCAAACTGCTCTGTGAAAAGGAAGGTTCAACTCTGTTAGTTGAGTACACACATCACAAAGAGGTTTCTGAGAATGCTGCTGGCTAGTTTTTATTTGAAGATATTTCCCTTTTCACCTTAGGCCTAAGAGTGCTCGAAATGTCCATTTCCACATACTCCACAAAGTGTGTTCCAAACGTGCTGTATGAAAGGGAATGTTCAACTCTATGAGTTGAATGCAAACATCACAAAGAAGATTCTGAGAATGCTTTTGTCTAGATTTTATATGAAGATATTCCCGTGTCCAACGAAATTTTCAATGGTCTCCAAATATCCATTTGTAGATTCTACAAAAAGAGTGTTTCCAAACTGCTGTATCAAAACAAAGGTTGAACTCTGTGAGTTGAGGACACACATCACAAATAAGTTTCTGAGAATGCTTCTGTCTAGTTTTTATTTGAAGATATTTCCTTTTTCACCATAGGCCTGAAAGCGCTCGAAATGTCCACTTCCAGATAGTACAGAAAGAGTGTTTCAAACCTGCTCTATGAACAGGAATGTTCAGCTCTGTGAGTTGAATGCAAACATCACAAAGCAGGTTCTGAGAATGCTTCCGTCTAGATTTTATATGAGGATATTCCCGTTTCCAAGGAAATCCTCGAAGCTATCCAAATATCCACTTGCAGATTCCACAAAAAGAGTGTTTCAAAACTGCTCTGTCAAAAGATAGGTTCAACTCTGTTAGTTGAGTACACACATGGCAAACAAGATTCCGAGAATGCTTTCGTCTAGTTTTTTTGGGAAGATATTTCCTTCTTCACCATAGGCCTCAAAGCGCTCCAAATATCCATTTCCACATGCTATACAAAGAGTGTCTCAAACCTGCTGTATGAATGGGAATGTTCAACTCTATGAGTTGAATGCAAACATCAGAAAGAAGTTTCTGAGAATGCTGCTGTCTAGATTTTATATGAAGGTTTTCCCGCTTCCAACGAAATTTTCAATGCTCTCAAAATATCCTCTTGTAGATTCTACAAAAAGAGTGTTTCCAAACTGCTGTATCAAAACAAAGGTTCATCTCTGTTAGTTGAGGACACACATCACAAATAAGTTTCTGAGAATGCTTCTGTCTAGTTCTTATTTGAAGACATTTCCTTTCTCACCTTAGGCCTGAAAGCGCTCGAAATACCCACTTCCAGATACGACAGAAACAGTGATTCAAACCTGCTCTATGAAAGGGAATGTTCAACTATGTGACTTGAATGCAAACATCACAAAGCAGTTTCTGAGAATGCTGCTGTCTACTTTCTATTTGTAATCCCGTTTCCAACGAAATCCTCAGAACTATCGAAATTTCCAATTGCAGATTCCACAGAAACAGGGTTTCAAAGCTGCTCTGTAAAAAGAAAGGTTCAACTCTGTTAGTTGAATACACACGTCACAAACAAGTTTCTGAGAATGCTTCTGTCTAGTTTTTATGGGAAGATATTTCCTTTTTCACCGTAGGCCTCAAAGCGCTCCAAATGTCCACGTCCACATACTACAAAAAGAGTGTTTCAAACCTGCTGTATGAAAGGGAATGTTCAACTCTATGAGTTGAATGCAAACATTACAAAGAAGTTTCTGAGAATGCTTCTGTCTAGATTTTATATGAAGGTTTTCCCGTTTCCAACGAAATTTTCAATGCTCTCAAAATATCCACTTGTAGATTCTACAAAAAGAGTGTTTCCAAACTGCTGTGTCAAAAGAAAGGTTCAACTCTGTTAGTTGAGGACACACATCACAAATAAGTTTCTGAGAATGCTGCTGTCTACTTTCTATTTGTAATCCCGTTTCCAACGAAATCCTCAGAACTATCGAAATTTCCAATTGCAGATTCCACAAAAAGCGTGTTTCAAAGCTGCTCTGTAAAAAGAAAGGTTCATCTCTGTTAGTTGAATACACACGTCACAAACAAGTTTCTGAGAATGCTTCTGTCTAGTTTTTATGGGAAGATATTTCCTTTTTCACCGTAGGCCTCAAAGCGCTCCAAATGTCCACTTCCACATACTACAAAAAGAGTGTTTCAAACCTGCTCTATGATAGGGAATGTTGAAACCTATGAGTTGAATGCAAGCATTACAAAGAGGTTTCTGAGAATGCTTCTGTCTAGATTTTATATGTAGATATACCCGTTTCCAACGAAATCCTCAAAGCTATCCAAATATCAACTTGCAGATTCTACAAAAGGAATGTTTCCAAAATGCTGTATCCAAACAAAGGTTCAACTCTGTGAATTGAGGGCATACATCACAAAGAAGATTCTGAGAATGCTTCTGTCTAGATTTTATATGAAAATATTCCCGTTTCCAACGAAATCCTCAAAGCTATCCAAATATCCACTTGCAAATGCCACAAAAAGAGTGTTTCCAAACTGCTCTGTGAAAAGGAAGGTTCAACTCTGTTAGTTGAGTACACACATCACAAAGAGGTTTCTGAGAATGCTGCTGACTAGTTTTTATTTGAAGATATTTCCCTTTTCACCTTAGGCCTAAGAGTGCTCGAAATGTCCATTTCCACATACTCCACAAAGTGTGTTTCAAACGTGCTGTATGAAAGGGAATGTTCAACTCTATGAGTTGAATGCAAACATCACAAAGAAGACTCTGAGAATGCTTTTGTCTAGATTTTATATGAAGATATTCCCGTGTCCAACGAAATTTTCAAAGGTCTCCAAATATCCATTTGTAGATTCTACAAAAAGAGTGTTTCCAAACTGCTGTATCAAAACAAAGGTTGAACTCTGTGAGTTGAGGACACACATCACAAATAAGTTTCTGAGAATGCTTCTGTCTAGTTTTTATTTGAAGATGTTTCCTTTTTCACCATAGGCCTGAAAGCGCTCGAAATGTCCACTTCCAGATAGTACAGAAAGAGTGTTTCAAACCTGCTCTATGAACGGGAATGTTCAGCTCTGTGAGTTGAATGCAAACATCACAAAGCAGGTTCTGAGAATGCTTCCGTCTAGATTTTAAATGAGGATATTCCCGTTTCCAACGAAATCCTCGAAGCTATCCAAATATCCACTTGCAGATTCCACAAAAAGAGTGTTTCAAAACTGCTCTGTCAAAAGATAGGTTCAACTCTGTTAGTTGAGTACACACATGGCAAACAAGATTGCGAGAATGCTTTCGTCTAGTTTTTTTGGGAAGATATTTCCTTCTTCACCATAGGCCTCAAAGCGCTCCAAATATCCATTTAAACATGCTATACAAAGAGTGTCTCAAACCTGCTGTATGAATGGGAATGTTCAACTCTATGAGTTGAATGCAAACATCACAAAGAAGTTTCTGAGAATGCTGCTGTCTAGATTTTATATGAAGGTTTTCCCGCTTCCAACGAAATTTTCAATGCTCTCAAAATATCCTCTTGTAGATTCTACAAAAAGAGTGTTTCCAAACTGCTGTATCAAAACAAAGGTTCATCTCTGTTAGTTGAGGACACACATCACAAATAAGTTTCTGAGAATGCTTCTGTCTAGTTCTTATTTGAAGACATTTCCTTTCTCACCTTAGGCCTGAAAACGCTCGAAATATCCACTTCCAGATACGACAGAAACAGTGATTCAAACCTGCTCTATGAAAGAGAATGTTCACCTAGGTGACTTGAATGCAAACATCACAAAGCAGTTTCTGAGAATGCTGCTGTCTACTTTCTATTTGTAATCCCGTTTCCAACGAAATCCTCAGAACTATCGAAATTTCCAATTGCAGATTCCACAAAAAGCGTGTTTCAAAGCTGCTCTGTAAAAAGAAAGGTTCAACTCTGTTAGTTGAATACACACGTCACAAACAAGTTTCTGAGAATGCTTCTGTCTAGTTTTTATGGGAAGATATTTCCTTTTTCACCGTAGGCCTCAAAGCGCTCCAAATGTCCACTTCCACATACTACAAAAAGAGTGTTTCAAACCTGCTCTATGATAGGGAATGTTGAAACCTATGAGTTGAATGCAAGCATTACAAAGAGGTTTCTGAGAATGCTTCTGTCTAGATTTTATATGTAGATATTCCCGTTTCCAACGAAATCCTCAAAGCTATCCAAATATCAACTTACAGATTCTACAAAAGGAATGTTTCCAAAATGCTGTATCCAAACAGAGGTTCAACTCTGTGAATTGAGGGCATACATCACAAAGAAGATTCTGAGAATGCTTCTGTCTAGATTTTATATGAAAATATTCCCGTTTCCAACGAAATCCTCAAAGCTATCCAAATATCCACTTGCAAATGCCACAAAAAGAGTGTTTCCAAACTGCTCTGTGAAAAGGAAGGTTCAACTCTGTTAGTTGAGTACACACATCACAAAGAGGTTTCTGAGAATGCTGCTGACTAGTTTTTATTTGAAGATATTTCCCTTTTCACCTTAGGCCTAAGGAGTGCTCGAAATGTCCATTTCCACATACTCCACAAAGTGTGTTTCAAACGTGCTGTATGAAAGGGAATGTTCAACTCTATGAGTTGAATGCAAACATCACAAAGAAGATTCTGAGAATGCTTTTGTCTAGATTTTATATGAAGATATTCCCGTGTCCAACGAAATTTTCAAAGGTCTCCAAATATCCATTTGTAGATTCTACAAAAAGAGTGTTTCCAAACTGCTGTATCAAAACAAAGGTTGAACTCTGTGAGTTGAGGACACACATCACAAATAAGTTTCTGAGAATGCTTCTGTCTAGTTTTTATTTGAAGATGTTTCCTTTTTCACCATAGGCCTGAAAGCGCTCGAAATGTCCACTTCCAGATAGTACAGAAAGAGTGTTTCAAACCTGCTCTATGACCGGGAATGTTCAGCTCTGTGAGTTGAATGCAAACATCACAAAGCAGGTTCTGAGAATGCTTCCGTCTAGATTTTAAATGAGGATATTCCCGTTTCCAACGAAATCCTCGAAGCTATCCAAATATCCACTTGCAGATTCCACAAAAAGAGTGTTTCAAAACTGCTCTGTCAAAAGATAGGTTCAACTCTGTTAGTTGAGTACACACATGGCAAACAAGATTGCGAGAATGCTTTCGTCTAGTTTTTTTGGGAAGATATTTCCTTCTTCACCATAGGCCTCAAAGTGCTCCAAATATCCATTTCCACATGCTATACAAAGAGTGTCTCAAACCTGCTGTATGAATGGGAATGTTCAACTCTATGAGTTGAATGCAAACATCACAAAGAAGTTTCTGAGAATGCTGCTGTCTAGATTTTATATGAAGGTTTTCCCGCTTCCAACGAAATTTTCAATGCTCTCAAAATATCCTCTTGTAGATTCTACAAAAAGAGTGTTTCCAAACTGCTGTATCAAAACAAAGGTTCATCTCTGTTAGTTGAGGACACACATCACAAATAAGTTTCTGAGAATGCTTCTGTCTAGTTCTTATTTGAAGACATTTCCTTTCTCACCTTAGGCCTGAAAGCGCTCGAAATACCCACTTCCAGATACTACAGAAACAGTGATTCAAACCTGCTCTATGAAAGGGAATGTTCAACTAGGTGACTTGAATGCAAACATCACAAAGCAGTTTCTGAGAATGCTGCTGTCTACTTTCTATTTGTAATCCCGTTTCCAACGAAATCCTCAGAACTATCGAAATTTCCAATTGCAGATTCCACAGAAACAGGGTTTCAAAGCTGCTCTGTAAAAAGAAAGGTTCAACTCTGTTAGTTGAATACACACGTCACAAACAAGTTTCTGAGAATGCTTCTGTCTAGTTTTTATGGGAAGATATTTCCTTTTTCACCGTAGGCCTCAAAGCGCTCCCAATGTCCACTTCCACATACTACAAAAAGAGTGTTTCAAACCTGCTGTATGAAAGGGAATGTTCAACTCTATGAGTTGAATGCAAACATTACAAAGAAGTTTCTGAGAATGCTTCTGTCTAGATTTTATAGAAAGGTTTTCCCGTTTCCAACGAAATTTTCAATGCTCTCAAAATATCCACTTGTAGATTCTACAAAAAGAGTGTTTCCAAACTGCTGTGTCAAAAGAAAGGTTCAACTCTGTTAGTTGAGGACACACATCACAAATAAGTTTCTGAGAATGCTTCTGTCTAGTTCTTATTTGAAGACATTTCCTTTCTCACCTTAGGCCTGAAAACGCTCGAAATATCCACTTCCAGATACGACAGAAACAGTGATTCAAACCTGCTCTATGAAAGGGAATGTTCAACTAGGTGACTTGAATGCAAACATCACAAAGCAGTTTCTGAGAATGCTGCTGTCTACTTTCTATTTGTAATCCCGTTTCCAACGAAATCCTCAGAACCATCGAAATTTCCAATTGCAGATTCCACAGAAACAGGGTTTCAAAGCTGCTCTGTAAAAAGAAAGGTTCAACTCTGTTAGTTGAATACACACGTCACAAACAAGTTTCTGAGAATGCTTCTGTCTAGTTTTTATGGGAAGATATTTCCTTTTTCACCGTAGGCCTCAAAGCGCTCCAAATGTCCACTTCCACATACTACAAAAAGAGTGTTTCAAACCTGCTCTATGATAGGGAATGTTGAAACCTATGAGTTGAATGCAAGCATTACAAAGAGGTTTCTGAGAATGCTTCTGTCTAGATTTTATATGTAGATATTCCCGTTTCCAACGAAATCCTCAAAGCTATCCAAATATCAACTTGCAGATTCTACAAAAGGAATGTTTCCAAAATGCTGTATCCAAACAAAGGTTCAACTCTGTGAATTGAGGGCATACATCACAAAGAAGATTCTGAGAATGCTTCTGTCTAGATTTTATATGAAACTATTCCCGTTTCCAACGAAATCCTCAAAGCTATCCAAATATCCACTTGCAAATGCCACAAAAAGAGTGTTTCCAAACTGCTCTGTGAAAAGGAAGGTTCAACTCTGTTAGTTGAGTACACACATCACAAAGAGGTTTCTGAGAATGCTGCTGACTAGTTTTTATTTGAAGATATTTCCCTTTTCACCTTAGGCCTAAGAGTGCTCGAAATGTCCATTTCCACATACTCCACAAAGTGTGTTTCAAACGTGCTGTATGAAAGGGAATGTTCAACTCTATGAGTTGAATGCAAACATCACAAAGAAGATTCTGAGAATGCTTTTGTCTAGATTTTATATGAAGATATTCCCGTGTCCAACGAAATTTTCAAAGGTCTCCAAATATCCATTTGTAGATTCTACAAAAAGAGTGTTTCCAAACTGCTGTATCAAAACAAAGGTTGAACTCTGTGAGTTGAGGACACACATCACAAATAAGTTTCTGAGGATGCTTCTGTCTAGTTTTTATTTGAAGATGTTTCCTTTTTCACCATAGGCCTGAAAGCGCTCGAAATGTCCACTTCCAGATAGTACAGAAAGAGTGTTTCAAACCTGCTCTATGAACGGGAATGTTCAGCTCTGTGAGTTGAATGCAAACATCACAAAGCAGGTTCTGAGAATGCTTCCGTCTAGATTTTAAATGAGGATATTCCCGTTTCCAACGAAATCCTCGAAGCTATCCAAATATCCACTTGCAGATTCCACAAAAAGAGTGTTTCAAAACTGCTCTGTCAAAAGATAGGTTCAACTCTGTTAGTTGAGTACACACATGGCAAACAAGATTCCGAGAATGCTTTCGTCTAGTTTTTTTGGGAAGATATTTCCTTCTTCACCATAGGCCTCAAAGCGCTCCAAATATCCATTTCCACATGCTATACAAAGAGTGTCTCAAACCTGCTGTATGAATGGGAATGTTCAACTCTATGAGTTGAATGCAAACATCACAAAGAAGTTTCTGAGAATGCTTCTGTCTAGATTTTATATGAAGGTTTTCCCGTTTCCAAGGAAATTTTCAATGCTCTCAAAATATCCACTTGTAGATTCTACAAAAAGAGTGTTTCCAAACTGCTGTGTCAAAAGAAAGGTTCAACTCTGTTAGTTGAGGACACACATCACAAATAAGTTTCTGAGAATGCTTCTGTCTAGTTCTTATTTGAAGACATTTCCTTTCTCACCTTAGGCCTGAAAACGCTCGAAATATCCACTTCCAGATACGACAGAAACAGTGATTCAAACCTGCTCTATGAAAGGGAATGTTCAACTAGGTGACTTGAATGCAAACATCCACAAAGCAGTTTCTGAGAATGCTGCTGTCTACTTTGTATTTGTAATCCCGTTTCCAACGAAATCCTCAGAACTATCGAAATTTCCAATTGCAGATTCCACAAAAAGCGTGTTTCAAAGCTGCTCTGTAAAAAGAAAGGTTCAACTCTGTTAGTTGAATACACACGTCACAAACAAGTTTCTGAGAATGCTTCTGTCTAGTTTTTATGGGAAGATATTTCCTTTTTCACCGTAGGCCTCAAAGCGCTCCAAATGTCCACTTCCACATACTACAAAAAGAGTGTTTCAAACCTGCTGTATGAAAGGGAATGTTCAACTCTATGAGTTGAATGCAAACATTACAAAGAAGTTTCTGAGAATGCTTCTGTCTAGATTTTATATGAAGGTTTTCCCGTTTCCAACGAAATTTTCAATGCTCTCAAAATATCCACTTGTAGATTCTACAAAAAGAGTGTTTCCAAACTGCTGTGTCAAAAGAAAAGTTCAACTCTGTTAGTTGAGGACACACATCACAAATAAGTTTCTGAGAATGCTTCTGTCTAGTTCTTATTTGAAGACATTTCCTTTCTCACCTTAGGCCTGAAAACGCTCGAAATATCCACTTCCAGATACGACAGAAACAGTGATTCAAACCTGCTCTATGAAAGGGAATGTTCAACTAGGTGACTTGAATGCAAACATCACAAAGCAGTTTCTGAGAATGCTGCTGTCTACTTTCTATTTGTAATCCCGTTTCCAACGAAATCCTCAGAACTATCGAAATTTCCAATTGCAGATTCCACAAAAAGCGTGTTTCAAAGCTGCTCTGTAAAAAGAAAGGTTCAACTCTGTTAGTTGAATACACACGTCACAAACAAGTTTCTGAGAATGCTTCTGTCTAGTTTTTATGGGAAGATATTTCCTTTTTCACCGTAGGCCTCAAAGCGCTCCAAATGTCCACTTCCACATACTACAAAAAGAGTGTTTCAAACCTGCTCTATGATAGGGAATGTTGAAACCTATGAGTTGAATGCAAGCATTACAAAGAGGTTTCTGAGAACGCTTCTGTCTAGATTTTATATGTAGATATTCCCGTTTCCAACGAAATCCTCAAAGCTATCCAAATATCAACTTGCAGATTCTACAAAAGGAATGTTTCCAAAATGCTGTATCCAAACAAAGGTTCAACTCTGTGAATTGAGGGCATACATCACAAAGAAGATTCTGAGAATGCTTCTGTCTAGATTTTATATGAAAATATTCCCGTTTCCAACGAAATCCTCAAAGCTATCCAAATATCCACTTGCAAATGCCACAAAAAGAGTGTTTCCAAACTGCTCTGTGAAAAGGAAGGTTCAACTCTGTTAGTTGAGTACACACATCACAAAGAGGTTTCTGAGAATGCTGCTGACTAGTTTTTATTTGAAGATATTTCCCTTTTCACCTTAGGCCTAAGAGTGCTCGAAATGTCCATTTCCACATACTCCACAAAGTGTGTTTCAAACGTGCTGTATGAAAGGGAACGTTCAACTCTATGAGTTGAATGCAAACATCACAAAGAAGATTCTGAGAATGCTTTTGTCTAGATTTTATATGAAGATATTCCCGTGTCCAACGAAATTTTCAAAGGTCTCCAAATATCCATTTGTAGATTCTACAAAAAGAGTGTTTCCAAACTGCTGTATCAAAACAAAGGTTGAACTCTGTGAGTTGAGGACACACATCACAAATAAGTTTCTGAGAATGCTTCTGTCTAGTTTTTATTTGAAGATGTTTCCTTTTTCACCATAGGCCTGAAAGCGCTCGAAATGTCCACTTCCAGATAGTACAGAAAGAGTGTTTCAAACCTGCTCTATGAACGGGAATGTTCAGCTCTGTGAGTTGAATGCAAACATCACAAAGCAGGTTCTGAGAATGCTTCCGTCTAGATTTTAAATGAGGATATTCCCGTTTCCAACGAAATCCTCGAAGCTATCCAAATATCCACTTGCAGATTCCACAAAAAGAGTGTTTCAAAACTGCTCTGTCAAAAGATAGGTTCAACTCTGTTAGTTGAGTACACACATGGCAAACAAGATTCCGAGAATGCTTTCGTCTAGTTTTTTTGGGAAGATATTTCCTTCTTCACCATAGGCCTCAAAGCGCTCCAAATATCCATTTCCACATGCTATACAAAGAGTGTCTCAAACCTGCTTTATGAATGGGAATGTTCAACTCTATGAGTTGAATGCAAACATCACAAAGAAGTTTCTGAGAATGCTGCTGTCTAGATTTTATATGAAGGTTTTCCCGCATCCAACGAAATTTTCAATGCTCTCAAAATATCCTCTTGTAGATTCTACAAAAAGAGTGTTTCCAAACTGCTGTATCAAAACAAAGGTTCATCTCTGTTAGTTGAGGACACACATCACAAATAAGTTTCTGAGAATGCTTCTGTCTAGTTCTTATTTGAAGACATTTCCTTTCTCACCTTAGGCCTGAAAACGCTCGAAATATCCACTTCCAGATACGACAGAAACAGTGATTCAAACCTGCTCTATAAAAGGGAATGTTCAACTAGGTGACTTGAATGCAAACATCACAAAGCAGTTTCTGAGAATGCTGCTGTCTACTTTGTATTTGTAATCCCGTTTCCACCGAAATCCTCAGAACTATCGAAATTTCCAATTGCAGATTCCACAAAAAGCGTGTTTCAAAGCTGCTCTGTAGAAAGAAAGGTTCAACTCTGTTAGTTGAATACACACGTCACAAACAAGTTTCTGAGAATGCTTCTGTCTAGTTTTTATGGGAAGATATTTCCTTTTTCACCGTAGGCCTCAAAGCGCTCCAAATGTCCACTTCCACATACTACAAAAAGAGTGTTTCAAACCTGCTGTATGAAAGGGAATGTTCAACTCTATGAGTTGAATGCAAACATTACAAAGAAGTTTCTGAGAATGCTTCTGTCTAGATTTTATATGAAGGTTTTCCCGTTTCCAACGAAATTTTCAATGCTCTCAAAATATCCACTTGTAGATTCTACAAAAAGAGTGTTTCCAAACTGCTGTGTCAAAAGAAAGGTTCAACTCTGTTAGTTGAGGACACACATCACAAATAAGTTTCTGAGAATGCTTCTGTCTAGTTCTTATTTGAAGACATTTCCTTTCTCACCTTAGGCCTGAAAACGCTCGAAATATCCACTTCCAGATACGACAGAAACAGTGATTCAAACCTGCTCTATGAAAGAGAATGTTCACCTAGGTGACTTGAATGCAAACATCACAAAGCAGTTTCTGAGAATGCTGCTGTCTACTTTCTATTTGTAATCCCGTTTCCAACGAAATCCTCAGAACTATCGAAATTTCCAATTGCAGATTCCACAAAAAGCGTGTTTCAAAGCTGCTCTGTAAAAAGAAAGGTTCAACTCTGTTAGTTGAATACACACGTCACAAACAAGTTTCTGAGAATGCTTCTCTCTAGTTTTTATGGGAAGATATTTCCTTTTTCACCGTAGGCCTCAAAGCGCTCCAAATGTCCACTTCCACATACTACAAAAAGAGTGTTTCAAACTTGCTCTATGATAGGGAATGTTGAAACCTATGAGTTGAATGCAAACATTACAAAGAGGTTTCTGAGAATGCTTCTGTCTAGATTTTATATGTAGATATTCCCGTTTCCAACGAAATCCTCAAAGCTATCCAAATATCAACTTGCAGATTCTACAAAAGGAATGTTTCCAAAATGCTGTATCCAAACAAAGGTTCAACTCTGTGAATTGAGGGCATACATCACAAAGAAGATTTTGAGAATGCTTCTGTCTAGATTTTATATGAAAATATTCCCGTTTCCAACGAAATCCTCAAAGCTATCCAAATATCCACTTGCAAATGCCACAAAAAGAGTGTTTCCAAACTGCTCTGTGAAAAGGAAGGTTCAACTCTGTTAGTTGAGTACACACATCACAAAGAGGTTTCTGAGAATGCTGCTGACTAGTTTTTATTTGAAGATATTTCCCTTTTCACCTTAGGCCTAAGAGTGCTCGAAATGTCCATTTCCACATACTCCACAAAGTGTGTTTCAAACGTGCTGTATGAAAGGGAACGTTCAAATCTATGAGTTGAATGCAAACATCACAAAGAAGATTCTGAGAATGCTTTTGTCTAGATTTTATATGAAGATATTCCCGTGTCCAACGAAATTTTCAAAGGTCTCCAAATATCCATTTGTAGATTCTACAAAAAGAGTGTTTCCAAACTGCTGTATCAAAACAAAGGTTGAACTCTGTGAGTTGAGGACACACATCACAAATAAGTTTCTGAGAATGCTTCTGTCTAGTTTTTATTTGAAGATGTTTCCTTTTTCACCATAGGCCTGAAAGCGCTCGAAATGTCCACTTCCAGATAGTACAGAAAGAGTGTTTCAAACCTGCTCTATGAACGGGAATGTTCAGCTCTGTGAGTTGAATGCAAACATCACAAAGCAGGTTCTGAGAATGCTTCCGTCTAGATTTTAAATGAGGATATTCCCGTTTCCAACGAAATCCTCGAAGCTATCCAAATATCCACTTGCAGATTCCACAAAAAGAGTGTTTCAAAACTGCTCTGTCAAAAGATAGGTTCAACTCTGTTAGTTGAGTACACACATGGCAAACAAGATTCCGAGAATGCTTTCGTCTAGTTTTTTTGGGAAGATATTTCCTTCTTCACCATAGGCCTCAAAGCGCTCCAAATATCCATTTCCACATGCTATACAAAGAGTATACAAACCTGCTGTATGAATGGGAATGTTCAACTCTATGAGTTGAATGCAAACATCACAAAGAAGTTTCTGAGAATGCTGCTGTCTAGATTTTATATGAAGGTTTTCCCGCTTCCAACGAAATTTTCAATGCTCTCAAAATATCCTCTTGTAGATTCTACAAAAAGAGTGTTTCCAAACTGCTGTATCAAAACAAAGGTTCATCTCTGTTAGTTCAGGACACACATCACAAATAAGTTTCTGAGAATGCTTCTGTCTAGTTCTTATTTGAAGACATTTCCTTTCTCACCTTAGGCCTGAAAACGCTCGAAATATCCACTTCCAGATACGACAGAAACTGTGATTCAAACCTGCTCTATGAAAGGGAATGTTCAACTAGGTGACTTGAATGCAAACATCACAAAGCAGTTTCTGAGAATGCTGCTGTCTACTTTCTATTTGTAATCCCGTTTGCAACGAAATCCTCAGAACTATCGAAATTTCCAATTGCAGATTCCACAGAAACAGGGTTTCAAAGCTGCTCTGTAAAAAGAAAGGTTCAACTCTGTTAGTTGAATACACACGTCACAAACAAGTTTCTGAGAATGCTTCTGTCTAGTTTTTATGGGAAGATATTTCCTTTTTCACCGTAGGCCTCAAAGCGCTCCAAATGTCCACTTCCACATACTACAAAAAGAGTGTTTCAAACCTGCTGTATGAAAGGGAATGTTCAACTCTATGAGTTGAATGCAAACATTACAAAGAAGTTTCTGAGAATGCTGCTGTCTAGATTTTATATGAAGGTTTTCCCGCTTCCAACGAAATTTTCAATGCTCTCAAAATATCCTCTTGTAGATTCTACAAAAAGAGTGTTTCCAAACTGCTGTATCAAAACAAAGGTTCATCTCTGTTAGTTGAGGACACACATCACAAATAAGTTTCTGAGAATGCTTCTGTCTAGTTCTTATTTGAAGACATTTCCTTTCTCACCTTAGGCCTGAAAGCGCTCGAAATACCCACTTCCAGATACTACAGAAACAGTGATTCAAACCTGCTCTATGAAAGGGAATGATCAACTATGTGACTTGAATGCAAACATCACAAAGCAGTTTCTGAGAATGCTGCTGTCTACTTTCTATTTGTAATCCCGTTTCCAACGAAATCCTCAGAACTATCGAAATTTCCAATTGCAGATTCCACAGAAACAGGGTTTCAAAGCTGCTCTGTAAAAAGAAAGGTTCAACTCTGTTAGTTGAATACACACGTCACAAACAAGTTTCTGAGAATGCTTCTGTCTAGTTTTTATGGGAAGATATTTCCTTTTTCACCGTAGGCCTCAAAGCGCTCCAAGTGTCCACTTCCACATACTACAAAAAGAGTGTTTCAAACCTGCTGTATGAAAGGGAATGTTCAACTCTATGAGTTGAATGCAAACATTACAAAGAAGTTTCTGAGAATGCTTCTGTCTAGATTTTATATGAAGGTTTTCCCGTTTCCAACGAAATTTTCAATGCTCTCAAAATATCCACCTGTAGATTCTACAAAAAGAGTGTTTCCAAACTGCTGTGTCAAAAGAAAAGTTCAACTCTGTTAGTTGAGGACACACATCACAAATAAGTTTCTGAGAATGCTTCTGTCTAGTTCTTATTTGAAGACATTTCCTTTCTCACCTTAGGCCTGAAAACGCTCGAAATATCCACTTCCAGATACGACAGAAACAGTGATTCAAACCTGCTCTATGAAAGGGAATGTTCAACTAGGTGACTTGAATGCAAACATCACAAAGCAGTTTCTGAGAATGCTGCTGTCTACTTTCTATTTGTAATCCCGTTTCCAACGAAATCCTCAGAACCATCGAAATTTCCAATTGCAGATTCCACAGAAACAGGGTTTCAAAGCTGCTCTGTAAAAAGAAAGGTTCAACTCTGTTAGTTGAATACACACGTCACAAACAAGTTTCTGAGAATGCTTCTGTCTAGTTTTTATGGGAAGATATTTCCTTTTTCACGGTAGGCCTCAAAGCGCTCCAAATGTCCACTTCCACATACTACAAAAAGAGTGTTTCAAACCTGCTCTATGATAGGGAATGTTGAAACCTATGAGTTGAATGCAAGCATTACAAAGAGGTTTCTGAGAATGCTTCTGTCTAGATTTTATATGTAGATATTCCCGTTTCCAACGAAATCCTCAAAGCTATCCAAATATCAACTTGCAGATTCTACAAAAGGAATGTTTCCAAAATGCTGTATCCAAACAAAGGTTCAACTCTGTGAATTGAGGGCATACATCACAAAGAAGATTCTGAGAATGCTTCTGTCTAGATTTTATATGAAAATATTCCCGTTTCCAACGAAATCCTCAAAGCTATCCAAATATCCACTTGCAAATGCCACAAAAAGAGTGTTTCCAAACTGCTCTGTGAAAAGGAAGGTTCAACTCTGTTAGTTGAGTACACACATCACAAAGAGGTTTCTGAGAATGCTGCTGACTAGTTTTTATTTGAAGATATTTCCCTTTTCACCTTAGGCCTAAGAGTGCTCGAAATGTCCATTTCCACATACTCCACAAAGTGTGTTTCAAACGTGCTGTATGAAAGGGAATGTTCAACTCTATGAGTTGAATGCAAACATCACAAAGAAGATTCTGAGAATGCTTTTGTCTAGATTTTATATGAAGATATTCCCGTGTCCAACGAAATTTTCAAAGGTCTCCAAATATCCATTTGTAGATTCTACAAAAAGAGTGTTTCCAAACTGCTGTATCAAAACAAAGGTTGAACTCTGTGAGTTGAGGACACACATCACAAATAAGTTTCTGAGAATGCTTCTGTCTAGTTTTTATTTGAAGATGTTTCCTTTTTCACCATAGGCCTGAAAGCGCTCGAAATGTCCACTTCCAGATAGTACAGAAAGAGTGTTTCAAACCTGCTCTATGAACGGGAATGTTCAGCTCTGTGAGTTGAATGCAAACATCACAAAGCAGGTTCTGAGAATGCTTCCGTCTAGGATTTTAAATGAGGATATTCCCGTTTCCAACGAAATCCTCGAAGCTATCCAAATATCCACTTGCAGATTCCACAAAAAGAGTGTTTCAAAACTGCTCTGTCAAAAGATAGGTTCAACTCTGTTAGTTGAGTACACACATGGCAAACAAGATTCCGAGAATGCTTTCGTCTAGTTTTTTTGGGAAGATATTTCCTTCTTCACCATAGGCCTCAAAGCGCTCCAAATATCCATTTCCACATGCTATACAAAGAGTGTCTCAAACCTGCTGTATGAATGGGAATGTTCAACTCTATGAGTTGAATGCAAACATCACAAAGAAGTTTCTGAGAATGCTGCTGTCTAGATTTTATATGAAGGTTTTCCCGCTTCTAACGAAATTTTCAATGCTCTCAAAATATCCTCTTGTAGATTCTACAAAAAGAGTGTTTCCAAACTGCTGTATCAAAACAAAGGTTCATCTCTGTTAGTTGAGGACACACATCACAAATATGTTTCTGAGAATGCTTCTGTCTAGTTCTTATTTGAAGACATTTCCTTTCTCACCTTAGGCCTGAAAGCGCTCGAAATACCCACTTCCAGATACTACAGAAACAGTGATTCAAACCTGCTCTATGAAAGGGAATGTTCAACTAGGTGACTTGAATGCAAACATCACAAAGCAGTTTCTGAGAATGCTGCTGTCTACTTTCTATTTGTAATCCCGTTTCCAACGAAATCCTCAGAACTATCGAAATTTCCAATTGCAGATTCCACAGAAACAGGGTTTCAAAGCTGCTCTGTAAAAAGAAAGGTTCAACTCTGTTAGTTGAATACACACGTCACAAACAAGTTTCTGAGAATGCTTCTGTCTAGTTTTTATGGGAAGATATTTCCTTTTTCACCGTAGGCCTCAAAGCGCTCCAAATGTCCACGTCCACATACTACAAAAAGAGTGTTTCAAACCTGCTGTATGAAAGGGAATGTTCAACTCTATGAGTTGAATGCAAACATTACAAAGAAGTTTCTGAGAATGCTTCTGTCTAGATTTTATATGAAGGTTTTCCCGTTTCCAACGAAATTTTCAATGCTCTCAAAATATCCACTTGTAGATTCTACAAAAAGAGTGTTTCCAAACTGCTGTGTCAAAAGAAAGGTTCAACTCTGTTAGTTGAGGACACACATCACAAATAAGTTTCTGAGAATGCTTCTGTCTAGTTCTTATTTGAAGACATTTCCTTTCTCACCTTAGGCCTGAAAACGCTCGAAATATCCACTTCCAGATACGACAGAAACAGTGATTCAAACCTGCTCTATGAAAGGGAATGTTCAACTAGGTGACTTGAATGCAAACATCACAAAGCAGTTTCTGAGAATGCTGCTGTCTACTTTCTATTTGTAATCCCGTTTCCAACGAAATCCTCAGAACTATCGAAATTTCCAATTGCAGATTCCACAGAAACAGGGTTTCAAAGCTGCTCTGTAAAAAGAAAGGTTCAACTCTGTTAGTTGAATACACACGTCACAAACAAGTTTCTGAGAATGCTTCTGTCTAGTTTTTATGGGAAGATATTTCCTTTTTCACCGTAGGCCTCAAAGCGCTCCAAATGTCCACTTCCACATACTACAAAAAGAGTGTTTCAAACCTGCTGTATGAAAGGGAATGTTCAACTCTATGAGTTGAATGCAAACATTACAAAGAAGTTTCTGAGAATGCTTCTGTCTAGATTTTATATGAAGGTTTTCCCGTTTCCAACGAAATTTTCAATGCTCTCAAAATATCCACTTGTAGATTCTACAAAAAGAGTGTTTCCAAACTGCTGTGTCAAAAGAAAGGTTCAACTCTGTTAGTTGAGGACACACATCACAAATAAGTTTCTGAGAATGCTTCTGTCTAGTTCTTATTTGAAGACATTTCCTTTCTCACCTTAGGCCTGAAAACGCTCGAAATATCCACTTCCAGATACGACAGAAACAGTGATTCAAACCTGCTCTATGAAAGGGAATGTTCAACTAGGTGACTTGAATGCAAACATCACAAAGCAGTTTCTGAGAATGCTGCTGTCTACTTTCTATTTGTAATCCCGTTTCCAACGAAATCCTCAGAACTATCGAAATTTCCAATTGCAGATTCCACAAAAAGCGTGTTTCAAAGCTGCTCTGTAAAAAGAAAGGTTCAACTCTGTTAGTTGAATACACACGTCACAAACAAGTTTCTGAGAATGCTTCTGTCTAGTTTTTATGGGAAGATATTTCCTTTTTCACCGTAGGCCTCAAAGCGCTCCAAATGTCCACTTCCACATACTACAAAAAGAGTGTTTCAAACCTGCTCTATGATAGGGAATGTTGAAACCTATGAGTTGAATGCAAGCATTACAAAGAGGTTTCTGAGAATGCTTCTGTCTAGATTTTATATGTAGATATTCCCGTTTCCAACGAAATCCTCAAAGCTATCCAAATATCAGCTTGCAGATTCTGCAAAAGGAATGTTTCCAAAATGCTGTATCCAAACAAAGGTTCAACTCTGTGAATTGAGGGCATACATCACAAAGAAGATTCTGAGAATGCTTCTGTCTAGATTTTATATGAAAATATTCCCGTTTCCAACGAAATCCTCAAAGCTATCCAAATATCCACTTGCAAATGCCACAAAAAGAGTGTTTCCAAACTGCTCTGTGAAAAGGAAGGTTCAACTCTGTTAGTTGAGTACACACATCACAAAGAGGTTTCTGAGAATGCTGCTGACTAGTTTTTATTTGAAGATATTTCCCTTTTCACCTTAGGCCTAAGAGTGCTCGAAATGTCCATTTCCACATACTCCACAAAGTGTGTTTCAAACGTGCTGTATGAAAGGGAATGTTCAACTCTATGAGTTGAATGCAAACATCACAAAGAAGATTCTGAGAATGCTTTTGTCTAGATTTTATATGAAGATATTCCCGTGTCCAACGAAATTTTCAAAGGTCTCCAAATATCCATTTGTAGATTCTACAAAAAGAGTGTTTCCAAACTGCTGTATCAAAACAAAGGTTGAACTCTGTGAGTTGAGGACACACATCACAAATAAGTTTCTGAGAATGCTTCTGTCTAGTTTTTATTTGAAGATGTTTCCTTTTTCACCATAGGCCTGAAAGCGCTCGAAATGTCCACTTCCAGATAGTACAGAAAGAGTGTTTCAAACCTGCTCTATGAACGGGAATGTTCAGCTCTGTGAGTTGAATGCAAACATCACAAAGCAGTTCCGAGAATGCTTCCGTCTAGTATTTTAAATGAGGATATTCCCGTTTCCAACGAAATCCTCGAAGCTATCCAAATATCCACTTGCAGATTCCACAAAAAGAGTGTTTCAAAACTGCTGTGTCAAAAGATAGGTTCAACTCTGTTAGTTGAGTACACACATGGCAAACAAGATTGCGAGAATGCTTTCGTCTAGTTTTTTTGGGAAGATATTTCCTTCTTCACCATAGGCCTCAAAGCGCTCCAAATATCCATTTCCACATGCTATACAAAGAGTGTCTCAAACCTGCTGTATGAATGGGAATGTTCAACTCTATGAGTTGAATGCAAACATCACAAAGAAGTTTCTGAGAATGCTGCTGTCTAGATTTTATATGAAGGTTTTCCCGCTTCCAACGAAATTTTCAATGCTCTCAAAATATCCTCTTGTAGATTCTACAAAAAGAGTGTTTCCAAACTGCTGTATCAAAACAAAGGTTCATCTCTGTTAGTTGAGGACACACATCACAAATAAGTTTCTGAGAATGCTTCTGTCTAGTTCTTATTTGAAGACATTTCCTTTCTCACCTTAGGCCTGAAAGCGCTCGAAATACCCACTTCCAGATACTACAGAAACAGTGATTCAAACCTGCTCTATGAAAGGGAATGTTCAACTATGTGACTTGAATGCAAACATCACAAAGCAGTTTCTGAGAATGCTGCTGTCTACTTTCTATTTGTAATCCCGTTTCCAACGAAATCCTCAGAACTATCGAAATTTCCAATTGCAGATTCCACAGAAACAGGGTTTCAAAGCTGCTCTGTAAAAAGAAAGGTTCAACTCTGTTAGTTGAATACACACGTCACAAACAAGTTTCTGAGAATGCTTCTGTCTAGTTTTTATGGGAAGATATTTCCTTTTTCACCGTAGGCCTCAAAGCGCTCCAAATGTCCACTTCCACATACTACAAAAAGAGTGTTTCAAACCTGCTGTATGAAAGGGAATGTTCAACTCTATGAGTCGAATGCAAACATTACAAAGAAGTTTCTGAGAATGCTTCTGTCTAGATTTTATATGAAGGTTTTCCCCGTTTCCAACGAAATTTTCAATGCTCTCAAAATATCCACTTGTAGATTCTACAAAAAGAGTGTTTCCAAACTGCTGTGTCAAAAGAAAGGTTCAACTCTGTTAGTTGAGGACACACATCACAAATAAGTTTCTGAGAATGCTTCTGTCTAGTTCTTATTTGAAGACATTTCCTTTCTCACCTTAGGCCTGAAAACGCTCGAAATATCCACTTCCAGATACGACAGAAACAGTGATTCAAACCTGCTCTATGAAAGGGAATGTTCAACTAGGTGACTTGAATGCAAACATCACAAAGCAGTTTCTGAGAATGCTGCTGTCTACTTTCTATTTGTAATCCCGTTTCCAACGAAATCCTCAGAACTATCGAAATTTCCAATTGCAGATTCCACAAAAAGCGTGTTTCAAAGCTGCTCTGTAAAAAGAAAGGTTCAACTCTGTTAGTTGAATACACACGTCACAAACAAGTTTCTGAGAATGCTTCTGTCTAGTTTTTATGGGAAGATATTTCCTTTTTCACCGTAGGCCTCAAAGCGCTCCAAATGTCCACTTCCACATACTACAAAAAGAGTGTTTCAAACCTGCTCTATGATAGGGAATGTTGAAACCTATGAGTTGAATGCAAGCATTACAAAGAGGTTTCTGAGAATGCTTCTGTCTAGATTTTATATGTAGATATTCCCGTTTCCAACGAAATCCTCAAACTATCCAAATATCAACTTGCAGATTCTACAAAAGGAATGTTTCCAAAATGCTGTATCCAAACAAAGGTTCAACTCTGTGAATTGAGGGCATACATCACAAAGAAGATTCTGAGAATGCTTCTGTCTAGATTTTATATGAAAATATTCCCGTTTCCAACGAAATCCTCAAAGCTATCCAAATATCCACTTGCAAATGCCACAAAAAGAGTGTTTCCAAACTGCTCTGTGAAAAGGAAGGTTCAACTCTGTTAGTTGAGTACACACATCACAAAGAGGTTTCTGAGAATGCTGCTGACTAGTTTTTATTTGAAGATATTTCCCTTTTCACCTTAGGCCTAAGAGTGCTCGAAATGTCCATTTCCACATACTCCACAAAGTGTGTTTCAAACGTGCTGTATGAAAGGGAATGTTCAACTCTATGAGTTGAATGCAAACATCACAAAGAAGATTCTGAGAATGCTTTTGTCTAGATTTTATATGAAGATATTCCCGTGTCCAACGAAATTTTCAAAGGTCTCCAAATATCCATTTGTAGATTCTACAAAAAGAGTGTTTCCAAACTGCTGTATCAAAACAAAGGTTGAACTCTGTGAGTTGAGGACACACATCACAAATAAGTTTCTGAGAATGCTTCTGTCTAGTTTTTATTTGAAGATGTTTCCTTTTTCACCATAGGCCTGAAAGCGCTCGAAATGTCCACTTCCAGATAGTACAGAAAGAGTGTTTCAAACCTGCTCTATGAACGGGAATGTTCAGCTCTGTGAGTTGAATGCAAATATCACAAAGCAGGTTCTGAGAATGCTTCCGTCTAGATTTTAAATGAGGATATTCCCGTTTCCAACGAAATCCTCGAAGCTATCCAAATATCCACTTGCAGATTCCACAAAAAGAGTGTTTCAAAACTGCTCTGTCAAAAGATAGGTTCAACTCTGTTAGTTGAGTACACACATGGCAAACAAGATTCCGAGAATGGTTTCATCTAGTTTTTTTGGGAAGATATTTCCTTCTTCACCATAGGCCTCAAAGCGCTCCAAATATCCATTTCCACATGCTATACAAAGAGTGTCTCAAACCTGCTGTATGAATGGGAATGTTCAACTCTATGAGTTGAATGCAAACATCACAAAGAAGTTTCTGAGAATGCTTCTGTCTAGATTTTATATGAAGGTTTTCCCGTTTCCAAGGAAATTTTCAATGCTCTCAAAATATACACTTGTAGATTCTACAAAAAGAGTGTTTCCAAACTGCTGTGTCAAAAGAAAGGTTCAACTCTGTTAGTTGAGGACACACATCACAAATAAGTTTCTGAGAATGCTTCTGTCTAGTTCTTATTTGAAGACATTTCCTTTCTCACCTTAGGCCTGAAAACGCTCGAAATATCCACTTCCAGATACGACAGAAACTGTGATTCAAACCTGCTCTATGAAAGGGAATGTTCAACTAGGTGACTTGAATGCAAACATCACAAAGCAGTTTCTGAGAATGCTGCTGTCTACTTTCTATTTGTAATCCCGTTTCCAACGAAATCCTCAGAACCATCGAAATTTCCAATTGCAGATTCCACAGAAACAGGGTTTCAAAGCTGCTCTGTAAAAAGAAAGGTTCAACTCTGTTAGTTGAATACACACGTCACAAACAAGTTTCTGAGAATGCTTCTGTCTAGTTTTTATGGGAAGATATTTCCTTTTTCACGGTAGGCCTCAAAGCGCTCCAAATGTCCACTTCCACATACTACAAAAAGAGTGTTTCAAACCTGCTCTATGATAGGGAATGTTGAAACCTATGAGTTGAATGCAAGCATTACAAAGAGGTTTCTGAGAATGCTTCTGTCTAGATTTTATATGTAGATATTCCCGTTTCCAACGAAATCCTCAAAGCTATCCAAATATCAACTTGCAGATTCTACAAAAGGAATGTTTCCAAAATGCTGTATCCAAACAAAGGTTCAACTCTGTGAATTGAGGGCATACATCACAAAGAAGATTCTGAGAATGCTTCTGTCTAGATTTTATATGAAAATATTCCCGTTTCCAACGAAATCCTCAAAGCTATCCAAATATCCACTTGCAAATGCCACAAAAAGAGTGTTTCCAAACTGCTCTGTGAAAAGGAAGGTTCAACTCTGTTAGTTGAGTACACACATCACAAAGAGGTTTCTGAGAATGCTGCTGACTAGTTTTTATTTGAAGATATTTCCCTTTTCACCTTAGGCCTAAGAGTGCTCGAAATGTCCATTTCCACATACTCCACAAAGTGTGTTTCAAACGTGCTGTATGAAAGGGAATGTTCAACTCTATGAGTTGAATGCAAACATCACAAAGAAGATTCTGAGAATGCTTTTGTCTAGATTTTATATGAAGATATTCCCGTGTCCAACGAAATTTTCAAAGGTCTCCAAATATCCATTTGTAGATTCTACAAAAAGAGTGTTTCCAAACTGCTGTATCAAAACAAAGGTTGAACTCTGTGAGTTGAGGACACACATCACAAATAAGTTTCTGAGAATGCTTCTGTCTAGTTTTTATTTGAAGATGTTTCCTTTTTCACCATAGGCCTGAAAGCGCTCGAAATGTCCACTTCCAGATAGTACAGAAAGAGTGTTTCAAACCTGCTCTATGAACGGGAATGTTCAGCTCTGTGAGTTGAATGCAAACATCACAAAGCAGGTTCTGAGAATGCTTCCGTCTAGATTTTAAATGAGGATATTCCCGTTTCCAACGAAATCCTCGAAGCTATCCAAATATCCACTTGCAGATTCCACAAAAAGAGTGTTTCAAAACTGCTCTGTCAAAAGATAGGTTCAACTCTGTTAGTTGAGTACACACATGGCAAACAAGATTGCGAGAATGCTTTCGTCTAGTTTTTTTGGGAAGATATTTCCTTCTTCACCATAGGCCTCAAAGCGCTCCAAATATCCATTTCCACATGCTATACAAAGAGTGTCTCAAACCTGCTGTATGAATGGGAATGTTCAACTCTATGAGTTGAATGCAAACATCACAAAGAAGTTTCTGAGAATGCTGCTGTCTAGATTTTATATGAAGGTTTTCCCGCTTCCAACGAAATTTTCAATGCTCTCAAAATATCCTCTTGTAGATTCTACAAAAAGAGTGTTTCCAAACTGCTGTATCAAAACAAAGGTTCATCTCTGTTAGTTGAGGACACACATCACAAATAAGTTTCTGAGAATGCTTCTGTCTAGTTCTTATTTGAAGACATTTCCTTTCTCACCTTAGGCCTGAAAGCGCTCGAAATACCCACTTCCAGATACTACAGAAACAGTGATTCAAACCTGCTCTATGAAAGGGAATGTTCAACTATGTGACTTGAATGCAAACATCACAAAGCAGTTTCTGAGAATGCTGCTGTCTACTTTCTATTTGTAATCCCGTTTCCAACGAAATCCTCAGAACTATCGAAATTTCCAATTGCAGATTCCACAGAAACAGGGTTTCAAAGCTGCTCTGTAAAAAGAAAGGTTCAACTCTGTTAGTTGAATACACACGTCACAAACAAGTTTCTGAGAATGCTTCTGTCTAGTTTTTATGGGAAGCATATTTCCTTTTTCACCGTAGGCCTCAAAGCGCTCCAAATGTCCACTTCCACATACTACAAAAAGAGTGTTTCAAACCTGCTGTATGAAAGGGAATGTTCAACTCTATGAGTTGAATGCAAACATTACAAAGAAGTTTCTGAGAATGCTTCTGTCTAGATTTTATATGAAGGTTTTCCCGTTTCCAACGAAATTTTCAATGCTCTCAAAATATCCACTTGTAGATTCTACAAAAAGAGTGTTTCCAAACTGCTGTGTCAAAAGAAAGGTTCAACTCTGTTAGTTGAGGACACACATCACAAATAAGTTTCTGAGAATGCTGCTGTCTACTTTCTATTTGTAATCCCGTTTCCAACAAAATCCTCAGAACTATCGAAATTTCCAATTGCAGATTCCACAAAAAGCGTGTTTCAAAGCTGCTCTGTAAAAAGAAAGGTTCAACTCTGTTAGGTGAATACACACGTCACAAACAAGTTTCTGAGAATGCTTCTGTCTAGTTTTTATGGGAAGATATTTCCTTTTTCACCGTAGGCCTCAAAGCGCTCCAAATGTCCACTTCCACATACTACAAAAAGAGTGTTTCAAACCTGCTCTATGATAGGGAATGTTGAAACCTATGAGTTGAATGCAAGCATTACAAAGAGGTTTCTGAGAATGCTTCTGTCTAGATTTTATATGTAGATATTCCCGTTTCCAACGAAATCCTCAAAGCTATCCAAATATCAACTTGCAGATTCTACAAAAGGAATGTTTCCAAAATGCTGTATCCAAACAAAGGTTCAACTCTGTGAATTGAGGGCATACATCACAAAGAAGATTCTGAGAATGCTTCTGTCTAGATTTTATATGAAAATATTCCCGTTTCTAACGAAATCCTCAAAGCTATCCAAATATCCACTTGCAAATGCCACAAAAAGAGTGTTTCCAAACTGCTCTGTGAAAAGGAAGGTTCAACTCTGTTAGTTGAGTACACACATCACAAAGAGGTTTCTGAGAATGCTGCTGACTAGTTTTTATTTGAAGATATTTCCCTTTTCACCTTAGGCCTAAGAGTGCTCGAAATGTCCATTTCCACATACTCCACAAAGTGTGTTTCAAACGTGCTGTATGAAAGGGAATGTTCAACTCTATGAGTTGAATGCAAACATCACAAAGAAGACTCTGAGAATGCTTTTGTCTAGATTTTATATGAAGATATTCCCGTGTCCAACGAAATTTTCAAAGGTCTCCAAATACCCATTTGTAGATTCTACAAAAAGAGTGTTTCCAAACTGCTGTATCAAAACAAAGGTTGAACTCTGTGAGTTGAGGACACACATCACAAATAAGTTTCTGAGAATGCTTCTGTCTAGTTTTTATTTGAAGATGTTTCCTTTTTCACCATAGGCCTGAAAGCGCTCGAAATGTCCACTTCCAGATAGTACAGAAAGAGTGTTTCAAACCTGCTCTATGAACGGGAATGTTCAGCTCTGTGAGTTGAATGCAAACATCACAAAGCAGGTTCTGAGAATGCTTCCGTCTAGATTTTAAATGAGGATATTCCCGTTTCCAACGAAATCCTCGAAGCTATCCAAATATCCACTTGCAGATTCCACAAAAAGAGTGTTTCAAAACTGCTCTGTCAAAAGATAGGTTCAACTCTGTTAGTTGAGTACACACATGGCAAACAAGATTGCGAGAATGCTTTCGTCTAGTTTTTTTGGGAAGATATTTCCTTCTTCACCATAGGCCTCAAAGCGCTCCAAATATCCATTTCCACATGCTATACAAAGAGTGTCTCAAACCTGCTGTATGAATGGGAATGTTCAACTCTATGAGTTGAATGCAAACATCACAAAGAAGTTTCTGAGAATGCTGCTGTCTAGATTTTATATGAAGGTTTTCCCGCTTCCAATGAAATTTTCAATGCTCTCAAAATATCCTCTTGTAGATTCTACAAAAAGAGTGTTTCTAAACTGCTGTGTCAAAACAAAGGTTCATCTCTGTTAGTTGAGGACACACATCACAAATAAGTTTCTGAGAATGCTTCTGTCTAGTTCTTATTTGAAGACATTTCCTTTCTCACCTTAGGCCTGAAAACGCTCGAAATATCCACTTCCAGATACGACAGAAACAGTGATTCAAACCTGCTCTATGAAAGGGAATGTTCAACTAGGTGACTTGAATGCAAACATCACAAAGCAGTTTCTGAGAATGCTGCTGTCTACTTTCTATTTGTAATCCCGTTTCCAACGAAATCCTCAGAACTATCGAAATTTCCAATTGCAGATTCCACAAAAAGCGTGTTTCAAAGCTGCTCTGTAAAAAGAAAGGTTCAACTCTGTTAGTTGAATACACACGTCACAAACAAGTTTCTGAGAATGCTTCTGTCTAGTTTTTATGGGAAGATATTTCCTTTTTCACCGTAGGCCTCAAAGCGCTCCAAATGTCCACTTCCACATACTACAAAAAGAGTGTTTCAAACCTACTCTATGATAGGGAATGTTGAAACCTATGAGTTGAATGCAAGCATTACAAAGAGGTTTCTGAGAATGCTTCTGTCTAGATTTTATATGTAGATATTCCCGTTTCCAACGAAATCCTCAAAGCTATCCAAATATCAACTTGCAGATTCTACAAAAGGAATGTTTCCAAAATGCTGTATCCAAACAAAGGTTCAACTCTGTGAATTGAGGGCATACATCACAAAGAAGATTCTGAGAATGCTTCTGTCTAGATTTTATATGAAAATATTCCCGTTTCCAACGAAATCCTCAAAGCTATCCAAATATCCACTTGCAAATGCCACAAAAAGAGTGTTTCCAAACTGCTCTGTGAAAAGGAAGGTTCAACTCTGTTAGTTGAGTACACACATCACAAAGAGGTTTCTGAGAATGCTGCTGACTAGTTTTTATTTGAAGATATTTCCCTTTTCACCTTAGGCCTAAGAGTGCTCGAAATGTCCATTTCCACATACTCCACAAAGTGTGTTTCAAACGTGCTGTATGAAAGGGAATGTTCAACTCTATGAGTTGAATGCAAACATCACAAAGAAGATTCTGAGAATGCTTTTGTCTAGATTTTATATGAAGATATTCCCGTGTCCAACGAAATTTTCAAATGTCTCCAAATAAAGATTGTTTCCAAACTGCTGTATCAAAACAAAGGTTGAACTCTGTGAGTTGAGGACACACATCACAAATAAGTTTCTGAGAATGCTTCTGTCTAGTTTTTATTTGAAGATGTTTCCTTTTTCACCATAGGCCTGAAAGCGCTCGAAATGTCCACTTCCAGATAGTACAGAAAGAGTGTTTCAAACCTGCTCTATGAACGGGAATGTTCAGCTCTGTGAGTTGAATGCAAACATCACAAAGCAGGTTCTGAGAATGCTTCCGTCTAGATTTTAAATGAGGATATTCCCGTTTCCAACGAAATCCTCGAAGCTATCCAAATATCCACTTGCAGATTCCACAAAAAGAGTGTTTCAAAACTGCTCTGTCAAAAGATAGGTTCAACTCTGTTAGTTGAGTACACACATGGCAAACAAGATTGCGAGAATGCTTTCGTCTAGTTTTTTTGGGAAGATATTTCCTTCTTCACCATAGGCCTCAAAGCGCTCCAAATATCCATTTCCACATGCTATACAAAGAGTGTCTCAAACCTGCTGTATGAATGGGAATGTTCAACTCTATGAGTTGAATGCAAACATCACAAAGAAGTTTCTGAGAATGCTGCTGTCTAGATTTTATATGAAGGTTTTCCCGCTTCCAACGAAATTTTCAATGCTCTCAAAATATCCTCTTGTAGATTCTACAAAAAGAGTGTTTCCAAACTGCTGTATCAAAACAAAGGTTCATCTCTGTTAGTTGAGGACACACATCACAAATAAGTTTCTGAGAATGCTTCTGTCTAGTTCTTATTTGAAGACATTTCCTTTCTCACCTTAGGCCTGAAAGCGCTCGAAATACCCACTTCCAGATACTACAGAAACAGTGATTCAAACCTGCTCTATGAAAGGGAATGTTCAACTATGTGACTTGAATGCAAACATCACAAAGCAGTTTCTGAGAATGCTGCTGTCTACTTTCTATTTGTAATCCCGTTTCCAACGAAATCCTCAGAACTATCGAAATTTCCAATTGCAGATTCCACAGAAACAGGGTTTCAAAGCTGCTCTGTAAAAAGAAAGGTTCAACTCTGTTAGTTGAATACACACGTCACAAACAAGTTTCTGAGAATGCTTCTGTCTAGTTTTTATGGGAAGATATTTCCTTTTTCACCGTAGGCCTCAAAGCGCTCCAAATGTCCACTTCCACATACTACAAAAAGAGTGTTTCAAACCTGCTGTATGAAAGGGAATGTTCAACTCTATGAGTTGAATGCAAACATTACAAAGAAGTTTCTGAGAATGCTTCTGTCTAGATTTTATATGAAGGTTTTCCCGTTTCCAACGAAATTTTCAATGCTCTCAAAATATCCACTTGTAGATTCTACAAAAAGAGTGTTTCCAAACTGCTGTGTCAAAAGAAAGGTTCAACTCTGTTAGTTGAGGACACACATCACAAATAAGTTTCTGAGAATGCTTCTGTCTAGTTCTTATTTGAAGACATTTCCTTTCTCACCTTAGGCCTGAAAACGCTCGAAATATCCACTTCCAGATACGACAGAAACAGTGATTCAAACCTGCTCTATGAAAGGGAATGTTCAACTAGGTGACTTGAATGCAAACATCACAAAGCAGTTTCTGAGAATGCTGCTGTCTACTTTCTATTTGTAATCCCGTTTCCAACGAAATCCTCAGAACTATCGAAATTTCCAACTGCAGATTCCACAAAAAGCGTGTTTCAAAGCTGCTCTGTAAAAAGAAAGGTTCAACTCTGTTAGTTGAATACACACGTCACAAACAAGTTTCTGAGAATGCTTCTGTCTAGTTTTTATGGGAAGATATTTCCTTTTTCACCGTAGGCCTCAAAGCGCTCCAAATGTCCACTTCCACATACTACAAAAAGAGTGTTTCAAACCTGCTCTATGATAGGGAATGTTGAAACCTATGAGTTGAATGCAAGCATTACAAAGAGGTTTTTGAGAATGCTTCTGTCTAGATTTTATATGTAGATATTCCCGTTTCCAACGAAATCCTCAAAGCTATCCAAATATCAACTTGCAGATTCTACAAAAGGAATGTTTCCAAAGTGCTGTATCCAAACAAAGGTTCAACTCTGTGAATTGAGGGCATACATCACAAAGAAGATTCTGAGAATGCTTCTGTCTAGATTTTATATGAAAATATTCCCGTTTCCAACGAAATCCTCAAAGCTATCCAAATATCCACTTGCAAATGCCACAAAAAGAGTGTTTCCAAACTGCTCTGTGAAAAGGAAGGTTCAACTCTGTTAGTTGAGTACACACATCACAAAGAGGTTTCTGAGAATGCTGCTGACTAGTTTTTATTTGAAGATATTTCCCTTTTCACCTTAGGCCTAAGAGTGCTCGAAATGTCCATTTCCACATACTCCACAAAGTGTGTTTCAAACGTGCTGTATGAAAGGTAATGTTCAACTCTATGAGTTGAATGCAAACATCACAAAGAAGATTCTGAGAATGCTTTTGTCTAGATTTTATATGAAGAT
Organism: Homo sapiens; assembly: GCF_000001405.40. Lineage (NCBI taxonomy): Eukaryota > Metazoa > Chordata > Mammalia > Primates > Hominidae > Homo > Homo sapiens. The sequence goes on along the minus strand of NC_000015.10, from coordinate 19,370,533 downwards.
ATTCCCGTGTCCAACGAAATTTTCAAAGGTCTCCAAATATCCATTTGTAGATTCTACAAAAAGAGTGTTTCCAAACTGCTGTATCAAAACAAAGGTTGAACTCTGTGAGTTGAGGACACACATCACAAATAAGTTTCTGAGAATGCTTCTGTCTAGTTTTTATTTGAAGATGTTTCCTTTTTCACCATAGGCCTGAAAGCGCTCGAAATGTCCACTTCCAGATAGTACAGAAAGAGTGTTTCAAACCTGCTCTATGAACGGGAATGTTCAGCTCTGTGAGTTGAATGCAAACATCACAAAGCAGGTTCTGAGAATGCTTCCGTCTAGATTTTAAATGAGGATATTCCCGTTTCCAACGAAATCCTCGAAGCTATCCAAATATCCACTTGCAGATTCCACAAAAAGAGTGTTTCAAAACTGCTCTGTCAAAAGATAGGTTCAACTCTGTTAGTTGAGTACACACATGGCAAACAAGATTGCGAGAATGCCTTCGTCTAGTTTTTTTGGGAAGATATTTCCTTCTTCACCATAGGCCTCAAAGCGCTCCAAATATCCATTTCCACATGCTATACAAAGAGTGTCTCAAACCTGCTGTATGAATGGGAATGTTCAACTCTATGAGTTGAATGCAAACATCACAAAGAAGTTTCTGAGAATGCTGCTGTCTAGATTTTATATGAAGGTTTTCCCGCTTCCAACGAAATTTTCAATGCTCTCAAAATATCCTCTTGTAGATTCTACAAAAAGAGTGTTTCCAAACTGCTGTATCAAAACAAAGGTTCATCTCTGTTAGTTGAGGACACACATCACAAATAAGTTTCTGAGAATGCTTCTGTCTAGTTCTTATTTGAAGACATTTCCTTTCTCACCTTAGGCCTGAAAGCGCTCGAAATACCCACTTCCAGATACTACAGAAACAGTGATTCAAACCTGCTCTATGAAAGGGAATGTTCAACTAGGTGACTTGAATGCAAACATCACAAAGCAGTTTCTGAGAATGCTTGCTGTCTACTTTCTATTTGTAATCCCGTTTCCAACGAAATCCTCAGAACTATCGAAATTTCCAATTGCAGATTCCACAGAAACAGGGTTTCAAAGCTGCTCTGTAAAAAGAAAGGTTCAACTCTGTTAGTTGAATACACACGTCACAAACAAGTTTCTGAGAATGCTTCTGTCTAGTTTTTATGGGAAGATATTTCCTTTTTCACCGTAGGCCTCAAAGCGCTCCAAATGTCCACGTCCACATACTACAAAAAGAGTGTTTCAAACCTGCTGTATGAAAGGGAATGTTCAACTCTATGAGTTGAATGCAAACATTACAAAGAAGTTTCTGAGAATGCTTCTGTCTAGATTTTATATGAAGGTTTTCCCGTTTCCAACGAAATTTTCAATGCTCTCAAAATATCCACTTGTAGATTCTACAAAAAGAGTGTTTCCAAACTGCTGTGTCAAAAGAAAGGTTCAACTCTGTCAGTTGAGGACACACATCACAAATAGGTTTCTGAGAATGCTTCTGTCTAGTTCTTATTTGAAGACATTTCCTTTCTCACCTTAGGCCTGAAAGCGCTCGAAATACCCACTTCCAGATACTACAGAAACAGTGATTCAAACCTGCTCTATGAAAGGGAATGTTCAACTAGGTGACTTGAATGCAAACATCACAAAGCAGTTTCTGAGAATGCTGCTGTCTACTTTCTATTTGTAATCCCGTTTCCAACGAAATCCTCAGAACTATCGAAATTTCCAATTGCAGATTCCACAGAAACAGGGTTTCAAAGCTGCTCTGTAAAAAGAAAGGTTCAACTCTGTTAGTTGAATACACACGTCACAAACAAGTTTCTGAGAATGCTTCTGTCTAGTTTTTATGGGAAGATATTTCCTTTTTCACCGTAGGCCTCAAAGCGCTCCAAATGTCCACGTCCACATACTACAAAAAGAGTGTTTCAAACCTGCTGTATGAAAGGGAATGTTCAACTCTATGAGTTGAATGCAAGCATTACAAAGAAGTTTCTGAGAATGCTTCTGTCTAGATTTTATATGTAGATATTCCCGTTTCCAACGAAATTTTCAATGCTCTCAAAATATCAACTTGCAGATTCTACAAAAAGAGTGTTTCCAAACTGCTGTGTCAAAAGAAAGGTTCAACTCTGTTAGTTGAGGACACACATCACAAATAAGTTTCTGAGAATGCTTCTGTCTAGTTCTTATTTGAAGACATTTCCTTTCTCACCTTAGGCCTGAAAACGCTCGAAATATCCACTTCCAGATACGACAGAAACAGTGATTCAAACCTGCTCTATGAAAGGGAATGTTCAACTAGGTGACTTGAATGCAAACATCACAAAGCAGTTTCTGAGAATGCTGCTGTCTACTTTCTGTTTGTAATCCCGTTTCCAACGAAATCCTCAGAACTATCGAAATTTCCAATTGCAGATTCCACAAAAAGCGTGTTTCAAAGCTGCTCTGTAAAAAGAAAGGTTCAACTCTGTTAGTTGAATACACACGTCACAAACAAGTTTCTGAGAATGCTTCTGTCTAGTTTTTATGGGAAGATATTTCCTTTTTCACCGTAGGCCTCAAAGCGCTCCAAATGTCCACTTCCACATACTACAAAAAGAGTGTTTCAAACCTGCTCTATGATAGGGAATGTTGAAACCTATGAGTTGAATGCAAGCATTACAAAGAGGTTTCTGAGAATGCTTCTGTCTAGATTTTATATGTAGATATTCCCGTTTCCAACGAAATCCTCAAAGCTATCCAAATATCAGCTTGCAGATTCTGCAAAAGGAATGTTTCCAAAATGCTGTATCCAAACAAAGGTTCAACTCTGTGAATTGAGGGCATACATCACAAAGAAGATTCTGAGAATGCTTCTGTCTAGATTTTATATGAAAATATTCCCGTTTCCAACGAAATCCTCAAAGCTATCCAAATATCCACTTGCAAATGCCACAAAAAGAGTGTTTCCAAACTGCTCTGTGAAAAGGAAGGTTCAACTCTGTTAGTTGAGTACACACATCACAAAGAGGTTTCTGAGAATGCTGCTGACTAGTTTTTATTTGAAGATATTTCCCTTTTCACCTTAGGCCTAAGAGTGCTCGAAATGTCCATTTCCACATACTCCACAAAGTGTGTTTCAAACGTGCTGTATGAAAGGGAATGTTCAACTCTATGAGTTGAATGCAAACATCACAAAGAAGACTCTGAGAATGCTTTTGTCTAGATTTTATATGAAGATATTCCCGTGTCCAACGAAATTTTCAAAGGTCTCCAAATATCCATTTGTAGATTCTACAAAAAGAGTGTTTCCAAACTGCTGTATCAAAACAAAGGTTGAACTCTGTGAGTTGAGGACACACATCACAAATAAGTTTCTGAGAATGCTTCTGTCTAGTTTTTATTTGAAGATGTTTCCTTTTTCACCATAGGCCTGAAAGCGCTCGAAATGTCCACTTCCAGATAGTACAGAAAGAGTGTTTCAAACCTGCTCTATGAACGGGAATGTTCAGCTCTGTGAGTTGAATGCAAACATCACAAAGCAGGTTCTGAGAATGCTTCCGTCTAGATTTTAAATGAGGATATTCCCGTTTCCAACGAAATCCTCGAAGCTATCCAAATATCCACTTGCAGATTCCACAAAAAGAGTGTTTCAAAACTGCTCTGTCAAAAGATAGGTTCAACTCTGTTAGTTGAGTACACACATGGCAAACAAGATTCCGAGAATGCTTTCGTCTAGTTTTTTTGGGAAGATATTTCCTTCTTCACCATAGGCCTCAAAGCGCTCCAAATATCCATTTCCACATGCTATACAAAGAGTGTCTCAAACCTGCTGTATGAATGGGAATGTTCAACTCTATGAGTTGAATGCAAACATCACAAAGAAGTTTCTGAGAATGCTGCTGTCTAGATTTTATATGAAGGTTTTCCCGCTTCCAACGAAATTTTCAATGCTCTCAAAATATCCTCTTGTAGATTCTACAAAAAGAGTGTTTCCAAACTGCTGTATCAAAACAAAGGTTCATCTCTGTTAGTTGAGGACACACATCACAAATAAGTTTCTGAGAATGCTTCTGTCTAGTTCTTATTTGAAGACATTTCCTTTCTCACCTTAGGCCTGAAAGCGCTCGAAATACCCACTTCCAGATACTACAGAAACAGTGATTCAAACCTGCTCTATGAAAGGGAATGTTCAACTATGTGACTTGAATGCAAACATCACAAAGCAGTTTCTGAGAATGCTTGCTGTCTACTTTCTATTTGTAATCCCGTTTCCAACGAAATCCTCAGAACTATCGAAATTTCCAATTGCAGATTCCACAGAAACAGGGTTTCAAAGCTGCTCTGTAAAAAGAAAGGTTCAACTCTGTTAGTTGAATACACACGTCACAAACAAGTTTCTGAGAATGCTTCTGTCTAGTTTTTATGGGAAGATATTTCCTTTTTCACCGTAGGCCTCAAAGCGCTCCAAATGTCCACTTCCACATACTACAAAAAGGGTGTTTCAAACCTGCTGTATGAAAGGGAATGTTCAACTCTATGAGTTGAATGCAAACATTACAAAGAAGTTTCTGAGAATGCTTCTGTCTAGATTTTATATGAAGGTTTTCCCGTTTCCAACGAAATTTTCAATGCTCTCAAAATATCCACTTGTAGATTCTACAAAAAGAGTGTTTCCAAACTGCTGTGTCAAAAGAAAGGTTCAACTCTGTTAGTTGAGGACACACATCACAAATAAGTTTCTGAGAATGCTGCTGTCTACTCTCTATTTGTAATCCCGTTTCCAACGAAATCCTCAGAACTATCGAAATTTCCAATTGCAGATTCCACAAAAAGCGTGTTTCAAAGCTGCTCTGTAAAAAGAAAGGTTCAACTCTGTTAGTTGAATACACACGTCACAAACAAGTTTCTGAGAATGCTTCTGTCTAGTTTTTATGGGAAGATATTTCCTTTTTCACCGTAGGCCTCAAAGCGCTCCAAATGTCCACTTTCACATACTACAAAAAGAGTGTTTCAAACCTGCTCTATGATAGGGAATGTTGAAACCTATGAGTTGAATGCAAGCATTACAAAGAGGTTTCTGAGAATGCTTCTGTCTAGATTTTATATGTAGATATTCCCGTTTCCAACGAAATCCTCAAAGCTATCCAAATATCAACTTGCAGATTCTACAAAAGGAATGTTTCCAAAATGCTGTATCCAAACAAAGGTTCAACTCTGTGAATTGAGGGCATACATCACAAAGAAGATTCTGAGAATGCTTCTGTCTAGATTTTATATGAAAATATTCCCGTTTCCAACGAAATCCTCAAAGCTATCCAAATATCCACTTGCAAATGCCACAAAAAGAGTGTTTCCAAACTGCTCTATGAAAAGGAAGGTTCAACTCTGTTAGTTGAGTACACACATCACAAAGAGGTTTCTGAGAACGCTGCTGATTAGTTTTTATTTGAAGATATTTCCCTTTTCACCTTAGGCCTAAGAGTGCTCGAAATGTCCATTTCCACATACTCCACAAAGTGTGTTTCAAACGTGCTGTATGAAAGGGAATGTTCAACTCTATGAGTTGAATGCAAACATCACAAAGAAGACTCTGAGAATGCTTTTGTCTAGATTTTATATGAAGATATTCCCGTGTCCAACGAAATTTTCAAAGGTCTCCAAATATCCATTTGTAGATTCTACAAAAAGAGTGTTTCCAAACTGCTGTATCAAAACAAAGGTTGAACTCTGTGAGTTGAGGACACACATCACAAATAAGTTTCTGAGAATGCTTCTGTCTAGTTTTTATTTGAAGATGTTTCCTTTTTCACCATAGGCCTGAAAGCGCTCGAAATGTCCACTTCCAGATAGTACAGAAAGAGTGTTTCAAACCTGCTCTATGAACGGGAATGTTCAGCTCTGTGAGTTGAATGCAAACATCACAAAGCAGGTTCTGAGAATGCTTCCGTCTAGATTTTAAATGAGGATATTCCCGTTTCCAACGAAATCCTCGAAGCTATCCAAATATCCATTTGCAGATTCCACAAAAAGAGTGTTTCAAAACTGCTCTGTCAAAAGATAGGTTCAACTCTGTTAGTTGAGTACACACATGGCAAACAAGATTCCGAGAATGATTTTCGTCTAGTTTTTTTGGGAAGATATTTCCTTCTTCACCATAGGCCTCAAAGCGCTCCAAATATCCATTTCCACATGCTATACAAAGAGTGTCTCAAACCTGCTGTATGAATGGGAATGTTCAACTCTATGAGTTGAATGCAAACATCACAAAGAAGTTTCTGAGAATGCTGCTGTCTAGATTTTATATGAAGGTTTTCCCGCTTCCAACGAAATTTTCAATGCTCTCAAAATATCCTCTTGTAGATTCTACAAAAAGAGTGTTTCCAAACTGCTGTATCAAAACAAAGGTTCATCTCTGTTAGTTGAGGACACACATCACAAATAAGTTTCTGAGAATGCTTCTGTCTAGTTCTTATTTGAAGACATTTCCTTTCTCACCTTAGGCCTGAAAGCGCTCGAAATACCCACTTCCAGATACGACAGAAACAGTGATTCAAACCTGCTCTATGAAAGGGAATGTTCAACTATGTGACTTGAATGCAAACATCACAAAGCAGTTTCTGAGAATGCTGCTGTCTACTTTCTATTTGTAATCCCGTTTCCAACGAAATCCTCAGAACTATCGAAATTTCCAATTGCAGATTCCACAGAAACAGGGTTTCAAAGCTGCTCTGTAAAAAGAAAGGTTCAACTCTGTTAGTTGAATACACACGTCACAAACAAGTTTCTGAGAATGCTTCTGTCTAGTTTTTATGGGAAGATACTTCCTTTTTCACCGTAGGCCTCAAAGCGCTCCAAATGTCCACTTCCACATACTACAGAAAGAGTGTTTCAAACCTGCTGTATGAAAGGGAATGTTCAACTCTATGAGTTGAATGCAAACATTACAAAGAAGTTTCTGAGAATGCTTCTGTCTAGATTTTATATGAAGGTTTTCCCGTTTCCAACGAAATTTTCAATGCTCTCAAAATATCCACTTGTAGATTCTACAAAAAGAGTGTTTCCAAACTGCTGTGTCAAAAGAAAGGTTCAACTCTGTTAGTTGAGGACACACATCACAAATAAGTTTCTGAGAATGCTTCTGTCTAGTTCTTATTTGAAGACATTTCCTTTCTCACCTTAGGCTTGAAAACGCTCGAAATATCCACTTCCAGATACGACAGAAACAGTGATTCAAACCTGCTCTATGAAAGGGAATGTTCAACTAGGTGACTTGAATGCAAACATCACAAAGCAGTTTCTGAGAATGCTGCTGTCTACTTTCTATTTGTAATCCCGTTTCCAACGAAATCCTCAGAACTATCGAAATTTCCAATTGCAGATTCCACAAAAAGCGTGTTTCAAAGCTGCTCTGTAAAAAGAAAGGTTCAACTCTGTTAGTTGAATACACACGTCACAAACAAGTTTCTGAGAATGCTTCTGTCTAGTTTTTATGGGAAGATATTTCCTTTATTCACCGTAGGCCTCAAAGCGCTCCAAATGTCCACTTCCACATACTACAAAAAGAGTGTTTCAAACCTGCTCTATGATAGGGAATGTTGAAACCTATGAGTTGAATGCAAGCATTACAAAGAGGTTTCTGAGAATGCTTCTGTCTAGTATTTTATATGTAGATATTCCCGTTTCCAACGAAATCCTCAAAGCTATCCAAATATCAACTTGCAGATTCTACAAAAGGAATGTTTCCAAAATGCTGTATCCAAACAAAGGTTCAACTCTGTGAATTGAGGGCATACATCACAAAGAAGATTCTGAGAATGCTTCTGTCTAGATTTTATATGAAAATATTCCCGTTTCCAACGAAATCCTCAAAGCTATCCAAATATCCACTTGCAAATGCCACAAAAAGAGTGTTTCCAAACTGCTCTGTGAAAAGGAAGGTTCAACTCTGTTAGTTGAGTACACACATCACAAAGAGGTTTCTGAGAATGCTGCTGACTAGTTTTTATTTGAAGATATTTCCCTTTTCACCTTAGGCCTAAGAGTGCTCGAAATGTCCATTTCCACATACTCCACAAAGTGTGTTTCAAACGTGCTGTATGAAAGGGAATGTTCAACTGCTATGAGTTGAATGCAAACATCACAAAGAAGATTCTGAGAATGCTTTTGTCTAGATTTTATATGAAGATATTCCCGTGTCCAACGAAATTTTCAAAGGTCTCCAAATATCCATTTGTAGATTCTACAAAAAGAGTGTTTCCAAACTGCTGTATCAAAACAAAGGTTGAACTCTGTGAGTTGAGGACACACATCACAAATAAGTTTCTGAGAATGCTTCTGTCTAGTTTTTATTTGAAGATATTTCCTTTTTCACCATAGGCCTGAAAGCGCTCGAAATGTCCACTTCCAGATAGTACAGAAAGAGTGTTTCAAACCTGCTCTATGAACGGGAATGTTCAGCTCTGTGAGTTGAATGCAAACATCACAAAGCAGGTTCTGAGAATGCTTCCGTCTAGATTTTAAATGAGGATATTCCCGTTTCCAACGAAATCCTCGAAGCTATCCAAATATCCACTTGCAGATTCCACAAAAAGAGTGTTTCAAAACTGCTCTGTCAAAAGATAGGTTCAACTCTGTTAGTTGAGTACACACATGGCAAACAAGATTCCGAGAATGCTTTCGTCTAGTTTTTTTGGGAAGATATTTCCTTCTTCACCATAGGCCTCAAAGCGCTCCAAATATCCATTTCCACATGCTATACAAAGAGTGTCTCAAACCTGCTGTATGAATGGGAATGTTCAACTCTATGAGTTGAATGCAAACATCACAAAGAAGTTTCTGAGAATGCTGCTGTCTAGATTTTATATGAAGGTTTTCCCGCTTCCAACGAAATTTTCAATGCTCTCAAAATATCCTCTTGTAGATTCTACAAAAAGAGTGTTTCCAAACTGCTGTATCAAAACAAAGGTTCATCTCTGTTAGTTGAGGACACACATCACAAATAAGTTTCTGAGAATGCTTCTGTCTAGTTCTTATTTGAAGACATTTCCTTTCTCACCTTAGGCCTGAAAGCGCTCGAAATACCCACTTCCAGATACTACAGAAACAGTGATTCAAACCTGCTCTATGAAAGGGAATGTTCAACTAGGTGACTTGAATGCAAACATCACAAAGCAGTTTCTGAGAATGCTGCTGTCTACTTTCTATTTGTAATCCCGTTTCCAACGAAATCCTCAGAACTATCGAAATTTCCAATTGCAGATTCCACAGAAACAGGGTTTCAAAGCTGCTCTGTAAAAAGAAAGGTTCAACTCTGTTAGTTGAATACACACGTCACAAACAAGTTTCTGAGAATGCTTCTGTCTAGTTTTTATGGGAAGATATTTCCTTTTTCACCGTAGGCCTCAAAGCGCTCCAAATGTCCACTTCCACATACTACAAAAAGAGTGTTTCAAACCTGCTGTATGAAAGGGAATGTTCAACTCTATGAGTTGAATGCAAACATTACAAAGAAGTTTCTGAGAATGCTTCTGTCTAGATTTTATATGAAGGTTTTCCCGTTTCCAACGAAATTTTCAATGCTCTCAAAATATCCACTTGTAGATTCTACAAAAAGAGTGTTTCCAAACTGCTGTGTCAAAAGAAAGGTTCAACTCTGTTAGTTGAGGACACACATCACAAATAAGTTTCTGAGAATGCTTCTGTCTAGTTCTTATTTGAAGACATTTCCTTTCTCACCTTAGGCCTGAAAACGCTCGAAATATCCACTTCCAGATACGACAGAAACAGTGATTCAAACCTGCTCTATGAAAGGGAATGTTCTACTAGGTGACTTGAATGCAAACATCACAAAGCAGTTTCTGAGAATGCTGCTGTCTACTTTCTATTTGTAATCCCGTTTCCAACGAAATCCTCAGAACTATCGAAATTTCCAATTGCAGATTCCACAAAAAGCGTGTTTCAAAGCTGCTCTGTAAAAAGAAAGGTTCAACTCTGTTAGTTGAATACACACGTCACAAACAAGTTTCTGAGAATGCTTCTGTCTAGTTTTTATGGGAAGATATTTCCTTTATCACGGTAGGCCTCAAAGCGCTCCAAATGTCCACTTCCACATACTACAAAAAGAGTGTTTCAAACCTGCTCTATGATAGGGAATGTTGAAACCTATGAGTTGAATGCAAGCATTACAAAGAGGTTTCTGAGAATGCTTCTGTCTAGATTTTATATGTAGATATTCCCGTTTCCAACGAAATCCTCAAAGCTATCCAAATATCAACTTGCAGATTCTGCAAAAGGAATGTTTCCAAAATGCTGTATCCAAACAAAGGTTCAACTCTGTGAATTGAGGGCATACATCACAAAGAAGATTCTGAGAATGCTTCTGTCTAGATTTTATATGAAAATATTCCCGTTTCCAACGAAATCCTCAAAGCTATCCAAATATCCACTTGCAAATGCCACAAAAAGAGTGTTTCCAAACTGCTCTGTGAAAAGGAAGGTTCAACTCTGTTAGTTGAGTACACACATCACAAAGAGGTTTCTGAGAATGCTGCTGACTAGTTTTTATTTGAAGATATTTCCCTTTTCACCTTAGGCCTAAGAGTGCTCGAAATGTCCATTTCCACATACTCCACAAAGTGTGTTTCAAACGTGCTGTATGAAAGGGAATGTTCAACTCTATCAGTTGAATGCAAACATCACAAAGAAGATTCTGAGAATGCTTTTGTCTAGATTTTATATGAAGATATTCCCGTGTCCAACGAAATTTTCAAAGTTCTCCAAATATCCATTTGTAGATTCTACAAAAAGAGTGTTTCCAAACTGCTGTATCAAAACAAAGGTTGAACTCTGTGAGTTGAGGACACACATCACAAATAAGTTTCTGAGAATGCTTCTGTCTAGTTTTTATTTGAAGATGTTTCCTTTTTCACCATAGGCCTGAAAGCGCTCGAAATGTCCACTTCCAGATAGTACAGAAAGAGTGTTTCAAACCTGCTCTATGAACGGGAATGTTCAGCTCTGTGAGTTGAATGCAAACATCACAAAGCAGGTTCTGAGAATGCTTCCGTCTAGATTTTAAATGAGGATATTCCCGTTTCCAACGAAATCCTCGAAGCTATCCAAATATCCACTTGCAGATTCCACAAAAAGAGTGTTTCAAAACTGCTCTGTCAAAAGATAGGTTCAACTCTGTTAGTTGAGTACACACATGGCAAACAAGATTGCGAGAATGCTTTCGTCTAGTTTTTTTGGGAAGATATTTCCTTCTTCACCATAGGCCTCAAAGCGCTCCAAATATCCATTTCCACATGCTATACAAAGAGTGTCTCAAACCTGCTGTATGAATGGGAATGTTCAACTCTATGAGTTGAATGCAAACATCACAAAGAAGTTTCTGAGAATGCTGCTGTCTAGATTTTATATGAAGGTTTTCCCGCTTCCAACGAAATTTTCAATGCTCTCAAAATATCCTCTTGTAGATTCTACAAAAAGAGTGTTTCCAAACTGCTGTATCAAAACAAAGGTTCATCTCTGTTAGTTGAGGACACACATCACAAATAAGTTTCTGAGAATGCTTCTGTCTAGTTCTTATTTGAAGACATTTCCTTTCTCACCTTAGGCCTGAAAGCGCTCGAAATACCCACTTCCAGATACTACAGAAACAGTGATTCAAACCTGCTCTATGAAAGGGAATGTTCAACTATGTGACTTGAATGCAAACATCACAAAGCAGTTTCTGAGAATGCTGCTGTCTACTTTCTATTTGTAATCCCGTTTCCAACGAAATCCTCAGAACTATCGAAATTTCCAATTGCAGATTCCACAGAAACAGGGTTTCAAAGCTGCTCTGTAAAAAGAAAGGTTCAACTCTGTTAGTTGAATACACACGTCACAAACAAGTTTCTGAGAATGCTTCTGTCTAGTTTTTATGGGAAGATATTTCCTTTTTCACCGTAGGCCTCAAAGCGCTCCAAATGTCCACTTCCACATACTACAAAAAGAGTGTTTCAAACCTGCTCTATGATAGGGAATGTTGAAACCTATGAGTTGAATGCAAACATTACAAAGAGGTTTCTGAGAATGCTTCTGTCTAGATTTTATATGTAGATATTCCCGTTTCCAACGAAATCCTCAAAGCTATCCAAATATCAACTTGCAGATTCTACAAAAGGAATGTTTCCAAAATGCTGTATCCAAACAAAGGTTCAACTCTGTGAATTGAGGGCATACATCACAAAGAAGATTCTGAGAATGCTCTGTCTAGATTTTATATGAAAATATTCCCGTTTCCAACGAAATCCTCAAAGCTATCCAAATATCCACTTGCAAATGCCACAAAAAGTGTGTTTCCAAACTGCTCTGTGAAAAGGAAGGTTCAACTCTGTTAGTTGAGTACACACATCACAAAGAGGTTTCTGAGAATGCTGGCTGACTAGTTTTTATTTGAAGATATTTCCCTTTTCACCTTAGGCCTAAGAGTGCTCGAAATGTCCATTTCCACATACTCCACAAAGTGTGTTTCAAACGTGCTTTATGAAAGGCAATGTTCAACTCTATGAGTTGAATGCAAACATTACAAAGAAGTTTCTGAGAATGCTTTTGTCTAGATTTTATATGAAGATATTCCCGTGTCCAACGAAAATTTTCAAAGGTCTCCAAATATCCATTTGTAGATTCTACAAAAAGAGTGTTTCCAAACTGCTGTATCAAAACAAAGGTTGAACTCTGTGAGTTGAGGACACACATCACAAATAAGTTTCTGAGAATGCTTCTGTCTAGTTTTTATTTGAAGATGTTTCCTTTTTCACCATAGGCCTGAAAGCGCTCGAAATGTCCACTTCCAGATAGTACAGAAAGAGTGTTTCAAACCTGCTCTATGAACGGGAATGTTCAGCTCTGTGAGTTGAATGCAAACATCACAAAGCAGGTTCCGAGAATGCTTCCGTCTAGATATTATATGAGGATATTCCCGTTTCCAACGAAGTCCTCGAAGCTATACAAATATCCATTTGCAGATTCCACAAAAAGAGTGTTTCAAAACTGCTCTGTCAAAAGATAGGTTCAACTCTGTTAGTTGAGTACACACATGGCAAACAAGATTCCGAGAATGCTCTTTCGTCTAGTTTTTTTGGGAAGATATTTCCTTCTTCACCATAGGCCTCAAAACGCTCCAAATATCCATTTCCACATGCTATACAAAGAGTGTCTCAAACCTGCTGTATGAATGGGAATGTTCAACTCTATGAGTTGAATGCAAACATCACAAAGAAGTTTCTGAGAATGCTGCTGTCTAGATTTTATATGAAGGTTTTCCCGCTTCCAACGAAATTTTCAATGCTCTCAAAATATCCTCTTGTAGATTCTACAAAAAGAGTGTTTCCAAACTGCTGTATCAAAACAAAGGTTCATCTCTGTTAGTTGAGGACACACATCACAAATAAGTTTCTGAGAATGCTTCTGTCTAGTTCTTATTTGAAGACATTTCCTTTCTCACCTTAGGCCTGAAAACGCTCGAAATATCCACTTCCAGATACGACAGAAACAGTGATTCAAACCTGCTCTATGAAAGGGAATGTTCAACTAGGTGACTTGAATGCAAACATCACAAAGCATTTTCTGAGAATGCTGCTGTCTACTTTCTATTTGTAATCCCGTTTCCAACGAAATCCTCAGAACTATCGAAATTTCCAATTGCAGATTCCACAAAAAGCGTGTTTCAAAGCTGCTCTGTAAAAAGAAAGGTTCAACTCTGTTAGTTGAATACACACGTCACAAACAAGTTTCTGAGAATGCTTCTGTCTAGTTTTTATGGGAAGATATTTCCTTTTTCACCGTAGGCCTCAAAGCGCTCCAAATGTCCACTTCCACATACTACAAAAAGAGTGTTTCAAACCTGCTCTATGATAGGGAATGTTGAAACCTATGAGTTGAATGCAAGCATTACAAAGAAGTTTCTGAGAATGCTTCTGTCTAGATTTTATATGTAGATAGATATTCCCGTTTCCAACGAAATCCTCAAAGCTATCCAAATATCAACTTGCAGATTCTACAAAAGGAATGTTTCCAAAATGCTGTATCCAAACAAAGGTTCAACTCTGTGAATTGAGGGCATACATCACAAAGAAGATTCTGAGAATGCTTCTGTCTACATTTTATATGAAAATATTCCCGTTTCCAATGAAATCCTCAAAGCTATCCAAATATCCACTTGCAAATGCCACAAAAAGAGTGTTTCCAAACTGCTCTGTGAAAAGGAAGGTTCAACTCTGTTAGTTGAGTACACACATCACAAAGAGGTTTCTGAGAATGCTGCTGACTAGTTTTTATTTGAAGATATTTCCCTTTTCACCTTAGGCCTAAGAGTGCTCGAAATGTCCATTTCCACATACTCCACAAAGTGTGTTTCAAACGTGCTGTATGAAAGGGAATGTTCAACTCTATGAGTTGAATGCAAACATCACAAAGAAGATTCTGAGAATGCTTTTGTCTAGATTTTATATGAAGATATTCCCGTGTCCAACGAAATTTTCAAAGGTCTCCAAATATCCATTTGTAGATTCTACAAAAAGAGTGCTTCCAAACTGCTGTATCAAAACAAAGGTTGAACTCTGTGAGTTGAGGACACACATCACAAATAAGTTTCTGAGAATGCTTCTGTCTAGTTTTTATTTGAAGATGTTTCCTTTTTCACCATAGGCCTGAAAGCGCTCGAAATGTCCACTTCCAGATAGTACAGAAAGAGTGTTTCAAACCTGCTCTATGAACGGGAATGTTCAGCTCTGTGAGTTGAATGCAAACATCACAAAGCAGGTTCTGAGAATGCTTCCGTCTAGATTTTAAATGAGGATATTCCCGTTTCCAACGAAATCCTCGAAGCTATCCAAATATCCACTTGCAGATTCCACAGAAAGAGTGTTTCAAAACTGCTCTCTCAAAAGATAGGTTCAACTCTGTTAGTTGAGTACACACATGGCAAACAAGATTCCGAGAATGCTTTCGTCTAGTTTTTTTGGGAAGATATTTCCTTCTTCACCATAGGCCTCAAAGCGCTCCAAATATCCATTTCCACATGATATACAAAGAGTGTCTCAAACCTGCTGTATGAATGGGAATGTTCAACTCTATGAGTTGAATGCAAACATCACAAAGAAGTTTCTGAGAATGCTGCTGTCTAGATTTTATATGAAGGTTTTCCCGCTTCCAACGAAATTTTCAATGTTCTCAAAATATCCTCTTGTAGATTCTACAAAAAGAGTGTTTCCAAACTGCTGTATCAAAACAAAGGTTCATCTCTGTTAGTTGAGGACACACATCACAAATAAGTTTCTGAGAATGCTTCTGTCTAGTTCTTATTTGAAGACATTTCCTTTCTCACCTTAGGCCTGAAAGCGCTCGAAATACCCACTTCCAGATACTACAGAAACAGTGATTCAAACCTGCTCTATGAAAGGGAATGTTCAACTAGGTGACTTGAATGCAAACATCACAAAGCAGTTTCTGAGAATGCTGCTGTCTACTTTCTATTTGTAATCCCGTTTCCAACGAAATCCTCAGAACTATCGAAATTTCCAATTGCAGATTCCACAGAAACAGGGTTTCAAAGCTGCTCTGTAAAAAGAAAGGTTCAACTCTGTTAGTTGAATACACACGTCACAAACAAGTTTCTGAGAATGCTTCTGTCTAGTTTTTATGGGAAGATATTTCCTTTTTCACCGTAGGCCTCAAAGCGCTCCAAATGTCCACTTCCACATACTACAAAAAGAGTGTTTCAAACCTGCTGTATGAAAGGGAATGTTCAACTCTATGAGTTGAATGCAAACATTACAAAGAAGTTTCTGAGAATGCTTCTGTCTAGATTTTATATGAAGGTTTTCCCGTTTCCAACGAAATTTTCAATGCTCTCAAAATATCCACTTGTAGATTCTACAAAAAGAGTGTTTTCAAACTGCTGTGTCAAAAGAAAGGTTCAACTCTGTTAGTTGAGGACACACATCACAAATAAGTTTCTGAGAATGCTTCTGTCTAGTTCTTATTTGAAGACATTTCCTTTCTCACCTTAGGCCTGAAAGCGCTCGAAATACCCACTTCCAGATACTACAGAAACAGTGATTCAAACCTGCTCTATGAAAGGGAATGTTCAACTAGGTGACTTGAATGCAAACATCACAAAGCAGTTTCTGAGAATGCTGCTGTCTACTTTCTATTTGTAATCCCGTTTCCAACGAAATCCTCAGAACTATCGAAATTTCCAATTGCAGATTCCACAGAAACAGGGTTTCAAAGCTGCTCTGTAAAAAGAAAGGTTCAACTCTGTTAGTTGAATACACACGTCACAAACAAGTTTCTGAGAATGCTTCTGTCTAGTTTTTATGGGAAGATATTTCCTTTTTCACCGTAGGCCTCAAAGCGCTCCAAATGTCCACTTCCACATACTACAAAAAGAGTGTTTCAAACCTGCTCTATGATAGGGAATGTTGAAACCTATGAGTTGAATGCAAGCATTACAAAGAGGTTTCTGAGAATGCTTCTGTCTAGATTTTATATGTAGATATTCCCGTTTCCAACGAAAATCCTCAAAGCTATCCAAATATCAACTTGCAGATTCTACAAAAGGAATGTTTCCAAAATGCTGTATCCAAACAAAGGTTCAACTCTGTGAATTGAGGGCATACATCACAAAGAAGATTCTGAGAATGCTTCTGTCTAGATTTTATATGAAAATATTCCCGTTTCCAACGAAATCCTCAAAGCTATCCAAATATCCACTTGCAAATGCCACAAAAAGAGTGTTTCCAAACTGCTCTGTGAAAAGGAAGGTTCAACTCTGTTAGTTGAGTACACACATCACAAAGAGGTTTCTGAGAATGCTGCTGACTAGTTTTTATTTGAAGATATTTCCCTTTTCACCTTAGGCCTAAGAGTGCTCGAAATGTCCATTTCCACATACTCCACAAAGTGTGTTTCAAACGTGCTGTATGAAAGGGAATGTTCAACTCTATCAGTTGAATGCAAACATCACAAAGAAGATTCTGAGAATGCTTTTGTCTAGATTTTATATGAAGATATTCCCGTGTCCAACGAAATTTTCAAAGTTCTCCAAATATCCATTTGTAGATTCTACAAAAAGAGTGTTTCCAAACTGCTGTATCAAAACAAAGGTTGAACTCTGTGAGTTGAGGACACACATCACAAATAAGTTTCTGAGAATGCTTCTGTCTAGTTTTTATTTGAAGATGTTTCCTTTTTCACCATAGGCCTGAAAGCGCTCGAAATGTCCACTTCCAGATAGTACAGAAAGAGTGTTTCAAACCTGCTCTATGAACGGGAATGTTCAGTTCTGTGAGTTGAATGCAAACATCACAAAGCAGGTTCTGAGAATGCTTCCGTCTAGATTTTAAATGAGGATATTCCCGTTTCCAACGAAATCCTCGAAGCTATCCAAATATCCACTTGCAGATTCCACAAAAAGAGTGTTTCAAAACTGCTCTGTCAAAAGATAGGTTCAACTCTGTTAGTTGAGTACACACATGGCAAACAAGATTGCGAGAATGCTTTCGTCTAGTTTTTTTGGGAAGATATTTCCTTCTTCACCATAGGCCTCAAAGCGCTCCAAATATCCATTTCCACATGCTATACAAAGAGTGTCTCAAACCTGCTGTATGAATGGGAATGTTCAACTCTATGAGTTGAATGCAAACATCACAAAGAAGTTTCTGAGAATGCTGCTGTCTAGATTTTATATGAAGGTTTTCCCGCTTCCAACGAAATTTTCAATGCTCTCAAAATATCCTCTTGTAGATTCTACAAAAAGAGTGTTTCCAAACTGCTGTATCAAAACAAAGGTTCATCTCTGTCAGTTGAGGACACACATCACAAATAAGTTTCTGAGAATGCTTCTGTCTAGTTCTTATTTGAAGACATTTCCTTTCTCACCT